>NC_000002.12:196277496-196580527 GCF_000001405.40 Homo sapiens | reverse complement strand
TATTCAAATTCTTTGCTAATTTAAAAAATAGAGTTGTCTTTTTATTGTTGAGTTTTAAGACTTCCTTGTATTATGGATACTAGACCCTTAAGAGATATATGCCTTGCAAATATTTTCTTCTGTTTTGTAGATTGTTTTTTCACTTTATTGATAGTGTCTTTTGAAGCAGAAAAGTTTATAAATTTAATGAAATCCAACTCACCTTTTTAAAAATGGTTCCTTGTGCTTTTGGTGTTATAACTGTCCTTGTTGATCTTTAGTTGTTTTATCCATGAGGAGAAGTGGGATATTGATGTCTCTGACTATTGTTGTCCATTTCTCCCTTTAGCTTTGTCAGTTTTTGCCCATGTATTTTGCTGCCTTGTTGTTAAGTGCATATATGTTTATAATCATTATGTTTTCCTTTTCAATTGATCCTTTTATCATTACAGAATATCCTTCTTTGTCTTAAGTAACAATTTTTGTCTTAAAGTCTATTTTGTCTGATACTAATATTATCACTCCAACTCTTTTTTTGGTTGCTGTTATCATGTTGTATTGGTTTGCTAGGGCTGTCATAGAAAATACCACACTCTGGGTGACTTACACAACAGAAATTTATTTTCTTGCAATTCTGGAGGCTGGAAGTATAAGATCAAGGTGTTGGCAAGTTTGGTTTCTTCTGAGGCTTCTCTCCTTGGCTTCAGGTGGTCACCTTCTTGCTGTGTTCTCATATAGGCTTTCCTCTGTGCATGTATGTCCCTGGTGTCTATCTGTGTGTCAGAATTTCCTCTTCTTATAAGGACACCTGTCAGATTAGATTAAGGTCTATACTAATGGCCTCATTTTAACTTAATTACTTCTTACCGGTTGTATCTCCAAATTTAGTTACATTTTGAACTACTTGGGGTTAGTACTTCAATATATGAAGTGTTTTTGTAGGAGGGCAATTCATCCCATAACACATGGTATATATATTTTTCGACTTAAAATTTTTATTCTATTTTTATCTCTGATTATACAGTATCTCTTGTAGACAGCATATAGTTGGATCACTTAAAAAGTATTTTCTGCCAATTTCTGCCATTTGACTGGATTGTTTAATTTACTTAAACATTTAATGTAATTACTGATAATCAAGTAGCATTTATGTCTGTCTCTTTCCTGTTTGTTTTCTACATGTCTTCTACTTGTCTTGTAGAAGAGTTCCTGAGTTCCATTACTGTCTTATCTTGTGTTAAATATATATTTTCCAGTGTACCATTTTAATTCTCTTGTTGATATTTTTCTGGAGGAGGAGATTTTCATAGGTGTTTACTCCATAATTCCTGATGATACTGTTATGATATTTTTTGAGTTATTTTCTTAGTAGTTGCTCTGGGGATTACAATTAACTTCTTTACTTAAAACAACCTAGTTCAGATTAATCAACTTAAATTCAGAAGTATATAAAACTTCACTCCAATACTTCACTTTGCTCTCATTGTAATACAGATTACATCTTTATACATTATAAACCCGTGACTACACTTTTTAAATAATTGCTTTATGCAATTGTCATTTAAATTAGATAAAAAGAAAGGGTTATAAATATAAATATATTTATCTTCTCTGTGTAGATAGCTTTACCAATACTCTATTTCTGTGTGGCTTTGAGTTAATGTTTGGTGTTGTTTTTATTTCAGCCTCAAGGACTCCTTTTAGTATTTCTTGTAGGATGTGATGGTGACAGATTCTCTCAAGTTTTGCTTATTTGAGAATGGCTTAATTTTGCCTTCATTTTTTGAAGGATAGTTTTCCCAGTTATAGAAGTCTTGGTTGACCTTTTGTTTCAGCACTTTGAATTGTTATACTGCTGCCTTTTGGCATCCTTGGTTTCTCATGAGAAATCAACTGTTATTTTTATTCAGGTTCCCTGTACATGCTGGAATATTTTTTTCATACTGCTTTCGTTTCTCTCTTTGTGTTTTGACATTTTGACTATGATGTACCTTGGTGTGAATCTTTTTTAGTTTATCCTGTTTGGAGTTTGTTTGAGCCTCCTGGATACATAGGTTAATGGTTTTCATCAAATTCAAGAAATGTATGGCCACTAATCTTAAAAATATCCTTTCAATTTCTTTCCTCTTTTCCTGGAACTCCCAGTGTGCATATGTTGCTTTGCTTGTGGGTGTTTCACAGGTTTCTGAAGCTCTGTTAATTTTTCTTTGTTCTTTTTCTTTCTATTCCTAAGACAGCATAACCTCAGTTGATATATCTTCAAGTACACTGATTCTTTTTTATGCCTGTTCAAATCTACTATTGAACCCCTCTAGTGAATTATTCATTTCAATTACTGTATTTTTCCACTCCACATCTTCTTTTTGGTCCTTTAAAGCTTTTTTCTTTATATTGATATTCTTTGGTGAAGCATCATTTTTATACTGTACTTTAATTCTTTAGACATGATTTACTTTAGTAATTTGAACCTATTACATAGCCTATGTAAAGTCTTGGTCTGGTATGTCCAACACCTAGGATTTTTTGATTGCCTGCTTTATTTCCTGTGAATGGGCCATGCTTTACTGTTTATTTGTATGTCTTGTAAGTCTGTTGAAAAGTGGACATTTCAAGTAAGATAATGTGACATAGATTGTCCTCCCTCTCGAGGATGTGGTATTGTTGCTCGTTGTTGTTGTTTATTTATTGACTTCAGAATGAATTCTGTAGTCTGTATTCTTTGTCATATGTAGCTACTGGAGTCTCTGTCTGGTTATATTAGTGGTCAGCTGATGGTTGAAAGAGATTTCCTTAATTGCCTTGGACTAGTAAATCTCAGTCATTGCTGAGAGCTCTGTGTACATGTTGGGGGCATACCTTCGACAATCAGCAAGACAGTTGACAATTCTGCCTTAGCCTTCACTTACTGCTTGCACACATCCTCAAGGTGAGCCAGAGATTAGAGCCTTCTTAGGTATGTCTTGGGTATGAGTAAATACATGTGGCGTTCTAGAGTCTAAGGAATACGTCAGAGCTTTGCAAAGACCTATATGGACATCTCATTCCCCAGATCTTTCTTTTAAATTTTTTCTTTTTGCCAGTCTTTCCCCCAACATCAGGTCTAATAGATCCTTTTTCTTTGTTAATATCAAAGCCTTAAATAGATGACTAACATTATTATATTTAGTAAAATTTAATAAATGACTTTTTAATAAAATGACTAATTTGCAAAAGTAAAAATAAAGGTATAGTAGAAAAACAACATAATTAGAAGTTATAATAGAAACTTAAGCACAGCACACCTAATTTTTTCCTTATATTTTTCTGGTTTTGAAGGCATATATATTCCAATTGGGCAACATTCTGTGAATGCAACCAGCTGCATGTGGAGACATGTGGTGTATATGAACCTGGAACATATCCACCTTGTAAATACTGATTCTGAGATTCAAATATGTCCCTAATAAGTTCTAGCCTATCATTATCTCTTTTCCTTCTTCTTACACTTGCCTTGACAAAATCCGTTATTTGCATCATTTTGAAATATTTGATGTATCATAACTTTGTTGAAGAGTCTTCAGCCATTTTCCTTCCTGTATAAGTGGAAAACATTTTTATTCTTAGATGATTGAAAACTGGATTGACTGATGAATCCAATGGTTTATTTTTATTTCTACATCCATTTCCTTTTTTTCTAATAAACCTTTTTCCAGCTTTATTGAGGTATAACTGACAAATAGAAATTATATATTTATAATGTGTATAATTTGGTGTTTTGATATGTGTATACATTGTGAAATGATCACCACAATGCTTGTTAACATTTGTTATCTCACATGGTTATCTTTTTTTTGTGGTGAGAACACTTAAGATCTATCATCTTAGCAAATTTGAAGTATACAATTAGTGTTGCCAACTATAGATATCATGCGGTATGTTAGATTTCTTGAACCTATTCATCTTGCATAACTGAAACTTTGTATGTTTGACGAATATATCCCCATTTTCCCCACCTTCCCAATTCCTGGCAACCACTATTCTACTCTGTGCGTCTGAGTTGGACTGTTTTCGATTCCACATATAAGTGAGATCATGCAGTACTTGTCTTTCTGGACTATTTCACTTAGCATAATGTCTTCCAGGTTCATTCATGTTGTCACAAATGGCAGGATTTCCTTCTTTTTTAAGACTAAATAATATTTCATTGTACATACATGTACAGTCATGCATCACTTAATGATGGGGATAATTTCTATGAAATGTGTCATTAGGCAATTTAGTCATTGTGTGAACATCAAAGTATGTATGTACACAAACTTAGATGGTATAGCCTACTACACACTTAGGCTATATGGTATATATGGTATAGCTTATTGCTCTTGGGGTACAAACCTGTACAGCAGGTTTGTACTGAATACTGTAGACAATTATAACACAATGGTAAGTATTTGTCTATCTAAACATATATAAACACTGAAAAGGTATAGTAAAAATATGGTGTTATAATCTTATGAGACCACCGTTAATATAGTTTAGATATTTGTTCCCTCCAAATCTCATGTTGAAATGTGATCCCCAATGTTGGAGATAGGGCCTAGTGGGAGGTTTGGGTCCCACTCATTTATGAGGGGGTGGATCCCTCATAAACGGCTTGGTGCCCTCCCGTTGGTGATGAGTGAGTTATTGCTCTGTTAGTTCATGCAAGAGGTGGTTGTTTAAAAGAGCTTGGCAGCTCTCTTGCTTCCTCTTGCCATGTGACACGCCTGCTCCTGCTTAGCCTCCCACCATGAGTAAAAGTTTCCTGAGACCTCACCAGAAGCCAAGCATATATTGGTGCTATTTGTACAGCCTGCAGAACCATGAGCTAAATAAACTTATTTTCTTTATAAATTACCCAGTCTTATGTATTCCTTTATAGCAATGCGAAATGGACTAATACAGCTGTCATCTATGCAGCCCATTGTCTATGTTAAATGTAATTATGTGGCTCATGACTGTGTGTATATATCTATATACATACACCATATTTTCTTTATTCATTCATGTACTGATGGACATTTGACTGTTTCCATACCTTGGATATTATGAATAATGCTGCTTTGAACATGGGAGTGCGGATGTCTTTTTGAGATACTAATTTCATTTCCTTGGGTTATATACCCAGAAATGAGATTGTTAGATCATGTGGTAATTCTATTTTTAATTTCTTGAGGAACTTCCATATTGTTTTGCACAATGACTGTACCAGTTTACATTCTCACTAAGTGTACCAGAGTTCCATTTTCTCCAAATTCTTGCCAATATTGTCTTTTTGATAATAGCTATTCTAAAAAGTGTGAGGTGATATCTTATTGTGGTTTTGATTTGCATTTCTCTGGTGGTTAGTGATGTTAAGCATTTTTTCATACATACGTTGGCCAATTGTATTTTTTTTTTTGCAAAATGTCTGTTCGGGATCTTTGCCTTTTTTTTTTTTTTTTTTTTTTTTTGAGACAAGGCCTTGCTCTGTTACCCAGGCTGGAGTATAGTGGTATGATCATAGCTCACCGTAAGCTTGAACTCCTGGGCTCAAGCAGCAATCCTTTCACCTCAGCATGTGGATATTTAGTTTTCCCAACACCATGTATTTAAATGACTATCCTTTCCCTGTGATGTGTTCTTGGCATTCTTGTCAAAGATCAGATGACTGTAAATGAGTAGATTAATTTCTTGGCTTTTTATTCAGTTCCGTTAGGCTATATGTCTGTTTTTTATGCTGGTACCATACTGTTTTGATTAATGTAACTTGGTAATATGTTTTAAAATTAGGAAATGTGGTGCCTTTAGTGTTGCTCTTTTTGCTCAAGATTGCTTTAGCTATTAGTGTTCTGTGGTTCTGTGTAATTTTTAGGATATTTTAAAATTTCTGTAAAGGATGCCATTGGAATTTTGATAGGAATTTCATTGAATCTGTAGATCATTTTGTGTAGAGTGGACATTTTAATGTTATTAATTCTTCCAATCCATGAACACGGATGTCTTTTTATTTGTCTGTATCTTTAATTTTCTTCATTGATATTTTGTAATTTTTGATGCACAAGTCTTTCACCTCTTTGGTTAGGTTTATTCCTAAGTATTTTATTCTTTTTTTTTTTCTTCTTGAGACAGAGTCTCACTCTATCGCCCACACTGGAGTGCAGTGGTGCTATCTCTGCTCACCGCAACCTCTGCCTCCTGAGTTCAGGCAATTCTCCTGCCTCAGCCTCCTGAGTAGCTGGGATTATGGGTGCATACCACCACGCCCAGCTAATTTTTGTATTTTTAGTGGACACGGGGTTTCACCATGTTGGCCAGGCTGGTTTTGAACTCCTGACCTCAAGTGATCTGCCCGCCTCAGCCTCCCAAAGTGCTGGGATTACAGACGTGAGCCGCCATGCCTAGCCAAGTATTTTGTTTTTTGTCGCTATTGTAAATGGGATTATTCTCTTAATTTCCTTTTTGGCTAGTTTGTTGGTTGTGTATAGAAACACCAGTGATTTTATAATGTTGATTTTGTATCCTGGAACTTTTTTTTTGAAATGGGGATCCCACTGTATTACCCAGGCTGGTCTTGAACTCCTGGGTTCAGGCAATCCTCTTGCCTCAGTCTCCCAAGTAGCAGGGATTACAGGCATGCACCATCCTGTCTAGCTGTTTATTATTTCTCACTGTTTTTTTTTTGTTGTTGTTGTTGAGTCTGTAGGGTTTTCTATGTATATTATTATGTTACCTGCAAACAGAGATCATTTTACTTCTTCATTTATGAGTTGGATGCCTTTTATTTCTTTTTCTTGTCGAACTGTTCTGTTTCCCCAGCCTCTTGTTTGCCACAGCTGGTATTGCTGCCGAGGCATCCGCAGTGTTCGGCAATTGCAGCTGATTGTTTTCAACACATGCTGTGGGGATACGGCTTTTCCCATTGAGTGGGCACTGAGTCAGGTCCTATTAAGACAAGTCCTGAGAATAGGGCTTTTCCAGCTAACTGCCAGGTCATATAGTGATAATTTTCTGGGTTAGGGCCTTTTTGAGGAGCTCCAGACCTGTTTGCTCCCTTGTCCATGCACTCTGCCAGAGTGCTGTTTTCCATAGTTACCATGGCTACAAGGATCTGGGTTTTCAAGGGTCCTGTGATGCTGGGGAGAGAGTGATGGAAATAGGGCAAAAAATTAAAAAAAATAAAGCACACTGTCCTTATTGAGACTTAGATATTTTTCTTGAGTAAATCATCCTCATAATGTTGTAAGCCTATTTTTGATTTCCAGAGTTGTGAAAAAGTTGATTTTGACATTTTTTTTTTTTTTTTGGTCAGCATTCTTATTGCTTTTATGGAGAAACAAATTTCTGGGGGTCTTTATTCGGTCATTCTGAAAGTGTTTTCCCCTCTTACTGAATTATAAAACTGCCTGCCACTCTCCTGATGTTTTATTTGATTGTTTTCTTTTTTAGATCTTGAAACATGGTTTGTATTATCGCATTTCTCATCTTTGTCATCTGTTTTTCCACCCCTCTTCTCCCATAGGTACATACTTAAAGAAAAGTCCATGTGTAGATTTTAAAAGACTTTTAATTTGGTAATATACACGTCTTAGTCAGCTCTGACTGCTATAACGGAATACCATAAACTGGGTTGCTTAAATAACAGATATTTACTTCTCACAGTTCAGGAGGTTGGACAACCAAGATCAGAGTGCCAGCAGGGTTGGGTTCTTGGTGAGGGCCCTCTTTCTGGCTTATAGACAGCTGTCTTGTGGCTGTGTAGACACATGGCAAAAAGGGAGCTAGCTAACTCTGTGGCCACTTCTTATAAGGATACTAATCGCAGTCATGAAGGCTCTACCCTTGTGACCTAATTACCTCCCAAAGTCTCCACCTCCAAATACCATCACATTGGGAGTAGGGTTTCAACATGAATTTGGAGGGGGCAAGCACAAACATTTAGTCTATTGTAACATATACCATAAAATTTGCTATCTTAAACTATTTTTAAATGTACAATTCAGTAATGTTAAGTACATTCACACTGTTATGCAACCAATCTCTAGAACTCTTTCATCTTGCAAAACTGAAACTCTGGGGCATGGTGGCTCATGCCTGTAATCCTAGCACTTTGGGAGGCTGAGGTGAGTAGATCGCCTGAGCCCATGAGTTTGAGACAAACCTGGGCAATACAGTATGACTTCGTCTGTACAAAAATTTAAAAAATTAGCCAAGCATGGTGGCACACACCTATAATCCCAGCTACTTGAGAGGCTGAGGTGGGAAGATCGCTTGAGTCCAAGAGCTGGAGGTTACAGTGAGCCGAGATCATGCCACTGCACTCCAACTTAGGCAACACAGTGAAATCCTGTCTCAAAAAACACAAAACAAAAACTTCTGAAACCCTGTACCCATTAAACAAAACTCCCTGTGTCCCTCTTCCATCAGTCCTTGGCAGTCACTACGCTACTTTTTGTTTCTGAATTTCTGAATCTGATTGCTCTTGCTACCTCATATAAGTGGACTCATACAGTATTTGTCATTTTGTGACTGGCTTATTTCACTTAACATAATGCCCTCAAGATTCTTCCATGTTGTAGTATGTGTCAGAATTTCCTTCCCTTGTAAGACTGAAATATTTCACTGTATGCATATACCACAATTTTTTATTCATTCATTCCTTGATGGATTCTTGGGTTGCTTCTACCTTTTAGCTATTGTGATTAATGCTGCTATGAACATAGGTGTACAAACATCTCTTTGTGACCTTGCTTTCAATTCTTTTGGGTGTATGATTGGTTTATTTTTGCTTTGTATGGAAGCATCTACAGAAATACCCAAGTTGATAATTGATTTTTCTTTTATTTTTTTTTTTGAGACAGAATCTCATCCCATTGCCCAGGCCGGAGTGCAGTAGCATGATCTCGGCTCACTGCAACCTCCGCTTCCCATGCCTTTCGTGCCTCAGCCTCCTGAGTAGGTGGGATTACAGGTAACTGTCAGCACACCCGGCTAATTTTTGTATTTTTAGTAGACTTGGGGTTTCACCATGTTGGCCAGGCTGGTCTCAAACTCCTGACCTCAAGTGATCCACCCACCTTGGCCTCCGAAAGTGCTGGGATTAGAGGTGTGAGCCACTGCGCCCAGCCTCAACTTGATAATTTTTAATAGGCCAGTAGACTTAATGATTTGCTCAGATTTTGTTATTTTTGATACATTCTTCAGTAGACACAACTAAGTATTGTTTGCTGTTTATTCCCAAACATTAGACATTACCTCACTTGTTCTCTTGTGTTTAAAGTGATAAAGTTTAAACAATTTTAAATGACACAAAGCCATGTCAGGGATTAGGAAATGAGTACATTACAAAATTAAATGTAATCTGACTTCTGATTCCTAGTTGAATCCTTAAACTGCTGTGCTTTGTTATTATTTTTGTGTAAAGGAAGAGTATAAGGGTAAGAAGTATTGTAGTTCTTTTGAATAAGCAATTAACACAGCATTTCATAGTCTAAATTTCATTGATAAATTAGTAGGTTATTGGGGAAATATATTTAGGGAAAGAAAGTTACAGTTTTAGTCATTGAGATAGATGTGAGTGGCCATACGTTCTTTGAACATCAGGGAAACAAACTCAAATACCTGCACTGCACAAGCAGGTAACATAAGTCCGTGAAGCAAATGGGGTGAAGAGTCTGGCAAACTGGACCTCACATGCACTTTCTAAAGGGAAAGCTTCTACTGGCTATTGCTGGTTATTGTCCCATGATACTAGCTAGATATGCCAATTTTTCAAGAAAAATCAGAAATAATAATTTGTATGTGAAATCTTTTTATTTTGAGAAGTGAGCAAATAATTTATTTCTATTTTTAAATTATACTTTAAGTTCTAGGGTACATGTGCACAACATGCAGG
This sequence comes from Homo sapiens, assembly GCF_000001405.40. Lineage (NCBI taxonomy): Eukaryota > Metazoa > Chordata > Mammalia > Primates > Hominidae > Homo > Homo sapiens. The sequence continues at coordinate 196,570,659 of NC_000002.12, read as the reverse complement.
TTTGCTACATAGGTATACATGTGCCATGTTGGTTTGCTGCACCCATCAACTCGTCATTTACATTAGGTATTTCTCCTAATGCTATCCCTCCCCCTACCCCCTACCCCATGACAGGCCCCGGGGTGTGATGTTCCCCACCCTGTGTCCCAAGTGTTCTCATTGTTTAATTCTCACCTATGAGTGAGAACATGCAGTGTTTGGGTTTCTGTCCTTGTGATAGTTGAGCAAATAATTTAAACATTTCAATAAAATACTGTGCTGCCCAACCAGATAAGTTTGCAAGCTTGATTTATGACTCTGACGTCGATAAATTTGTGAATTCAGAAGGTAGCTGGTTTGATAGGTGCAATATAAATGATATGTTCATTATAATCTGAGATAATTGACTAAAATGATTATGGTAATTACATTTCTCGTGTTGTAAAGTACCATAAGGATCATCTAGTGTATCCATTTTATTTTATAGTTAAGAAAACAGGACCTTACAACGTTTAATGACTTTCTGTGTTTGCAGTCATATCTATTGAGACTTTTAGAACCATACAAAGCAAGCTAAAGGGTAACAGTGCCAGTGCCGCCTTCTGAAAATGCATTTGGATATCTCTTGTGTCTTTTATTTTCAGAAACAAGGTATTGCTGTGATGTCCAGGCTAGAGTGCGTTGGCTATTCACAGGTGTGATCATAGCGCATTATAGGCTTGAACTCCTGGGTTCAGGCATTCTCCTACCTCAGCTTCCCAAGTAGCTGGGACTTCAGGCATGTGCCACCATGCCTGGTTCTTGTGTCCTTATTAGTAATAACTTGGGTTTATATAGCACTTTTCCATGTGCCTTCACATATAGGTGTTATTCTCATTTGGTCACAGAAGAAACTGAGTCCTAAAGAAGTTTTGTAACTTGCTTAAGTTCACACAGCTCATTTATGAGAGATAGTGTGTTCATTATAATTTATCCTACATCCTGGTACATCTTTGAGTATGATAATTACACTGGGACAATAGGCACAAATCGGGGGTCCTGGGAAGTCTCAGATAGAGGGTCCCCCTAGTGATGGAACTGATGTTAGGATCTAGTACCTTTATTTGTAAACTTTCCCTGTCTTAGCAGGAAGATAAATAATATGACAAAATTAAGGTTTCTCAAGGGAAAAATGTATGTGTGTAGAATAGAGAAGCATAAAAAAGTATCATATGGAAAAAGTAGACAGAAGTCATTTTCTTCTTTATGGTATTTATTTATTAAGGAGAAGTTGATGCTTGAGACACAAAGCCTATTTTATTTTATTTTAGTTTAGTTTAGTTTAGTTTAGTTTAGTTTAGAGACAGTGTCTCACTCTGTCACCCAGGCTGGAGTGCAGTGGCACAATCATAGCTCATTATAACCTTGAACTCCTGGGCTCAAGTGAGCCTCCTGCCTCAGCCTCCTGAGTAGCCAAGGTTACAGATGTGTACCACCATGCCTAGCTATTTCTTTTTTCAAAGTTTTTGGAGAGATGGGGTCTCACTATGTTGCCCAGGCTGGTCTTGAACTCCTGGCCTCAAGTGATTCTCCTCCCTGGCCTCCCAAAGTGCTGAGATTTCAGGCATGAGCCGCCTTTCCCAGCCAGAGCCTATTTTATAACAAAGCTGTGAACATCTCATGTAATTTAGTGAATACTGCACTGAAAGTAAAAAACAGGATGGTTATATGGGCATTCACAATTAACATACACAACTGAAAACACCCTGGACCTGGGATGTTTGAAGCATTGAACTAAAATTAATTGTGGATGCTGGGGATGCTACAGCGACCAGGTTATCAATTTCTCTGTCTCCTGATGAGGCTCGAGAGTAGCTGGTAGGGGACCCTGGAGTATCTATACTTGTTGATGGTTTAGTGGGCGTAGTGCTCTTCAAGAAGTTAGTAAGTATTGGTTTTTTACCCTTGCGATTGTGTGGCTGACTAGGATCTGTGGCTTACCGCACTACCCAGCATTGCAAGAGTATCACATTGTATATTGCTAGGCCAGGAAAAGATCAGAGTTCAGAATCTAAAGTACGGTTTCAACTGAATGCATGTTGCTTTCACACCATTGTAAAGCTGAAAAATTGTAAGTCAAACCATGGTTAAGTCCAGATGCTTCTGGATTTATTATGGGGTTATGTCCTGATAAACCCATGGTAAAATTGAAAAATCATAAGTAAGCTCACCTATCATAAGTAAGGGGCTGTCTGTATTTCCTAGTTTTTGGCTTAGTGCTTTGTTAGGCTTTTTATTTTCCCCCATGTATTTTACTCACACTTCAGGTCTCCATTTTGTAGTAGATAGGAGTGGGCGAAACTAAGTACTGTTTGAGTTTTTAAGTTGGCTGCATTGTCTGAGATGCTTTTAGGATGTAAGATTTCATATAATGGGAATACAGAAGTAACTATCATAACATAGAGGATTTTAATTTAGATATATATTTGAGTGTCCTAATGACTTTTTTCCCAAATTTTTAAAAAGAAACAGACACACAACTTCATGTTATGAGGTTTTAATGGATCCTTGAAAAAATTTGGAAATGAAAAGGTAATAAAGAGAGAACAAATGTAGCAAAACATGCAAACCCTTCAATTAGAACAATTCAATGTTTCTAGGAAATATGTTTGAAATATTATATTTATTAATTACTTTATTTTTAGATATGTGTAAGGTTAAAGTAAAATGAAAGATTTACTGGATAACTGTGCTTAAAATATTTACTGGATAACATGATTAAAATATTTTCTTTCAAGCTTTAAGATAAAATATTCCATTTCTTAATTTCCAAAATGTGAGAAGACTTTATTTAGGGCTTTCAGTTTAATTCCCATTAGGGAGGAATGAAATTAATCTAGAAACAGATTTATTAAGACATCCTACTACTGAAATTTTTATTGTAGAAGATAAAGAAGACTATGACTTTTGCCAAAGAACATAATTATTTCCAGGATTTCTTTGTGATAATGGCCCATATCAGCGTTAGATAATTAATTCTGGTTGAATATATGGAATCAGAGAAATATCTAATTCCTGCGCTTTCCATCATCTACTTTCCCTAGGGCAATAGGCTCTATAGGCATGTGATTCCGCCTGCCTTCAAGGGAGTCTCAGGTGACAGGTTTGGCAGGCATTTTACTGTGACAAACAAGGGTCACCAGTTTATGACCTTTTTCAGTTAGCAACATCTGCTTTCTTGTTTTGAGGGACCCAACTGCCAAACCAACGCTTCATATTTTATATTTATGTAACATCAGCACACCACTTCTGGCACCAGTTTCTATGATTGTTTGGATATGAGCTAAGCTGCTATAATAGGCACTTCTCCAAAGCACAGTGGCCCAGTAAAGACAGAAGCTTATTTTTGTCTTAACATTCTTTCTGTTATTTCTCTCTTATTTCTACTTAAGGGAAACAGGTGGGTCAGGATGGACAGCACTGCCCATTTCTTGTATTTTGTTGCTCTGCCATCCCTTGTCATCTGTGCGGTCAGAGATGCCTCATCCACATTTGTACCCCAGTCTGTGAGAACAGAGGGAAGCACAAGATGTGGAAATGGCATGTTACTTCCACTAACATTTCATCAGTGAGAATTTAATCTTATGACTATGCCTGCACTCAGTCAGGGGCAGGCAGGTGTTTTCTCTCCATGGATGGTCATGTACCCAGCTAAAATGCTGTTACTAGGAAAGAAGGAGAGATTAGATTTTGGGGAATGCCTAGCAATCTGCCAGAGTTACTTAATTCCTCGGAATCTTAGCTTCCTCTTCTCTAAAATGTGGTAATAATTTTATCTACCTCAGAGAGTTGTCTCGAAAATTGGGTAATACATAGAAAGTATAGTTTCTGAGGCTGAGGAAGGCAGATCACTTTGAGGCCAGGAGTTTGAGACCAGCCTGGCCAACATGCTGAAACCGCATCTCTACCAAAAATACAAAAAAAAAAAAAAAAAAAAAAAAATTAGCTGGGTGTGGTGGCTGGCACCTGTAGTCCTGGCTACTCAGGAGGCTGAGGCAGGAGAATCACTTGACCCTGGGGAGGCAGAGGTTGCAGTGAGCCAAGATCGTGCCACTGCACTCCAGCCTGGGCAGCAAGAACGAGATTCCATTTCAAAAAAAAAAAAAAGAAAAAGAAAAGTATAGTTTCTGGTATATATAATATGCTCAATAAATGTTAGTTTTTAATTATGAAGATATTTTTCTAACGACAAGAGTAGCTATTGCTTTTTAGTTTATTAATGCATAAAGAACTTGTAAGCAATGCTTATTTTACTTCAGAAAAATTCTACTATTTAAAGCAGTAAAAGGCGCAGACCTAAATACGTGGAGACCGTAGATATTACAGCACCATAACATCTGGGTTCTTTTTTTTTTTTTTTGCTTATTTTTGAAAAAGCAAAATTATTAATGGAACAACCATTTACACTGTTTCTTAGAATGGTTTTAATGTAGATAAAGCATAAGTAGGTTTTGAGGTAAGTAGTCCATTAGAGTAATTTAATTTCCCTTGCAAAAATTTTAGTTAGTTTTTTTTTTCCTTCTAAAATGGGTCATCGCTAAAAGCAATTCATTTATTTGGCAAGATATTCTTAGCATATGGATTTGATGCGGCGGTGAGAATTCTAAAATGCCTATGTAATTTAAAAAGTTGTTTCCTGGTAATTGGCTGAGGGAAACAAACGATAAAGTTTTTACTAGCCTAAAGAAAAACAAAAGCTGAAACATATACAAAAGTGGAAATAATTTACTAATATTTTAAACTGCTTGAGTTTGAAAGTAGGGAAAGTAACCTAGTATTATGACTATTCGCATGTACTATACATTATTTGTCATTGATAGCTATAATGAAACATTTAAATCCACAAACAATTATTCTTTATTATTTTATAGACAATTATTATTTTTGAATAAAGAAAGATAACTTTATTTTGGGTTTTGGTTTCTTTACTTGTTAATTTCAGCCAGTTAATTGTTAAGGTTCATTATAATTTTTGAAAGCACTTTTTAGCAGAACTCAGTTTTTGGTCAAGAAGCAAAGATGAAAAGTGACTAGGAAGTTATTCAGAGATTTTTCACTAGTTTTGTGAAATTGGTGGTTAATGTGGTTAAAGCAGTCTGTATCCACTAGAAATATGTCTTAAAGATGAGGAAGCTGAACTTTAAATCTATTTGTTCATCTATTCCCCACTTTCAAAGGACATATGGGAAAACAAAGTAAAGAACATGTCAAGTTAAATTTTTTTTTAAACTTAGCATCTCTAAAGCATGTTCATTTGTTGCATAAGAATTCTTCTTTGGTTTCCTATTTTTTGGGCAAAATGCCGAAAGAGGATATGTGTGCCATCTGCTTTGTCATCATCAATTTTAGATTAAATTCCCCAAATTTAGATTGAGTTTTCACTGATTTAACCTGCAGCTTTTGGTAATTTTTTTCCTTGATCTCTGGCATAGCTTCTGACTATTTTGTGGGTGAGTTAAAGATGATGTTTAGATGTAGTAAGATAGGGGTTGGGTTACTGCAGCCACTGGCCTTGCAATTAGTTAAGTTGGACTTCATTGTGAAGTTAGTGGGGAGCATTGGGCAAAAGAGAGTGGTGAATTTTACCAAAAGGTTTTTCTGTTTAATTAATTCATTATTAGCTAGGCTCCGTTTAACTATCTCTGTGAAGAAATAGTTAAATTGCTTGCCTCAAAAAAAAAAAAAAATCAAAGCATAGAAACAAATTACCACTCAACTTTTAATGTATTGTCTACTAGACTGTACTGCTCATTAGGCTTTTATTTGATATGCTATTTTATTTTTCAATTTTAAATTATAATCTATGTAAATTTGGAATATTGAATGTATAGGATGGAGATGACTTTAATTGCTGTCAAACTCCAAGGATAAGTTAAGTAGGAGGCATGAGGTTGAGGAACATAAGTTTTTATGAGAAAAAATAAGGTTAAGAGGGAATAAGAAAAAACAGTAGTGAATGTTTAAATTAAAAATATTTCCTCTTTCCCTCAATTTTTAATTTAAAAAAACTTCTAACTGCAAAAAAAGTTGAAATAAAAAGAAAAAGCAGCACTCATAAGATCCATCTGTTGCATTCTGTCACATTTGATTCTCTATGTATGTGATATATTTATTTAGAAAGCTTTTAAAAATAAGTTATAGATACCATTAAACATCCTGCCTGAATACTTCCACACTTCCTGAGAATAAGGACATTATCCTACCATCCCTAATATTATTGTTTTTGTGGTTATTACTGTTGCTGAATCTTCCTAATTAATCATAATTCAATAATATCATCTCATGTACATTTTATGTTGAATTATCCCATTTTTTAAGGATCCAGGATGCAATAAAATTTCACACATTGCATTTGATTGTCATGCCTCTTAATCTCATTTTAATCTGGAAAAATTCCCCTGCCTTTTTTTAAAATTATGACTAATTTGAAGAGTGTAGACCAGTTATAGGATGTTCTATATTCTGGATTTGTCTGTTTCCCATTTTTTAGATTCACTTTTTTTGGCAAGAAGACAGCTGAGGTGATATCACTACTACTTCCCATCAGAAGGCACAGGATGTCTGCTACTGGTGATTGTGGAATGGGATTGTTTGGTTAAGTGTTAACTACTGTAGCTTTCCCATATACAAGTACCTGTGTCCTTTTGTGATTAGTAAATAGTCTCTGGGATGATACTGTGTGAGATCATGTGAATATCCTATTCCCCAATAATATTTTCCCAGGTACTTCTAGGCATTCATAGGTGATTCTTGCCTGAATTAATTACAGTGAAGATTGCAAAGGGATTATGTTCTAATTCTGTAATCCCTTTTTCATTTAATAGATAGCATTTTGCAAGAACTTCCCTCACATCCTTCCACTCCCCCTTAATATGGATTCATGGATTTTTAAGTTAAATGTATTATATTTAATACTTGATGATCAGTATTATATTTTTAGATGCACAAATTATTCAGATCTAGCTAGTGGGTGCCTTTTCAAGCTGGTTCCTGTGTTCTTTACTTGACTCCTGTAGTCTTTGAGCACTTTCTTGCATTCAGGAATGAATTTTGTTTGTTTGTTTTTGTTTTTTGAGATAGAGTCTCACTCTGTCACCCAAGTTTGAGTGCAGTGGTGGTGTGATCTCGGCTCACTACAACCTCCGCCTCCTGGGTTCAAGCGATTCTCCTGCCTCAGCCTCCTGGGTAACTGGGATTACAGGTGTCCGCCACCACATCTGGCTAATTTTTCAATTTTTAGTAGAGGCGGGGTTTTGCCATTTTGGCCAGGCTGGTCTCAAACTCCTGACCTCAAGTGATCCACCTGCCTCGGCCTCCCAAAGTGCTGGGATTACAAGCGTGAGCCACCGTGCCCAGCCAGGAATGAATATTTTTTACGTGACTAAGATAACGTTATAACATTTATTTTATAATAAAACAGTAAAAGTGGTTTAGACATTTTACACAAACTAATTTTCTTCTATCATCAATTGTTTGATGGAAAGTTCTTCTTATAGTTTCAGTGATAACTGAAATAAGTGTATACCTCTTAATTATTGAAGATTATAAGCATATCAAGAGGCTGGTTTCTGGTGTGTTTCTCAAAGCTAGTACTTTTCTCTAATTTTTGAGACAGGGTCTCTCCCAGGCTGGAGTACATTGTGCGTTCATGGCTCACTGCAGCCTCAACCTCCCAGGCTCAAGCTATCCTTCCACCTTGGCCTCCAAGCAGCTGGGACTACAGGTGTGCCTCACCACACCTGGCTAATTTTTTAATTTTTTGTAGAGACAGGGTCTTGCTATATTGCTGAGGCTAGTCTTGAACTCCTGGGCTCAAGTGATCCTTCTGCCTCAGCCTACCAAAGTGCTGGGATTACAGATGTGAGCCACCAACCCTGGCCAAAGCTGGTACTTTTCTGATTTGTGATTCGAATAAAAAATTCTGAGTGCTGCCTCCTGGGAACCTCTGTGAATGGATGCCTAAGATGGAGAAATACTTTGGGACAGCCCGCCTTACATGTATTTCTGCTCTGTCCCTCCTGCTTCTTGTATATTTTGGAAATGCAGTGATAAGGCTGGGGTTTACTTGTGCTCATTTTCCATTATCTTTCCCACATTTTAATTGGACAATATCTAAATTGCTTCTCTGTATCCACTTTACCTGTCTTTTATATTTCCAAGCCCTCTTTCAGCTTTAGCTACTGAAAATGCCATTGAAAACAGTTTAAATAAATAACTCATACAGGGAGAATATCATTAAATTTTAAATATTGTCAAAAGAATGTGCTGTAAAGTATACTGAATTCCTCCTTTGTAAAATTCTGGTATAAGTGGTTTTACTTCTTTATACATTTAAAGTACATGTAAGAAATTTAGTATGTATCACTTGTGCTATTGTTTCTAACTTGGTTGGAGGGTGGGAGGGTTTAAAGCTGGGAAAGGGAAGGAACTATGAAGGAGTCTTTTACTAGACTGACATTTATTCCACCAATTCATTGTCTTTGGATATTCTGCTTAACCACCTGCAAATCTATTCAGCGTATCATTATTTAGGCTGCATGTCTCTATTCTTGGCTACAAGAGTGTTTTAAGAGACTTCATACCATGCCGACATCTAAATATGCTGTCTAAAGCGTTGTCATACCCACCATTCTCCTAACCATGTCAAAAGGAAATAACGTGTTTGGCATAACTTATTCTTAGTGAAACCCTGCTGTTTTCTACTGATTGCCTCTTTTCATTGCCTCTAAGTTCTCACAGACCACTTATTTGGTAAACTATTTTAGAGGTGTGCAGGGTAGGACATCAGGCTCTGTGAGTCTCAGAATCTACCTTTCCTCCTAATCTTTGCCCATCCCAAGACATCAGTTCTTTCCCTGTAGCTGGATGTTGCCTGTGCTGCTGGGTAAGGCAAATCTCTAACTAAGAAGTCATTGTATGTATTAGGGGAACCAGCCCCTGATATTTCAACATAGGTTCTTTTCTATTTTCCCTAAGTGCCGGCCGGTCTGAGAAATAAAGGGAAAGAGTACAAAAGAGAAAAATTTTAAAGCTAGGTGGCCGGGGGAGACATCACATGTCAGCAGGTTCCATGATGCCTCCTGAGCCGTAAAAAACAGCAAGTTTTTATTAGCAATTTTCAAAGAGGAGGGAGTGTACGAATAGGGTGTGGGTCACAAAGATCACATGCTTCAAGGGCAACAAAAGATCACAAGGCAGAAGGTCAGGGCGGGATCACAAGGTCAGGGCAAAACTAGAATTACTAATGAAGTTCCATGTCCCACTGTGCACGCATTGTCATTGATAAACATCTTAACAGGGTTCAAGAGCAGAGAGCACATCTGACTAGAATTTGCCAGGCTGGAATTTCCTAATCCTAGCAAGCCTGGCGGCACTGCAGGAGGCCAGGGCGTGTTTTATCCCTTATCTGCAGCTGCATAAGGCAGACACCCCCAGAGTGGCCATTTTAGAGGCCTCCTCTGGGAATGCATTCTTTTCCCAAGGCTGTTAATTATTAATATTCCTTACTGGGGAAAGAATTCAGCGATATTTCTCTTACCCGTTTTTGGTAATAAGAGAAATGTGGCTCTGTCCTGCCTGGCTCCCAGGCAGTCAGACCTAATGGTTATCTCCCTTGTTCCCTGAACATCGCTGTTATCCTATTCTTTTTTCAAGGTGCCCAGGTTTCATATTGTTCAAACACACATGCTTTACAAACAATTTGGGCAGTTAATGCAATCATCACAGGGTCCTGAGGCGACATACATCCTCAGCTTACGAAGATGACAGGATTAAGAGATTAAAGTAAAGACAAGCATAGGAAATTATAAGAGTATTGATTGGGGAAGTGATAAATGTCCATGAAATCTTCACAATTTATGTTCTTCTGTCACGGCTTCAGCAAGTCTCTCCGTTCGCGGTCCCTGACTTCCCGCAACAGTATGGACTTTTTTGTGGGAAAATTATTTGTGTGGATCTACCAAGGAAATGTCTGCAGAGTCCACTTTGAGAAAAGCTGACTTGAGAAACTGATTTTCTGGACACATTGTATCAATTATTTCTGTAAATGAGAAGTCACTGAACTGGTAAAATATATATCTTTTAGATTATCCAAAAAAATGAACATGCAATTAAGATTTTTTTTAAAGCTCAGTTCCCTGGGACAGGGACAGGGAGTGCGGGCATATGAAGATCTCAGATAAGAAACAGTGGTTAAGGCTGGGCACAGTGGCTCAGGCCCGTAATCCCAGCACTTTGGGAGGCCCGAGGTGGGCAGATCACCTGAGGTCAGGAGTTTGAGACCAGCCTGGCTAACATGGTGAAACCCCGTCTCTACTAAAAATACAAAAATTAGCTGGGCATGGTGATGGGTACCTGTAATCCCAGCTACTTGGGAGGCTGAGGCAGGAGAATCACTTGAACCTGGGAGGTGGAGGTTGCAGTGAGCCGAGATCGCGCCATTGCACTCCAACCTGGGCAACAAGAGTGAGACCTTTGCTGTTAAAGGGTGGTCCCTGCAGCAGCAACATCATCAGGGTGCTTCATAGAAATACAGACTCTCAGGCCCTAATCCAGCCCTGTTGAATCAAAATCTGCATTTTGACACCATCTCCAGGTGATTCATATACAAATTAGGTTTGAGAAGCTCTGGAAATCATTTTCATGGGACCGTCCCTCTCTGCAAGTGAACTGGTAGAGAGATAAAGACTCATCTTGTGAAGTACCTGCAGATACTAAATAGCATAATTAGGAAAATCCTTTTAGAGTGAAAGGAATTCAGATATTTATTGTACATTGTTGGCTCAATACAATTGTTTAATATTGACCTTCCCACACTGTACCTTGTGAGATTTAAGATGTATGCAAATACAATGACTATTATTTTCAAAAAATGATTTTTGTAGTCATTTTACTAGCCATAAGCCAGAGTGCTCAAAACCTTTCCCCCTTTTTCTGCTTTCTGTATTCTTTCTAAAGGTGGCTAAATTGTCGAAGTTATAATTCAGCATGAAGAGAAAACTCCAAGAAAAAAGGCTTTAGCTGGGGCCATGCCTCTGTTGTTTGCATCCTAACTTTGTTAGAGCTCCTTAAGCACAGTAGAGCCTCGTCTGTTCCATGACACTGCAGGCTTGTCGCATAACCCTATGAGCAGTAATCAACTGGACTCCAGATGTTGCTGTCTCACATTAGCCCAACGTTAGCTTCAATAATGTTGATGGCAGCTTGATATATATCAGGGTTTCCTAGCTTTCTTAGATGTCTTACTTATATTGGGGGTGATGAAGGAATTGAACCTCCTCCCTTTAGCTGAGACATCCCCACGTGTTTCTGAAGGGTGGACATGTCAGGTAGGACTCTGATGGGCTGGTGTATGTGCTGTTGAAGAAAATACTTTAAGCCAATGTCAGATTGCAGGTGCATCTTACTGGCTCACTCAGGTGGGAGGGTCTAATGGGAACTGTGGGTGTTGTGAGCTGGCAGAGGGCATCAGTATGGTGTAGTGAAAAGAACATTGTGTTTCTAATTAGGTAGATGTGGTTTGAATCCCAGCTCTCCTGCTTATTAGTTCTGCAACCTAGTAGCAGTTATTTAGTCTCTGATTTTTGAGTTCCATAATTGTAAAAATAGGGTTAATTTCTATCTCCCTGGGTTGTTGTGAGACTCTAATGAGATGATGTATTAAGAGCCTAATATAGTGCCTGGCATAGAGTAGGTGCCCATTGAATGGTAAGTTCACATTACTAATCCATTTGGTATATTAAACAATTCCATACAGGTTTTTTTAAATGCCTGCCCCAGCTAAACTAAGTAAGGATTTAAGTAGCTTCTGATAGTTTTGCCCATCAAATGTATTTTCAAGTGATTCTTTGCCAGGTAAGCATCATCTTCTGTTATTGCTGCTGTGGCAGACACAGGCCTTCAAAGGCACAATGCTGTCAACCTGGCAGATTCATCAGCTGGATCAGAGCCAGCAGGGATTACATGTCCAGAAAGCTGAGAATATTCCATTTTACACAAGGGATACGCCAACATGTCAGCTAGAATCAAGGAAAAGGGACTACGTGCTTAAAACAATAGCAAGTGGTAAAAAGAGCTTTGGTGAATTAATCACGTTCAAATGGTTGCAGTACCTGGTGTTGTTTTCTATGAAGAAGGCTATGAAATGCAACATTTTGTTTCAAAAAGTATGCTCATGCTCATATAGTATCCTGGAAAGGACATTTTTCTTTATAATTATAAAGGGTGTAGAGTTTGATGTAAAGCTCTCCAAATTCACAACTCTGCTTATATCAGGAAACCAGGAGGTGTGGCACAAAATCCTAACTTATTAGTGTTCTACCTGTGAATATTTGACTGTAGACTTCTTCCATTACTTTTCTCTCTCTATCTCTGAATCTGAACCCATAGCCCATCTGAGTTTGAAAGCTCTGATTTTAGGTATTGAAGTAGTGCCTTGGTTATTTTTTAACTTTTAAGTGGTTGCTGTTTAGAAAATGTTAGAAAAATAACTTTAATCAGATTTAAGAAAACTACTGGATGAAGAATATTTTTTGTTTTGACTAAATTACATTGATTCATCTTTTAAATGGGGATTATAATGGTACCTATTCCATAGGATTAGTATCTACCTTACAGAATAAATAAAGTATTAATAATATATGTGAAGTGTTTAGTATATGGTGCTTGGCATGCCATAAACATATTTTATAATCGTGTTAAGTATTATTAATTTTTTGCTATTGGTTTCTCTCTGCTTACAAAACAGAAATTTTCATTGTAGAAAATGTAAAATAAAACAAAGAAAAAAAATCACATAAATGCTCTAATAACAGATACTGACATTTTAGTACATCTTCCCAGCCTTCTGTTTCCCTACATGCATATATTTTACATAAGCAAATCAAAATTGTAGTAGTTTTAAACTTGCATTTTTCACTCATTATATTAGCAGTATTTTCCCATGAAATATTATCACATGATTTTAATGTCATTTTATTTTACTTATGCCCTAAAACTTGTTTCCTCTATTGTTAGATATTTGTGTTTTCAGTCTTTCATTAGTTATTAGGAGCTCTCCAGTGAATTTTTTTTTCCCCTTGGGCTGAGTTGGAAGAGGAATTACTGGATTAAAAGCTGTATACACTTTTGTGCACATTGCAAAACTGTCTTTCAGGGAAGTTCTACAAATTTATACTCATACTTGGAATATATGAAATTTGGTGCTTACTCCTTCTGACACTGGGACATGATACTTTTTTTTTTTTTTGAGGTGGAGTTTTGCTCTTGTTGCCCAGGCTGGAGTGCAATGGTGCAATCTTGGCTCACTGCAGCCTCCGCCCCCCAGGTTCAAGCAATTCTCCTGCCTCAACCTCCCAAGTAGCTGGGATTACAGGAATGTGCCACCACGCCCTGCTAATTTTGTATGTTTAGTAGAGATGGGGTTTCACCATGTTGGTCAGGCTGGTCTCGAACTCCTGACCTCAGGTGATCCGCCCACCTCGGGCTCCCAAAGTGCTGGGATTACAGACATGAGTCACTGCACCCTGCCAGACATAATTTTTAAAAAGTCTCAATTTAATGGGTTAAAAAATACCATTTTTATGTAAAACTTAAATATTTTCTACTAGTATTGAACTTTTTATGTTCAGAAACTCTATTATTCTATATGAGTTTGCTTATCTGTGTCCTTTGAACATTTTGTGGGAGTTAGTTATTTATAGAAATCTCTAATTTTTAAGGCTATCAACTCTTAATCAGGAATACTGCAAGTATTTTTCCATAGTTTTCAATTTGCCTTTTAAGTTTGTTCACAATATTTTTGATAGAGATTTTTAGTTTTTGGTAGTCAGATGTAACAGTTTCTTTTTCTTCTTTGTTTCTGCCTCTGTGTTATGCTTGGGATATCTATCTCCACTCCAAGATTACACCATCGTCTATGTTTTAGTTCATTTCTTCATCCACGTACTTTAATCCCACAGATGTTCATTGAATGTCTCTTATATGGCAGGGCTAAGACAATTGCCAGGCAAAAAGTAATATACCTTACACATTTGGAGCTTCAGTCTGGTAGGAAATTGACCTTAATAAGGACATGATGCTAAGTGAAATATGCCAGGCACAGAAAGATAAATACTGCATAATCTCACTTATAAATGGAAGCTAAAGAAAGTCAACTCATAGAAACAGAGAGTAGAAGGGTCGGGAACGGGAGAAAATGGGAGATATTGGTCAAAGGGTACACACTTCTAGTTATAAGATGAATACATTCTGGAGACTTACTGTACAGCATGATGACTATAGTGAATAATAATATATTGTATACTTGAAATTTGCTACGAGAATAGATCTTACATATTCTCGCCACAAAATCAAGGTAATTATGTGAGGTGATGGACATGTTAATTGGCTTGATTTTGGTAATCATTTCATAATGCATACATATATCAAAACATCATGTACTCTTTAAATATACAGAATTTTCATTTGTCAATTATACCTCAGTGAAGCTGCAAGAAGAAGAAAATAGGCCTTAATTTCTCTTAAATTTGCACAAATAAAATTAAAACTGTGCTAAGTATTATGAAGGAGAGGTAAATAGTAAAATAAAAATGTCTACTGAGGTTAACTGACCTGCTTGGGGAGGTCTGGGAGGGATTTCCAGTGGAAGTGGCCTTGATGGAAGATTGTAGTTGAATCACATAAGGACGTGGTGGAGGAAGGCATTTCAGGCCTGGCAGATGCCACTGTGGCTGAAGCACAGAGATCAAGAAAGATAAAGCAGGATTATGTCAAGAAATGGCTGGAAAGGAGTTTTGAAGCTAGACCTTGTGGGGACTTGTAAGTCTTGTTAAGGATTTTGATACTTTGTTGTAAGAGCAATGGAAAACCACTAATGCCATTTAAGGAGGATGCTCAGAGTAGGTGATATGATGCTGTCTTTTCTTTTTAAAAAATACTTAACTCTTTAATTCTTTTGGAGTTTGTTTTTATGGGGCCTACAAATTTTTTTTCTAAGCAGTTAAAGTCACTGTACCTTTAGCTGAATAATTTTTTCTTTTCCCATTTTTCTGAAGTGTACTCTTATCATAAAGTAAAATTTTATATATCACTTGTGTCTTTTATGCAGCAAGATGTTTTGATAGGACCTATGTGCTATGATCTGAGTGTTTGTGTCCCCACACCACCAATTCGTATGTTGAAATCTAACCTGCAATGTGATGGTATTAGGAGGTGGCCTTTGGCAGGTGATTAGGTCATGACAATGGAGCCCTCATGAAAAGGATTCGCACCCTTACAAAACAGGCCCCATGCAGCTGCCTTGTCCCTTCCACCACATAAGGACCCAGCAAGAAGGAGCTCTGAATCAGAAAGGAGCCCTCACCAGACACCAAATCTGCCTGCTTGATCTTGGACTTGATCTTGCACCTCCCCGCCTCCATAATGATGATAAATACATTTCTGTTGCTAATAATCTACCCAGTTTATGGTATTTGTTATAGCAGTCCAAACAGAAAAAAAATTGCTTGTTTTTTCTTCCTTATTTAGTCTTACTTCAGTGGAATCTGTTCATTCCTATTTTAGGCCATATTTATCCTTATTCTCAGTGTCTGTATTTTGGGCGACCTTGAAGGTTTGACAATCCCCCTTTGGCCTTTTAAAGTAGAGGGCAGAGTGTTGTGCACAGTCTGGACCCAACTGTGTTTTATCTTGGCCTTTTTGGCTGTGGATCTGTTGTCCCGTGCAGGGATTTTTTGGTCTCTTGTTCAGGTCTTTTTATGAGGGCGGGAATTGATTCTGTAATGATGTGAAAACATAAGTATTTTGCAAGCCAACAATTTTGCACACTGCAGAGCCTACTGCTCTTCGTTCTTCTAGGCTAAACTTCTCCGATGATTGACTTATGGATCAAAGCCCCAGACCCATTGCATGCTGGAAGATGAAGCTGGTGGAAATTAAAGTGGAATTGGAATAAGAAAAGACTTACTGAGAGAAAGGGACAGTTCTCAGTGATTTTAGAAAGCAGGTTAAGGGTGTAGTTTGCTCCCCTTTGTGTCCAAAGCCCAGTTTCTGGGAGGTGGGGCACATATTTTGGCTAGGTGAAGGAAATTCTGCTGTTTGACCATCCTCCTCATTCTTTGATTAAGGTCTCAGGGCTTCAACTGAGTTTTAGTTTTACTAACATTTAGTTAGTAGATGTTTCTTCAGTTTTTTCATAGGTCATTGAGCCATTTGTCAAGATTCCAGGACTGTGAAAACATCAATACGATGATGAGCCAGTGAGCCTAAGTCACAAGTTGTTTTTTGCCATCATAATTCAAAAATCTTTTTTTTTTTTTGAGACGGAGTCTCATTCTGTCGCCCAGGCGGGAGTGCTGTGGCGCGATCTCCGCTCACTGCAAGCTCCGCCTTCCGGGTTCACGCCATTCTCCTGCCTCAGCCTCCCGAGTAGCTGGGACTACAGGCGCCCGCCACTGCGCCCGGCTAATTTTTTGTATTTTTAGTAGAGACGGGGTTTCACCGTGGTCTCGATCTCCTGACCTCGTGATCCGCCCGCCTCGGCCTCCCAAAGTGCTGGGATTACAGGCGTGAGCCACCGCGCCCGGCCCAAAAATCTTTTTAAGAGAAGCCCTCCAGCCCTATCCTAGATATCAGGGAGCTACCCTCCCTGGCAAACAACCTCTTGGCTTTTGTGCCATTTGGGGCTGTATTATTTTGTTTGAGTGAGATGTCAAGTTTACTGACTGAAGAGTTTTTTATTGGTTAGGTGGAAGTGACACTAGCACATAAATATATTTTGAGGCTTGTGTGGATTGGATATTACTGATTGGATATTACTGAGGCTCAAGTTAATGGTGTTTTAGGTTAAAAACTTACCTAGTATGTGGAGCATCAGTTTGTTCAGTATACAATTCTATAAGAAGCTTTCTTTGGTCTAGTGAGCCACTGGCCTGAAGACTTCTACAGACTGTTGTTCCGCAAATCAGAGTTTAAATGCAGATGTCTCCTAGACCAACAAATTGCTGCAATTTTCTACCATGTTTTCTTGGTCACTGCTTCATCCTGCTGAGGAGCCTGATGGCAGTGGGGTAGTGCCTGGAAGTATAATTTTGTTGAAGGGTGTAAGGCAAACACTTATTACCATTTGTAATGCTCTGCTTACTTGCTTATTATCTGTCTCCTCAGTAGTCTCTAAGCAGTGGCATGCATATCTGTTTTATTCTCTACTGTGTGCCCAGGGTCTAGCACAGTATCTGGTGCTCCATGTATATTTGATGAATGAATGAATGAACTTGAAAGAGTCTCAGTGCCAAGTACCCACAGGTTACAGGGAAGTTATAGACAAGTTTTTGCCTTTATTTGTTAACCTGCAACTTCAATTAACTTGGTTCCAAAACCTCTTCAGATGTAGTAGAATTACTACATGTAGTGCATACTGTTGGGTGGAATTCAAACAAAATGGTGTTTCTGAAGAAGAGCAATTGCATGTGAAATACATTTTCTTGTGACTAGCAAAAATAATTTATTAGCCTCTAGCTCATTTAAATTTGATTCCTAGAAAGCAGTTATAGTAAAACACAAAAGCCTGTGAGAAAAGATGCGATATTTTCCCCTTTGGCCCTACTCGCCCACCCCTTCTGGGGCTTGGGGCACAGTCATCTCCCCCTGGGGCCTTATCCAGATTAGGTAATGGAAACATTTTTCCTCGGGTGGGATGGAGATTTGGAGACTTTCTGGGTTCTAGGGTTATACTGAGAGGGACTTTATTTTGCTAGAGACTTCCTTAATGCCGGAGACATTTTGAGGCCAGATCTGGAAGTTCCTTTCCCTGATTCACTGAAGAGGAAAGATTCACCCTCTCACTGCCATTCTGGCCTCTACCCTTTCCATGGAAGTAAAATCTAATGGAACCAAATGGTGGAGATGCTTGGCCAGCCACAGAGAAAGAATGAGAGGAAGCCTCAGGCTCAGGAAGAGGAGGTAAGACACTTAAGGAACCATAGGGAGCGGGAGAGAGGAAGGACTTCCTTTGGCCTCTCAAGGTGATTATGTGAAGAGTTGAGCTGGTGATTTAGGGAACAATAAAAGAACTGTTTTGTACCATGCTCCTGACTCTGCACTTTATCTTTTAATAGTAAGGCTTCTTTGCTAATGGACTATGAATATATCTCTGTTTTCTCTGAAGATGGAGGCTAGGTCATCTTCTGTGAGTGAGACAGATAAAGGCTGTGTGGAAATTTTGAGGAGAATGGGGAAAGTAAGAAATAGTTGTCATGAAAGTGGACCAGAAAGCTTCCAGGAGAAAACTTAGAAGGATTTCCAGGCAGCCAAGGGCCTAAGGGTCACTTTGTTGGGAGAATATAAACGTTTTCTCACACAAACCTGATTGGTCAGCTGCACAGCCTTTAAGAAGCTTTCTTTAACCATAAAGCTTTAAGTTTGATTTACAACTTAAATATCTCTCCCTGGTACTCTCATGTCAACTTGGCCATGCATTATAATTCTTATCATTTTGGGTTGAAATATTAGTTCCCTGCATCTCTCTTTTCAAAGACAGGTCATACCTTGTTTCCTCTTTACCTGTAGGACCTAGTCCTGTGGCGCTGTCTTAATAGGCTCTGGGTAATGTTTGAATTAACCCAGATAAGTAGAGAAGGGTGAGAAGTGATTCAGGATGGTATGTTGTCATGAAGGCTGAGGAAGTGATAGTTGACAGTAAGAAATGCTAGGAAAATAAAATGAAGAAGTATTGCATATGAAGAAGGTCAGCTGATGACCTTGGAGAGGAGAGCTCCAGGCAAATTTGGATCCTGAAGACAGATTGCAGAGGCCTATGAAAAGAATGCATGACTGAATATTATTGTTTCCTCAGAATTTAGTGTAATTTTCAATTCATATTGATTCTCTTTCAAATCAGGGAATAATTATTGTACATCTAAGCTTAAAAGAAATTAATAGTCATGTTTACCATTTAAACAAAGTTATCAGATACTGTATTTAGATGACCTGAAACTGCAGAGATGTTAAATCTTTCTTTATATAGTATGCGCAGGGAAAAATTATATTATACCAGTATAAAGAAGCATGTTAAATCCAGACATTTGTATATTTTGAATTATCATCTGGAATAGTTTTAGAGTAAACAGAAGCCAAGTTCTGCTAGGTTATGTCTATGAATATCAGTCTTTCCATTTTCTAGAGTAGAGTGATTCAAAATAGTTGTGTTATCTACAGACTGTCACTTTTTAACAATAGCTTGACTTTTTTTGGTCTTTTAAGGTCTCATACAAATGTTTGCAAAAAAGAGTATTTACTTACTATTTCTTTTCACTTAACTTTCTCCTGCCCCTGTCCTTGGCTGTAAGTGTGTTTGTGTTTCTTCCTAATAAAATGAAGTGGGTGTGTCTCTTAGCTGTTTTCATTGTGAAACTTTTATTCTTTTGGTCCCTGAAGTATTGCATTTCTTTGGCTTCTTCTAAACTTATGTAGCCTATGGAGCTATTTATCTGGTCTGTTGTGATGGAGATGAGAGGAACATTTGGATTTCATTTAACTTCTTAGTTGCCTTTGGAGGCAATGGAATTTTTACTGGATAAAAAGACAAACACTTAGATTTCATCCTAATTGGAAGTTTGAATGTTTGGCACTGTCTTGTGTACATGCTAGCAATAAGGCATGAAAGGTTTAAAATCTTTATTGATCTTATTAGAAATTCTTTTTTATATTAATTTTCTTGGTTGTAACTAAAGTTCTTCCAGTTGACTGTATTTGGTCTTAAGCTATAACAAACTGCTTAGGCAGAAGATAAGAATTGGATGTTCTCACTGATCATGTATACATCTTCCTGAAAGAGATTATTTAAATAGATGCCTAATAAATTATAGTACATTCTTACAATAGAATTCCATTTTGCCATTTAAAATGACACTGTAAGGAAAAATTTATTGCCACAAGGTGGTCTCTGCAATATATTTTTAAGGCAATAAAGATAGTCACAAAATAGCATTTATAACATGTTCTCATTTTTGTTATCCCTTTACCTGTGTATTTATGAATGGAAAAGAAAGTCTGGAAGGATATGTGGTAAAATGTCTCTGAGTATTAGAAATAAGGGTGGCTTTCACTTTATTCCTAATAACATTTATAGAGACTAAAAAGCAATAGTAATTTTAAAAGGAAAAGCTATTTTCTTAAAGAATTTTCAATGAAAATTTCATGTTTCTTAATTTTTTTTTTTTACTTAGCTCATTTCTACTTCATAGAGATATATCTGGAATGACAGGGAAAACAACTTCCCAACTGTGATTCATTTCGTAGAGGAGTCACATCACTGTTCGAACTTGTATTTAAATTACAATCAGAAAATACAGCTGATCATCAGGACTAGGAAATGAAGTCTGGATGGAGACTTCTAAGCAGGAATTAGAGTCCAAGCTTAGAATATGAAGTGAAAGAGAGTCAGTCAGTCTACCTTTATATGGATGGTAGATAAGTTAACCAAACTAGTGTCCAATTCCAGCCTGTGTAGGCAAGGTCAGAGCACTGAGGAAACTTCAAGTTGAATCGATCAAGAAGCAAATATTCTCTGTTGAAACTCCAACAAGAATTGGTCAAGCCTCTAAAGTCAGCACAGTCTGGCAGGTTACATTGAAGATTCTGTGTTTATCAGTGAAGCTTGTCAGCCAGACCCTGCAAATGCCTGTCTCCTTCAACCACTGAATCATGCCCTCTTTCACCTTTACCTTGCCATTTACACACTTTGGGAGAAAGGGTCTATGGGCCAGTTCAGTTTAGAATATTATAGCATTGCCTGAAACATATCAGGTCGATTGGTAAATATACTTTGCTATGAGTATCATTTCTTTTTCAGTTTTTCTAGGAAAATATCTGTGGAGGCATTGCTGAAGAAAATTGCTTGTATTATAATCTGTCTATGTAGGAGCTTTAAACAAAAAGTGATTTTGTAAGATAAAAACTATAAAGTCAGTTGTAGTCATAGTAGTTTCAATGTGTAGATATAACTTTGATGTAGACATTGAAGGATGTGGGGATGTTAAAAAAAAAAAAAAGAGCAAGACTGGCAAATATCAGAAAATGTAGTGTTGACCAGCTAAGTTGGATTTAGGTTAATGGAATATTCTTTGAAACCATTTAAAAATGTAATTACATGGATGAATCTTACAAATATCTTGAGTAAAAAAAAGACTCTAAATAATGTATTACAATATCGTTTCACTCACATGCAGTTCAAAAACCAAACTGTATTATGTTTGGGATACATTTAAAAGTGGTAAAACCATGAAGGAAAGAAAAGAAGTCATTTTCCTTAAAGTAACGATAGTGAGACCTCCTGGAGGAGGGAGGGGAGTGTGACCAGGAAAGCGCATACAGGGGTCCCAGACTGCTGACTGTGCTCTATTTTTTGACCTGGATTGCAGTTATGCATGTGTTTCCTTTATAATTATTTGTTATGCTGTAGATTGATGTCTTAGCATTTTCCAAATCTGTTATATTTTCCAATAAAAAGGCTTTTAAGAGGATAAAATGACTATCATAGTGAGTACCTACTATTTGGTCTGAGATGTAAAGGGTTTCTAAGTTTGTGGGGTTGGATTGTGTCCCCCGCAAAGTTCATGTGTTGAAGTGCCAACCCCTTGTACCTTGGAATGTGACCTTAACTGGAGATAGGTTCGTTAAAGAGGTAATTAAGCTAAAAGGAGGTCATTAGGGTGGGCCCTAATCCAGTATAACTGGTGTCCTTATAAAAAGGGGAAATATGGGCAGAAAGACACGCACAGAGGGAAGACTATGTGAGGAGGCATAGGAGAAAGACCGCCACCTATAAGCCAAGGTGAGGGTAGAACAGATTCTTCCCTCACAGCCCCAAGAAGGAACCAACCCTGCCAACACCTTGACTGTGGGCTTCCAGCCTCCAGAACTGTGGGAAAATACGTTTCTGTTGTTTAAGCCACCCAGGCTGTGGTATTTCTTATGGCAGTCCCAGTAAAGTAACAGTTCAGAAGACTGACAAACATTTTAGCTTTTAATCAGTGGCTTTACTTATTACAATGACCTGTTTTGGGGTTTTTCAAAGTAGAATGGGGCAGCTACCTTTCCCATGTGACTCAGGAATTTCTAATTAAAGTGACTGAAGGCTGGGAGCAAGGATGTAGTTTATCCTCAAGTCATCCAGCTTTTGTTTAATATAATAGTTATCTATCTTTCAGAGCCTTGACTATTTTTTTGGTGTTTTTTTTTCTTTTTGTAAGCATCTGTATTATGTAAGATCAGTGGATTTCTTTTTTCTTTTTCTTCTTTTCTTTTTTTTTTTTTTGAGATGGAGTCTTGCTCTGTCATCCAGGCTGGAGTGCACTGGCGAGATCTCAGCCCACTGCAACCTCCACCTCCCCGATTCAAGCAATTCTCCTGCCTCAGCCTCCTGAGTAGCTGGGATTACAGGCAGGCAACCACCACAGCCTGGCTTATTTTTGTATTTTTGGTAGAGATAGGGTTTCTATATTGGCCAGGCTGGTCCTGAACTCCTGACCTCAAGTGATCCACCCATCTTAGCCTCCCAAAGTGCTGAGATTACAGGTGTGAGCCACTGCGCCTGGCCCATAGTGGATTTCTTACTGGTGTTACTTAAGCAATGAGTTGCATTTGGATTAAAATCATCCAGGCTATGAAGAAGACCTCACTCGAATTCCCTCAGGTGATGAGAGTTGCCCAGAGAAGAGGTCCCCCAAGTGATGTCTTACAATATGATTCCACTCAGTTGCCCCTCAGTTGCTGGTATAGAGATGAGTTTCCTCACTGACTGTGAAGCTGGATATGATCATGTGACGAAATCTAGCCAATGGGGGAAAATCTAGCCATTTCTCTTTCTTCCTTCCTGCTGACTGGGAGATGGTGAGACTTCAAACAGCCACCTGGAAGTAGAAGTGGAAGCCCTTCCTGTGTATTGCTTATCTCTTGACTGTTAAATGTGAAACATAAATATTGCTCCTGTTCAGGCCACCTTACTTCTTGGTTTCTGTGTGGTGGCACCTGAATCTATATCCACAACTAATACACACCACTAGTTAGAGGTAGGTGAAAACTGTAGTCTCCTATCAATGCCCCCACCCTCAGACATGAAAGCAAATCTTTATTTGTAAGAGGACACAAAAGTACACCTACAACCTATTTTGTAAGTTTGATAGAGTCTATGACTTTGCCCTTTTAGGTGTTCCTTGCATTGTTTAAGAGGTTCACTTGGGGCAAATATAAAGTTTTTATATTATAAAGGCAGGATTCAGTTAAACTTACAGTTGGCCTTGGACAGCCAGAATCTTCCATCTGAATTGTGCCTGAGTGCAGTATCCCTCCTAGGGTCCTGTTCTTGAGTCCAGCCTTCTGAACATGCTAGGTTATAGCCCATCATGGAATGCTGGGGTGCCCCTGAAGTATTTCTAGTCAATTCACAAGTCTTGAACATCTTAGATTTTAACAGTAAAAACCCATTTCTACATTTCTGATATCCATTTTGATAACTGAGAACCTCAGCTCTTTACTAGAGGTAAAGATAGCTGAAAACTTTAAGAGACAGTAGCCATCTCTTAATGTGGCCCTTTTATTAACTGAGTCTTCATACTGTATTGTAGAGGAAGTTTCAGGTCACATAACAGTGGCTGTCATACTTTCCCGATGCTTACTTCAGCTTCTTTCTGTGTCTTTTCCTTCTCCTCTTTCTCTGCAGTTGTATATGCTCCTTTCTCCCTAGTGTCCTCATAGCTTTTGCTTATTCTTGGCCTCTCCTGCTTTAGAATTTCAGTTTTTACTTTCTCTCTTTTTTTTTTTTTTTGCTGTCCTTCTCCTATATGACAGGTCTCTCTGTACGAGTTGCATTCAAATGCACTGCAGAAGAATCTTGTTGTGTTGCCTAATCACTGTTCAGTACAGTTTATCACCTATGCGGTTGAGCTGTCATGCCTGACCACCTTGAAAGCCAATGGTCTTTCTCATACCCAGTCCAGAGCTGAAACCTTTAGGTAGGTCAAGCACCAACCCCTGATCCAGATAGTTGTAGCCAGGGTTGCAGGATACATTTTGCAAAGGTTAAAAACTTGTGCACCATAAACTGTTTCTTAAAGGGAAGTCACACACCAGATTTCTAAGACTTCTCTCCAATACCTTCCTTGATGCTTGAAACCAAACAATGACATAAAAGCCACAAGCCAGATATTCTGGTAAAATTCTGACAAGTTTAGTTAATTAAATCCATTCGACTAATGTTTACAGAGCATCTGCTAGACACTGTGCTAGACTAGTCATGAAATCATCTGAAGTCTAGTAGGGGAGACGTGTAAACAAGTGATGACAAAGGTTTGGGGAGAGAACTACTTGCTTCTCTTTGTGGCTTGGGTTAATTAAGACAAGAAGCTGGGAAGTGGCACTAAGGGGAGGTCCTCAAAGAATCTAACCACAGACAGGATTTGTGCCTATAAGGAAGAAACCTTCATTTGCATAAAAGGTAGCTGTAATAGGAGATAAATTTGCAAACATGCACTTTTGTCCTCTGAATTTCTTATCGTGGTGAGCATAAACAACTCCTTGTGTTCGAAATAATGTGGGTTTAAAGAACTCACCTTTATTAAAGTATGAGTGATGTGTTCTCCATAATTGAAAATGTCATCAAAGATATAGTCAAAGATATATACTTGGAAACTATTCAGTGTGTCATTTTGCTACTGTAAGTGATTTTTTGATGCCAGAATTCACTGGAATGAATTCATTGCATTTAATTTGGAGGAATTGAGTTCTCTTGGGCAACATAGAATTTTATAATCTATTAAGTGGTTTTCAATTACTCTCAGTACTTGGGACCAAGTGATGCATCCTCTTAAGAACTTGGGAACAGGGGAAATGTGATTGCTTTCTGAGAGTTAACTTTTAAAGTTATTGTATAATGGAGCAGAGACAGAATGACTTGCAGTCCTGCCAGAACGGATTGAATGTAAGAGCATGGTTTCAGAGAGACTGTGTTAGTGGCAGGTGTGCTTGGTTAGGTGTCAGAGCAAGATGCCTAAGGATGATCCCTGGCGTGCCCTTGTGTAAATGCTTTCAACTAATGCTTATTAAATATTCAAATCATATTACAAACTCTCCTTAGCCAGTTCCATTTTCCCTATCAAAACTCTCATCTATTAATCAGGACTTTTTGTTTGCAAGAGATAGTGATGTTGTTGGGCTGTGGCTGTCTCCATTTCTTCCTTCTGCTCTCCCGTTGGGCTTTGTTTTCAGTCAATGCTCTCTCTTTGATATGGCCCTCAGTGTGTTCCAGCTCATATCCTTACCCTTTAGCAATCTGACTAATTACTGAGGAGTTTCAGCCCTGAGACTGGCCAGTCCTGGGACATGTGCCCACCCAACCATCTAAATTATAAGTTCTCATCATGGGTGATGAATGGTTCCCAGAGGTAAAATTTTGTGATTTCGTAAGAGGGAGTAGATTTGAATAGGCAGACATTGCAGGTTTCCTCTGTCACTCTATTATTTGACTTCCACATGATGAGCTTACAGGAAGCAGTTTTCCCTGTCAATGAATACATTAGCATTCTTTGTGTTTGGGTATGTGTGATCACACACACACACATCCACACGCCCACTCACATGTAGATCTTATGAGTTTCACTAAAGTGAGCTTGCCCTTGAGAGGGGTCTACTCAGAATGTGGCAACTCATGGGGTTTCTAAGCTTCCCTGGCTAAGAAGCAAAATCTGAACTTGAGCAAAACAAAGTATGAGGTTCGAGGTCCTGCGGGGCCCTTTTTCCTTTGCTGTTCCCTGTTCCCCCAGCCCCTGTTCTTTACTGTTGAATTCCCACACAGATTACCACATTGTGTGTGTGGTATGCCAGTTTTTAAAAAGGGCATGGCAACAGGAAGATGGAATTGCCACAACTGATTGGACCTGTCATCTGGCCAGCTTTGTGTTTAATAGAAATACTCTCCAGGGACCTGTGATTTGACTTGCTGTCTGCGAAGTAGCACCATTATTTATCCCATTCCTACATCGTGCTATGCAAATGACTTAGGTTGAAATTCATTTCTCAGAAATGGTGGTACCTGTGGAATTGTGAGGTAGTTTTGGAAGAGTGGGCTGAGACCTTCCAGTGCCCCCCAACTGGATTGGTTACAGCAATCAGGAGTTGGGGAGTCACAGGTGTACGCTGTGAAAGGGGAGGGGATGGCTGTTCAGGTCTTGACTGTCCGTCTCTCCCCTTCCTTTCCCTTTCACACTGAGGGACTCATGTTTCTTAGCTCAAGGACAAATGGGACCTCATTAACCACTCTAGCCTGCCTTTCAGGGGCTCATGAGGCTGAGGGAGGGAAGCCAGCTTGAGTTGGGCACTTGGTCCTGCTAGAGGCTGGGCTGGAGGCCTGCCATCCCACAGAGGCCTGTGTGGGGCCTTTGGATAAGAGCAAGGCCATACTTCCGGTCTTGATCTGAGTGGAGTTGTGTCAGTTCTTCTGAGGAAAACTGGTTACTGTCCTTAATGCTGGCAGTAGTTTTTATAGTGCCTGCTTTGAGAGCTGCTTGAGGTAGTCACTTTGCCTCCTTCATCTTTGTATCCCCTTTACCTAGCAGAGTCCTGGAATGTGGAAACATGGGACTGCCTGATGGGTAGATGAACTGAATGCCCTGAGAATGCTGCCTAAGGCTTTCTAGATGTTTTATTACCAATTTACCTGTCTTTCTAAGAAAAGTTCCTGGCTGGGTGCAATGGCTCACGCCTGTAATCCCAGCAGTTTGGGAGGCCGAGGCGGGCAGATCACGAGGTCTGGAATTCGAGACCAGCCTGCCTGGCATGGTGAAATCCTGTCTCTACTAAAAATACAAAAAATTAGCTGGGCGTGGTGGCACGTGCCTGTAATGCCAGCTACTCGGGAGGCTGAGGCAGGAGAATTGCTTGAACCCAGCAGGCGGAAGTTGCAGTGAGCCAAGATTGCGCTACTGCATTCCAGCGTGGGCGACAGAGCGAGACTCCATCTCAAAAGAAAAAAAAAATAAAAAAAGAAAAGTTTTTAAACCATGCCTTAGAATATGAACAGCAGCACACAAAGGCTGATTACATACTGAGAAGGATGGCAATATTAAAGTTAAATTTTTGTAATTACCTCGCATCTGCACATCTATAATAAGATCAATAATTTAACATTTGTGTATGGCATTTTATATTGATTATATAATTATATGCACATTTACAAATACATTAAAAATACATTATAATATTTCCAGATTTGTCTTTCTGGGTAGGACTTTAAAATGTATCTTGAATGTTCTACACACAGAACATTTTTTTTTTTTACCAAAAACAACAAATTTATATATATAAAAATATATATCTAATTCTGAGAAATTATAGGCATCTAAATATGTGACACTCTTCACTTGTAGATTTGTATTTAACTGAACTACTGAACCACTGATGTCTAAAATATTTTCTGACTGTAGCAATATTTGATTACTACATAGAATCTGGAAAATATGAAAAGGCATAAAGAAAAAATAAAAATCACTGAAATGCTACCTCCCAGTGATAGCAACTGCTAATATTTGACAAACTTACTGTTGTCCTTTTTTCCTTTGTGTGTGTGTGTGTATTACAACTGAATTTTGAGGCCTGATTTTATATATATTAGATATGTATAATACCTATATATCATTAATATATAAATATATAATATATAGCTATCTATATCTATAGATCTATATTACATATATTAGATATACCTATATATAGATATATATTAGATATGTAATACCTATATTTTATTAGATGTATATTAGATATTAGATTATATATAGATATGTCTTTCTCTGTGTATCCATGTATCTATCTAGATATATTTATATATATATGCACATATATATCTTTGTATCCTACATTATTTATATAGGATACATTTGTATCCTATATTATTTTCATACCCACCTGCTTGTATACATGGACTGCCCCTAGAAGGAAACAGAAGAGTCTGTTAACAGTAGTTGCTTCTGGGGAGAGGAATGGGTGGCTGACAGAAAAGGGTGTAAGGGAGACTTTTCAATATTTACCATCTTATTGCCTTTGAATGTTGTACCATGTGCATATGTTACTTTTTCTAAAAATATGAATAAACTATCTAAAAATTATGCTATGAGCAATTTCCCATGTCAGTAGGAACTTTTTCAAAACATGAGTTTTAACCACTGCTTATTTTTCTTAATGTTTATTTTTCATGTCATTCGGTTTTCCAGTGTTGGATTTGCCTTTCTCTATGTCCAGTGTGGTTTCAATTCTAGTTCTTTTGTTCTTCTCTCTTGTTTACCGTACTTTTTAAAAACTTGTGCCTTTGTCTTTTTTTTTTTTTTTTTCTGAGACAGAGTCTCACTCTGTCGCCCAGGCTGGATTGCAGTGGCCAGATCTCAGCTCACTGCAACCTTCGCTTCCCGGGTTCAAGCAATTCTCCTGCCTCAGCCTCCTGAGTAGCTGGGACTACAGGTGTGCGCCACCACGTCTGACTAATTTTTGTATTTTTTTAGTAGAGAAGGGGTTTCACCATGTTGGCCAGACTGGTCTCGAACTCCTGACCTCGTGATCCGCCCACCTCAGCCTCCCAAAGTGCTGGGATTACAGGCATGAGCCACCGTGCCTGGCACCTTTGTCTTTTTCTATGTTACATTCCATTTCTTTTGTTTGTCCTGCTATTTATATATTTACCAAATATAGAAGTAAAATTTCTTTTTTTCTGCAATTATTCCTTTAGATAGTTCTTGCATACTATTGAAAATGTTGAACATTTTTCTGAAAAAATCTTCAGGTGTTGGAAGGAGTTTGTTTTTAAGAGATAGAGTCCTTTCTGGTTTCTGGGACTTGTAGTTTTGGAATGAAAGCAACAAAAAAAAAAACCTTTAAATGTTTTCTTATAGGGATCTTTAAATGTAACCAGTTAAAGCAGAGAATCATGAAAGGTGATTGAATTATTCCTTATGCACACTTACCAATCTTTTGATATAAAACTGAGGTCTTCTCTTTGAGTCTGCATCTGCTAATTTGAGTTCCTCTGGGCTTTCTTGCAGAAGCCATACCCATAAGCCTTCCTCCGTGCTTTCATCATTAGTAAAAGGACTTAAAGGCTCTTGGGAAGCAATCTGAGATAAGATTTCTTCTAGAATTTTAAGATTTCTCCCAATCCTCTAGCCATTCTGAATTTGACAGAAGTATTTTTAGTTACCCGCCTTTTACTAAACCTTTCCAGAGCATCTAACTTGGTTTCCATAGATATAATCACTTTTTCTTTTCCTCTCAAATTTTCTGTGGTTTACATAATATTAAATTATACAATTAAATTACATAATATTAATTATGTTACATAATTATATAATTACAATAACAAGTAGAGCTGGCATAAAGAGGTTTGTTAACAAATACAGTTGGCTTTTGGGGGCAGCCAACCCAGCTGATAGGTACAGAGGTGCACAGGCAGTCTGCAGAGCCGCTCCCAGGAGGTCCAGTGGGCATCACTCAGCATATCTTATGGAGGAAATGTAGAGCATTGGCTATTTGGGTGGTTGGTTAGTGAAGGTTAACTTGGATGAGGTTGGTAAGGGAATCTGTAGTATAAAGATACTGATTGACGGAAGGGCACATTGATGGATGGCTTTATGTTCAGTCTCTTGGCAAGATGCTACATTTACAAGTTTGCTTTGTTTTTTCTTTCTAGTT
Organism: Homo sapiens; assembly: GCF_000001405.40. Taxonomy (NCBI): domain Eukaryota; kingdom Metazoa; phylum Chordata; class Mammalia; order Primates; family Hominidae; genus Homo; species Homo sapiens. The sequence continues at coordinate 196,540,914 of NC_000002.12, read as the reverse complement.
CCTGATAATCACATTCTCTGTCATCAGTAAATGGGAGGAACAGCCATTTCTTTGTATGATTATCCTATGGAGAAAGTGTAGTGATTAAAAATATTGTGCTTCCTCATAGTGACTCCTGTTCATTGTTTTAGAAAAAATATATGGTAAAAAGAAGATGACATTTGAAATTTAGATTCCTGACCAGGTGCAGTGGCTGATGCTTATAAACCCAGAGCTTTGAAGTAGGAGGATTGCTTGAGGCCAGGAGTTCAAGACCAGCCTGGGCAACATAGCGAGACCCCGTCTTTACAAAAACATTAAAAAATTAGCCGTGCATGGTGTTGTACTCTTGTAGTCTCAGCTACTTGGGAGGCTGAAGCAGGAGGATACTTGAGCCAGAAGTTCAAGATGACAGTGAACTGTGAGCTATGATCTTGCCACTGCACTCCAACCTAGGTGACAGAGTGAGAACCTGTCTCTAAAAATAAAAATAAAAAAAAGAAAGAAAAATAAATTATATTCCTTAAACACAAATACCCCTTTCTTACTTGATTATTAAATTCTGATCAATGTCATTGACATTAACAGATTTCTCTAGGGGAGTAATTTAAAGATTGATAAGTCATTAATAAGTAGAACAACTACTTGCTCTTTCAGTTTTTAAAAGTTTAAAGGAGTAACATTCATGATGATAAAATATTTGTTTATTTAAAAAATTTTAATCTTTTTTCCCCCAAAAATTGTATTGAAGGAAAAGTACAAAACATTTGAAGTACAATGTTTACAGTTACAAGTTGTAGTGAATGAATTCCCAAAAATATAGTACAACTCAAGTTGACTTATCTTGTTACATTAAAAAGCCTACTTTTGTCAAAGTAGTTCAGACAGTACATACATAGTGCTCCAGCTGTACCTACGTCAAAACAAAGTGACTGCTCATTCATCCGCTGTCCTGAATAGCTTGGGAAACATTCCTACCTTTTTACATGGGAAAAACAAAACAAAAGATAGTATCAGTTTTGGAATTCTCTATAATTAAACAAGGCATATTCATGTACCACATATCCTTGCAGTGCTCAGAGGTAGCCTCTTCACTTTATATTTTTTAAAAGTGGTAAAATTCCTTTCCTTTTGTGCTATTGAACCTATCTTATATTCAGATTCTCTCAAGGACTAATAAACAAAATACTTACTTGATTGAGGAAGATTTAAGGCAAGTTCAAGCCCTTCCAAAGGGACCCTCATGTGAGATTACTCGTACACGTAAAAGTATTTGTTTTCTTTTTTTTCTTTTTCTTTTTGAGAAGGAGTCTTGCTCTGTTGTCCAGGCTGGAGTGCAGTGGCTGGATCTTGGCTCACTGCAAGCTCCGCCTCCCAGGTTCACACCATTCTCCTGCCTCAGCCTCCTGAGTAGCTGGTACCACAGGTGCCCGCCACCACAGCCGGCCAATTTTTTTGTATTTTTTTAGTAGAGACAGGGTTTCACCATGTTAGCCAGGATGGTCTACATCTCCTGACCTCATGATCCACCCGCCTCGGCCTCCCAAAGTGCTGGGATTGCAGGCATGAGCCACTGCGTCCGGCCTACGTAAAAGTATTTGTTTATTGACCAACATTTTATGGAAAGTTGTCACACGTTTCCTGACATGTAAGCCTTAACATTTCCTGTGAGGAAGGATGGGAGGGAAGAGTTCCCTCATTTCACAGGTTTGTAAAAATGAGCCTGAGAGGTTAAGTGATTTGCCCGAGATCCTACAGGGACTGAGCACCCCAGACAAGAACTTAGGAGTGCTCAGAGTTTCTCCACCAAACTACCTTTAGTCTCGGCTTAAGACTCCAGGGCACTTCTGGACTTCTGCCACTATTCATGCCTTTTGGGCAATAGTTCCTTACTTTTAGGACTAAAAAAGTTGAATCGAGTCTTCCCTTTCAGACCACCACTTCTCACTGTTGGAAGCACTTGGTGTCTTTTTTCAGGGATATTTAGGAAACCCTTTATTTTTTCCACTTTCAAAGAGTACCTGAGCTCCGAGGAAACTGCTGTGGTGGTGCGTTGATTGGTAGAGAGGAGGCGGCTGGTTCCTAGGTGACTGCTAAGCTTTTATTGCTGGTGAGTTTTGATGAGCAGCCTGCCAGCTGGCCTTTCTTATCACTGGAGCTGTCCTTCATATAAAATGAAGGTACCTGGGAGAAAAACTTATACGAGCAAAAGCAAAATTGTCAGAACATGTTAGCTCATGAGACTGTTATAGTTTTTTTAAACTGAAAGTTTTTAATAAGACAAGTCATTTTTTTCTTACATACTCAAGGCTGGGTATAGAGGGGCACTGGTTAAGTCTGGGACTAACCAAACTCCAGGGTGGCTTCCCTGATACAAGACTAATCTAAGCTGCCATCCTAAATCTCCCAAAAATGTACTGTGGGACAGGAGTGTAAAGAACTTTCCCAAAACCTCTCTGAGGACTGCTAAGTGCGGTGTACCTTTTACGCTGCCAGAATGAATGTAGGGCTGCTATGCCAGCTAGCATATTACCCTTTTTACTGCCCTCACCGCAGTTCAGTGTTTGCCAAAGTGTGATCCAGAACTGCTTGTATCACAGAATCTCTTGGGACAGGGCCTGGCGTTCTTAATTTTAAACAAGCTCTCCAAGTGCTCAGTGACACTCTAAAAATTGACAGCCACTGGTTCCTTTATCACCTTCCTTGTTTGTCTTTATCAGAAAAAGTGGAGGATATGCCTCAGGTCAAATCGTTTTGTGGAAGGAGGTGGAGAGGTTACAGGGGAGCAATCTTTGTAAGGTAGAGAAACGATGCAGGTACTTGACTGTCTCTGTCGGACTCCTTCGTCTTTCTGTTGAGTACGAGTGTTACAGGACAGGGGTCCTGATCCAGACACCAACAGAGGGTTCTTGGATCTCCCACAAGAAAGAATTCAGGGCGAGTCCACAGTGCAGAGTAAAAGCAAATTTATTAAGAAAGTACAGTGGTGAAAGGACAGCTACTCCACAGACAGAGTAGGAGGTTCCCTAGCTACAATGCTGGTATATATGGGGAGATGGGCTCTGTTACAAGGGTTTGTGATAAAGGATTAATTTTCTCAATTGCTATATTTTGCAAGAATCAATATTATTATCTTCAAAGAAAAATTGGGAATGCCTTTGTTCTCCAGATATCGGGATATCTGGACACTCCCAAGTCTGGGTCTGTTTAGTAAACATGATTAATTTGTTCCCTTAACCATAAACATCTAGAGGCTAGGAATGCCTCACTTTCTGAGAATGCAGCCCAGCAAGTCTCAGCCTCATTTTCCTAGCCCTCACTCAAGATGGAGTTGCTCTGGTTCGAACGCCTCTGACACCAGTACCGTTCAGCCACACCTCAGCTTCTCCTGTTGTCCGTCCTGGTTCATGCTGTCCCTGGTTTTCTAGACATGTTTTCATAATTATAATCATCTGTGCCCTGTCTGGTCTGCTTGGCAGGCCAAGAGCTTTGCTGCCTCCTGATCTCCAGCTTCAACTGAATTGGAAACGTTTTGAATGTAGCTCGCCGGTCTCTGGGTTGGATGTTTAAATTCCTCTTGGATCTATTGGCTTCCATCGTGAGGCTTTCCATCTTCCCACCTCCCACCCTGTCCCCATACATGGACAGCACATTCTCAGTTTCCACACAGGTTTCCCCAGTATCGCTTTGTCAGTTTTCTGTTTATGTCTAGGAGCACATTTTCCTGGAAACTCTATTGTAGTGTTTAGATGTTCAGGTTCTTCCACCAAAGCTCACTCACCCCATATGGAACTGAATTGTTCTTTCCTAGGAGCAGGAGGCCTGAGATATGGAGGGAGAAGGAAGAAGAATAGCTTTCTTCCTTCTTCCTAGGATGGAAATGATTTTAGGCAAAATTGAACAGAAAGGAATTGGTTTTCGCCCCTGCTTTCTTTTTACTAATTTCATCTTTCCTGGCCTCGTATGTTTGAGATTAGGTGATTAAGCTGTGAGATGTGAGTGATTTGTGTCCCTAGTGAATTTGGGGACCTCTGGACTTGCTCAGTTACAGTGGCTGCTGTCTTTCATCCAACACAACCACCAATGCAGCCATCAAAGATCAAATGAGTTTCAGTGGCCTTCTAACTTGGTGTATTGATGCTCAGTTTGAGTAGCACAGTGGCCATTTAGCAGATTAATGATGGGAATAACTGACTCTGTGGCTCTCAGCCCCTAGTCCAGAGAGTTGGATTATGTGCTCCTGAAGATTATTTGCTGTGTGACTTTTTGAGATCTATAATCTCCTTTTTTCCTTCAAGCTGGAGATTAGTCCTTGGAGGGGGTCTGGGAACAAAATGGCAGACTCTAGTGGTTATCGGGAACAAAAGTTTTTTAAAATTGCTTCTTCGCTTGTCGGTAGAGGAATTTTTAAGGTTGGTGGGAACAGAGATACATAGGCAGCAGGAGTTTTGTGAGGCTGAGCATGCCAACTTTTAGTATCTGTGGGCTTTAGACACATCCTCTGGAAAGCAAGTGCCCACTGACATTTCTGATCTTTCCAGCTCTCTCATGTAGTCCAGTGGCCTTTACAGTAGTCCCTTATGCAGAATACTCTCACAGCTGCTACAGTTCAGAGTGGCAAACCATGCACCTAGGTGTACCAAGAAAACTAATGAACTCAGAAGTTCTTTAAAGCCAGAGGGTCCCATCCCGTAAGTTTTACAGGAGCATCAAAGTGTTTACAGATCAGGTTACTGGTTGATGAGACCTATTAATTATCGGCTTGTTCAGTGTGTCCTTCATGCCCACCCTTGGCCATTTAGAAAAATTGGTATTTATTTTCCAAAAGTTTTTAGGAAGTCATGTAAGTCCTAAGGGCACACATTACCTTTCCAGGTTGTTCTAAAGTGCTCCCAAATTATTTAGCCTCTATCAACCATTTTTTCCTCTCTGTGGTTCTTTGATAGATGTTAGAGTGGAAAGCAATCTGATTGTATTTTTCATAGTCTAGTGATCCCCCTGGAGGTAGATTTTTTTTTAACACATAATACTTGTTAACTCAGATCTCTAATTGATGACATCTCAGGCAATGTATCATAACAAAATGAGCCATTTCAAACATTCTAGACAAACGTGAAGGGACAGCATAAAATAATTTATGGCAGTTTGTCCCTGGAGTCTCTTCTTCTAAACTGTTTCTGCTTTCTCTGTTTTTGCTAGTTTTGAACTCATAGCACCTCTGCATTTCCAAGGTGACTGTGATGATTTGGGATCGATGAGGAGAGGGTAAGGCAGAGAATATCCAGGACTATTATGTACACATTTAGGGTCGACTGTGCCACAGACATTAGACCCAGAAAGGTATGTGGTAAGCGGATAAGGGATTTTGATGCAGCATTCTCACTTACAGGATCTAAGTGCAGTGTGCTTGAGCCTTATAATTAAATTGCCTTATAATTTGCCTTTAGTAAGTCTCTTATCTTTTAGTATGTTATCCAAGGCATTATACCAAACTCACCACTCTAACCGCTGCATGTAAATTTGATGTGGTATGGTATTACATGTTTAACATTGATGTATTTGGAATCTTGTCCTTTGCTATACATTATGTTTGAAGTGGCGCTTAAGAATAACAAAACTAGCATGGTAAACAGGCTGCAGTTCTCACAGTGGTGGCAAGGATCCACCCACATCTAGTTTAGTACTGATCTTGATTTTGTGTTTCTTCATTTGGAGTCTTTGCCAGCTTTATGAATACAGCACTGATTTTCACAAACTGGGAAATCTATTTTTCTCTCTTATGGGAGTGTTGTGAGAAATGAAACTGATGAAGCTTTAAATGTGAGTTTTAGGGGCTAGCGTTTTTAGCAGTTGAAGGAGAGTGGGTTTTTTGTTTTTTTTTTTTTGTTATATTGACAATTTGTTTTCTTCCTAATCGTTTTGTCGTGCAAATTGGTATAGACTGAAGGGGACATAGATTAGTTGGGGAGTTAGCCACTTTGTTAAGTTAGTATTTGCTGTTTCAAAAATTTCTCCATTAAGATGTGGAGAACTAAGTGGCAATTGAAATAGGATTTGATTTTGGTATCTTGGACTTGCAGTGAGATGTCTACCCTATCCCGCTCATTCTAGTCAGCCACACCCTGCCAGGTGAAGCCACTGGAGTAGGCAAAGCAAGCAGCATCTTGTTTCACAGTAGAGACTGACAATGGAAGTGCTTTCTGAGGCCGGGGCAGGCGATTGTGTTAAGCAGGTTCTTGGGAGCTACTTTTAGCTCTTTGAAAAATTTATATCTCAAAGCCCCAGCTCTCCCTCCTGCGTCACAGCAGCTGGCCTACATTTACCAGAATATGCAGACTCTCTTCTGATATTTATGGGAGATGGAGTGAGGCATCAGAGACTAGAAGAAGATTCAGCTATCATTTCAACCCCGTTCTCATTTCTGAGGCTGAAAAGATTCTTCCATGCTCCTTAGGCTATATATTATTTAAAGAGAAGAAAAGTAACAAATTCCTCCCTAGTATTTCACACTCACTGAATTGAGATCTCAGAGTACGTTGCTACTAATAATTTATACCTGTTTATTAATGCTGACATATGAGCAGTTTAGTGCATGAGGCAGGGAAGGGCTACATAGTTGAAGAACAAAGTAGAGTAAAGATTTTTTTTTTTTTCCTGCACAAAAACGGAGGCCCTGACACACACCGAAGACTCATTTACAGTGAGAGTGAAGCTTTCCTGTGGTCAGGAAATACTTCTGTGAAATAGAACTATAAATACCTGATCTTGTAAAGGATGCTAAAATTATACATACTACTTTCAAATTGTCTGATCTCATTTAGTTTAGACACAAAGTTGGGACTTCTTAGCAGATACATATTATCAGTGAAAGCAAATGAAATCAGGATTCTGGGAATAATGTGCAACAGTAAATCAGGGAGCAGCAACAGAAAAACAAATCAAATCCCCAGCCCAGCTGACAGCTCATGAACAGTATCAAAGTAGCAGATGCACTAGGTAAGGTGGTTCATAGCAATGAGGTTATAAATTATGTACAATAATTATTTTCCAGAAAGCTAGTATTATATTTTAGTCCTAAGAAAAATTTGGTTTCTTGTTCTTGATACAAAGCAAAATGGAAGCAGTTGTAAAGCTTTCATCTTACACACTTAATTAAATTCTCGAGTCTACCATTGACCTTATAACTGTTTTACAGTGAGATAAGTTGAGCCAGAAAAAAGTCAGGCTAGTTTAAGGTGACAGTAACAGAGCTTCTTGTCTAGTTAAACACATTGTTAATGGAAAATAAAGAATGAAATTACACCTATATATATATTCCTTTTCCAGTGTCATGGACAAGGATACATATGACTTTGCTGAGATTAAGGAATAGAAGCTCTTCCATCCTGCAGCCTGCAAACTGAAGGGGAAGGCAGGAGGGTGGAGGAAGAATTGAGAATTAGATAAAAGATACCCCCCCACACACACAAAAAAAGATGAGTAGTCTCTTGGCTGTTGTGATTCAAAATAATTTAAAGGGCAAGTTTCATTTGTGGTGGTTGAGGTTGCTTCCTGTTATGGAAGGGGCTCTATCCCACGTCAATAATAAACATTTTTATGCTAGAAACTTAACACTGGAAATAGATAGAGGTCATTGGTTGCTAATTCGTAATCAACATAGGGATCTTTGCTACAGTTTCTCTACAGAGGTTAAGATTACCTGTTTGAACATTTTCATAACATTATAATTTATAAGTTCACCAAAAGATCAGCTGTCCAATTCCTGGTTACCACAAATAATTAAAACATAGTAGCTAAGCATCTGTTTTGGTCTTAAAACAAACATGACTAAGATGCAATTGTAATCTTATTTAAGGTAAGAATAGTAAGGGGAAATTCAGTTGGTCTCCACACCAGAAAAATTACATGGTATGCACCTAAAAATATTAATATGATAGCTGAAGAAACTGTATGTTATCTGACTTTCTTCAACTTCCTTCCCCAAATATTTTCAGTGTATTTTCTTAATAAGATATCTTGGGGAGCAGCCTAGACAGAAGAGTTCACTGAGCCACGCTAAGTTATGCCAAATTAATGTGTCCCTCCTCCTTCTCCTCTTTTCCCCACCTCTTTGCTCTCCTTCTCCTTACTAGTGTTACTATAAGTAAAATAAAATAATATAAGCAATAAATATAGATGATAGCAAGGTAGTTGATAAGATCTCTCCAGAGGTCATTGTAGCCAGTGTGGAGGAATGTGCCCTGGAAGATGGTAATTTTTTTTTTAATATTAACTTTTATTCCCTATTGCACATACTATTTTTTAAATTATTATACTTTAAGTTCTGGGCTACATGTGCAGAATGTGCAGTTTTAATACATTGGTATACACGTGCTATGGTGTTTTAATGCACCCATCAACCCGTCACCTACATTAGGTATTTCTCCTAATGCTGTCCCTCCCCTAGACACCCACCCCCTGACAGGCCCTGGTATGTGATGTTCCCCTCCCTGTGTCCGTATGTTCTCCTTGTTCAACTCCCACTTATGAGTGAGAATATGTGGTGTTTGGTTTTCTGTTCTTGTGATAGTTTGCTGAGAATAATGGTTTCCAGCTTCATCCATGTCCCTGCAAAGGACATGAACTCATCCTTTTTTATGGCTGCATAGTATTCCGTGGTGTATATGTGCCACATTTTCTTTATCCAGTCTATCATTGATGGACATTTGGGTTGGTTCCAAGTCTTTGCTATTGTGAACAGTGCTGCAATAAACATACATATGCACGTGCCTTTATAGTAGAATGATTTATAATCCTTTGGGTATATACCCAGTAATGGGATTGCTGGGTCAAATGGTATTTCTAGTTTTAGATCCTTGAGGAATCGCCACACTGGGAAGATCGTAATGTTAGATGCCAGTTGTGTGCAGGGCACATTGCTAGGTGCTGCCAGTGCAGCAATAAACAAGTGTGATGTGATCTCTTCCTTCAAGGAGCTTATAATGCTTTTGAGACTTTTAGAAAACTAAGAGCAGTGAAATATGTCAAAGTGATGATGAGAGGGTACAGGGTCTTCTGTTGGAGTGTGTGATAGGGATCTAATGGACCTTCAAGATTAGGGAGAGTCTCTCTAAGAAGACAATTTTTAAATAGTGATCCAGAGGCTAAGAAGTTAACTAGGTTAACATTAAGAGGTGGTAAAGTATTCTGAGCATAGGTAACAGCGTGTGCAAAGGCTCGGAAGTAAAAGAGAGCTTGGTCTCATCCTGAAAACTTTTTTTTTTGTTTTTTTTTTGAGACAGAGTCTCACACTGTTGCCTGGGCTGGACTGCAGTGGTACGATCTCAGGACACTGCAACCTCCGCTTACCGGGTTCAAGTGATTCTCCTGCCTCAGCCTCCTGAGTAGCTGGGATTACCGGTGCCCATCACCATGCCCAGCTAATTTTTTGTATTGTATTTTTATTAGAGACGGGGTTTCATTATGTTGGCCAGGCTGGTCTCGAACTCCTGACCTTGTGATCCATCCACTTCAGCCTCCCAAAGTGTTGGGATTACAGGCCTGAGCTGCCGCACCTGGCCAAAAACATTTAATAATAATAAGTTTAGTGTATTTGTTAAAGTACAAGCTAAGCTGCTGTAACAAAGTCACTCCATATTACAGTAGATCGAACAAGACAGAAGTTTATTTCCCCTCCTGAAATAGTTTGGAATTAGTCAGCAAACCAGGGTGATAGGCAGCTCTCCTCTTAAAGGTCATTCTGGAACTTGGGCTCTTTTTATCTTGATCACTCATTTCACTAATGAAACATTATTTCTGGCATCCCTTATGCTAATTAATGAACCACAGTGCGTAAAATGACAGCTGAAAGTCAGAGAGAAGTCTGCTATTAGAATACATATCAAGGGAAATGGAACCCAGTCTTAAGGTTAGGGATAATATTGCGGAGGAAGTGAGAACTGAAGTAGAAGTTGGCCAGATGAAGGTTAGGAGGTGGGAGAGTTCTAGAGGGAACATGTGCGAGAACTCATGGTAAGAGGATAGTGTATTTAAGAAAATGAGAAACACTGGGTGTAGTATTAGGACATACTTTAAGGTACTGCAACAAGGAGGCCACAAATTACAATGAATCAAACAAGATAGAAGTTTATTTTCCTCCCATAGAACAGTTAGGATTTAGTATAGTGGCTTGTGGAGAGTGGATACCTCCATAGGGTCCTTGCAATGCCAGTAAGAGTAAATTACTGATTAGGGAAATTGAATTGTTATATTTAGTTGTTTATGAATAACTAAATAACTGTCTTACTGTATTTTAAAGTAGATTATAAGACAGCTCACTAAACCATGTTAAGGAGTTTAGGATTTATCCAAAGGTAGACATGAAACCATTTGAAAAGAGGGAATTAAGCTTGCAATTTATAAAGGTGGCACTGGTTTTAATGCCATGAATTAAGAGGAGAGCAAGATGGAAGGCTGGAAGGTCAGTTAGGCTATTGCTGTAATCCAGGTGAGAAAGGATATGGTGGTGGTCTGGATTCTGTAGGGATGGTTATCTGTTAGGCATAATATAATTAGTAGGCAGAACTTCATGGAGAGGAGTTTGGTAGAAATTATTTTAATCTATTACTGTCCAGGCCTGAGCTTCATAACATTGTATGCATCCCTAGAATTCTAAATGTCCATACATTTATTTAATGAGGGTTGCAAAGTCAAATATTTACCAAGGCTTGCTTAGCACAGGAAAACTAAATAAAGCAGGCTTGCTGTAAGAGTGGGAGGTTTTGGGGAACTGGACAGCACATGCACCCTTTAAAGAGGACAAGTCTATTCAGTTGCAGGCAAGTGTTGCCATTTGTAAATAAGAATTATTGCCAGATCTTCTGATTTTTTTCTTTTTCCAAAGTATCTTAGATTCTTATATGAAATCTAATTTTTACATGTTGATGTCTAAGTAAAAATTAAACAAACTTGCAAACAGAATACTGAGTAGGCCAACATTGTTAGAGCCAAATAAAACAAGTAGGAGTGGGATTTTGTTTGCCTGGGTTCATTTGTGACCTCCAGCTAATAACTGTATTAGTTAGGGCAGGCTGATATGACAAAGAAATCCAATAAGAAAATGGCCAAAAGAACAGAGATGTTTGTTTCCCATGTGACAGTTCCAGTGTGAGTGGGCCAGGTGGCCAGACATTGTTGCTCTTCATGGTCACTCAGGTGCTTTCCAAATTGTTATCTCCTAGTGTAGACTTGTTCACTGGCATGGTTGTAGCTGGCCATCACCATGTCTGGATTCCAGCCATCAAAAAGGGAAGGAGAGTATGGATGAACATGAGCACACTCCTTGTCCTAAGGCCCTGGCCATCTATTCATAACAATGTAATATTTATGTATGTTTGTGTAGCATTCTTTTCTGTTAATTTTTTAAATCCTTATAGCCATTTGAGCCTGGCATGAGGGGTATTATTCCTGTGTGACAGATGAAGAAGTAAGGTTCAGGTGGGTTGTGACTTGCCCGAGATCACAAAGAGAATTAGTGGTGGAAGACCAGAATCCACCTCAACTCTTTTTTAGTAATAATAAAATACCTTTTAAATGTATTAATAATAATTTATATGAGTTCCTATTACCAAACAAAATTGAGTCACTTACCAAAGTGTGAAGGGAGATGGCAACATGTTTTTCCTCCTGAAATATGTTACCATATTCCCCTTCCAAAATATCATTCTTGATCACAGCTAGCAGCACATGGGGAGGTACACAAGAGCCAGAAGTCCTTTGAGTTCTTAGTAGGATGGTTTTGCTCTGGAATACCAGAACATTCTTTTGTCTTAAATATTACAGGGTAATTGTGTGTAGGAATATTGATTCCATGTGGTGTGGCTTCTGCATGTGGTTATAAGCTTCAGCCTCATTTGATTTCTGTTTCTGAGAAAATGATGAGAGAGTCATGGCAAGAATTGCTCTCATTAGTCAAATCACTCTCCTGGTTCTGGGTAACCCCAACTCCCTGCACAGATAAAGGAAGTCTCATTTAACGGTTTTTGGAGCATTTCACTAATGTAGAAAAAGAGAAAGCCAGAGAGTTTCCAGGTACCTGACTGTTCTCATTCATGGTTACCCAAGTCTTTGAATGAAACATTTAAACAGTAAATTTGGAGTTCTGCAGAATGAAAAGTTAGAGGGATGTGGAATTCTTTCTCCTCATTCTTTTATTAGAACTAGGAAAAGAACCAGGCATGACCACATAATTGTGACTGCTCCCATGAAGAATGGGCAGAACAATGAAACAGTGATGTGCTGACAGTGCCTTGGATGTGTACAATAGAAAAGCCTTCCTTTTTTCTTTTGTTTTGTTTTGCTTTTGAAGGAGCATCCTGTTCTGGTTGGTTGAGGCCAGGATTATAATTCCAGGATACCAAGGTTCTAGTCCTGGTGTTTCTGCCCCTGATTCTCACCACTGACTTTGAAAATCTATTAGTGTTTGGTTGTTTCTGGCAACAAATCAGTTTTAAATAGGTGAGGCCAAGTATGTTCTGCCTCTTATGTGGAGAACAGAATAGTGTAATGTTGTTTTTATGTAATTTAATATACGTAATTAAAAATAATACAGTTGACTCTGCTTTCCACTAGTCAATTTTTAATAATATAGGTACCAATGTTAATATTTAATTAATTGCTTGGTAATGCGTTTATATAATTGAAATCATTACACATTTATGTAATTGAATCATTTAAAGAGATATTTTTAAAAGTATAGGTCATGTTTATTGAGGGAAGAATTTTGCATATTAAGTGATGGCCCAAATGATCTCTTGGTAAATATGGGAACTCTAATCAAAGTTACTACCACCATTACAGTTGCTATCACCTCCATCATCATCTTTTTAGTTCCTGCTATGGGACTCATTTTCTAGAAGAGGAAAAAGAACCTTTTAGAGGAAACCAAATCACTCAATCTTTTATGGGCTTTATGAACAAGAAATTAAGGAATCATTATCATTGTATTTTTAAAATGTGGAAATAATCAGAAGTGAAACCTGGTAGTTTTCAAGTCTGTGAGCCTTTTTTAAAAATTAATTTACATGACTGCTTATAAAATTTTAACCAGGACATAAAAGTCACTTAAATATGTTTCTTAAAAATTTCAAGTGGACTCCTTCTAGGACAGGGCTATAAACCCCTGGGGCTTGAAATATGGTTCAAAGCGTGCTGCTGTTAAGTCTGAAGTTTCTCTGCAATGTATTACTTTAAAAATTCATGCAGATATAGTATTCTGTTTTGTATATTTTTTGTTTCAACATAAAAATACTGTTTTAAATTATTCAATGTAGGGTAAAATTTGACACTCCAGGAAGGTTTTCTTGTGGTTTGCCCTTAACGTTGCCTCAGACCTGAGTTGAGCTTGGGCAAGCCCATTTATGTTGTTCATAGTGGCTGGATTAAAATGAAGGGATTCGAGGAGCCAAGATGGCCGAATAGAAACAGCTCCGGTCTACAGCTCCCAGCGTGAGCGACGCAGAAGAAGGGTGATTTCTGCATTTCCATCTGAGGTACCGGGTTCATCTCACTAGGGAGTGCCAGACAGTGGGCGCAGGCCAGTGGGTGCGTGCACCGTGCGTGAGCCGAAGCAGGGCGAGGCATTGCCTCACTTGGGAAGTGCAAGGGGTCAGGGAGTTCCCTTTCCGAGTCAAAGAAAGGGGTGACGGACGCACCTGGAAAATTGGGTCACTCCCACCCGAATATTGCGCTTTTCAGACCAGCTTAAAAAACGGCGCACCACGAGATTATATCCCACACCTGGCTGGGAGGGTCCTAGGCTCACGGAGTCTCGCTGATTGCTAGCACAGCAGTCTGAGATCAAACTGCAAGGCGGCAGCAAGGCTGGGGGAGGGGCGCCCGCCATTGCCCAGGCTTGCTTAGGTAAACAAAGCAGCCGGGAAGCTCCAACTGGGTGGAGCCCACCACAGCTCAAGGAGGCCTGCCTGCCTCTGTAGGCTCCACCTCTGGGGGCAGGGCACAGACAAACAAAAAGACAGCAGTAACCTCTGCAGACTTAAGTGTCCCTGTCTGACAGCTTTGAAGAGAGCAGTGGTTCTCCCAGCACGCAGCTGGAGATCTGAGAACTGGCAGACTGCCTCCTCAAGTGGGTCCCTGACCCCTGACCCCCGAGCAGCCTAACTGGGAGGCATCCCCCAGCAGGGGCACACTGACACCTCACAGGGCAGGGTATTCCAACAGACCTGCAGCTGAGGGTCCTGTCTGTTAGAAGGAAAACTAACAAACAGAAAGGACATCCACACCGAAAACCCATCTGTTTATCACCATCATCAAAGACCAAAAGTAGATAAAACCACAAAGATGGGGAAAAAACAGAACAGAAAAACTGGAAACTCTAAAACGCAGAGCGCCTCTCCTCCTCCAAAGGAACACAATTCCTCACCAGCAATGGAACAAAGCTGGATGGAGAATGACGTTGACGAGCTGAGAGAAGAAGGCTTCAGACGATCAAATTACTCTGAGCTACGGGAGGACATTCAAACCAAAGGCAAAGAAGTTGAAAACTTTGAAAAAAATTTAGAAGAATGTATAATTAGAATAACCAATACAGAGAAGTGCTTAAAGGAGCTGATGGAGCTGAAAACCAAGGCTCGAGAACTACGTGAAGAATGCAGAAGCCTCAGGAGCCGATGCGATCAACTGGAAGAAAGGGTATCAGCAATGGAAGATGAAATGAATGAAATGAAGCGAGAAGGGAAGTTTAGAGAAAAAAGAATAAAAAGAAATGAGCAAAGCCTCCAAGAAATATGGGACTATGTGAAAAGACCAAATCTACGTCTGATTGGTGTACCTGAAAGTGATGGGGAGAATGGAACCAAGTTGGAAAACACTCTGCAGGATATTATCCAGGAGAACTTCCCCAATCTAGCAAGGCAGGCCAACGTTCAGATTCAGGAAATACCGAGAACGCCACAAAGATACTCCTCGAGAAGAGCAACTCCAAGACACATAATTGTCAGATTCACCAAAGTTGAAATGAAGGAAAAAATGTTAAGGGCAGCCAGAGAGAAAGGTCGGGTTACCCTCAAAGGGAAGCCCATCAGACTAACAGCGGATCTCTCGGCAGAAACCCTACAAGCCAGAAGAGAGTGGGGGCCAATATTCAACATTCTTAAAGAAAAGAATTTTCAACCCAGAATTTCATATCCAGCCAAACTAAGCTTCATAAGTCAAGGAGAAATAAAATACTTCACAGACAAGCAAATGCTGAGAGATTTTGTCACCACCAGGCCTGCCCTAAAAGAGCTCCTGAAGGAAGCACTAAACATGGAAAGGAACAACCGGTACCAGCCGCTGCAAAATCATGCCAAAATGTAAAGACCATCGAGACTAGGAAGAAACTGCATCAACTAACGAGCAAAATCACCAGCTAACATCATAATGACAGGATCAAATTCACACATAACAATATTAACTTTAAATGTAAATGGACTAAATTATCCAATTAAAAGACACAGACTGGCAAATTGGATAAAGAGTCAAGACCCATCAGTGTGCTGTATTCAGGAAACCCATCTCACGTGCAGAGACACACATAGGCTCAAAATAAAAGGATGGAGGAAGATCTACCAAGCAAATGGAAAACAAAAAAAGGCAGGGGTTGCAATCCTAGTCTCTGATAAAACAGACTTTAAACCAACAAAGATCAAAAGAGACAAAGAAGGCCATTACATAATGGTAAAGGGATCAATTCAACAAGAAGAGCTAATTATCCTAAATATATATGCACCCAATACAGGAGCACCCAGATTCATAAAGCAAGTCCTGAGTGACCTACAAAGAGACTTAGACTCCCACACATTAATAATGGGAGACTTTAACACCCCACTGTCAACATTAGACAGATCAAGGAGACAGAAAGTCAACAAGGATACCCAGGAATTGAACTCAGCTCTGCACCAAGCGGACCTAATAGACATCTACAGAACTCTCCACCCCAGATCAACAGAATATACATTTTTTTCAGCACCACACCACACCTATTCCAAAATTGACCACATACTTGGAAGTAAAGCTCTCCTCAGCAAATGTAAAAGAACAGAAATTATAACAAACTATCTCTCAGACCACAGTGCAATCAAACTAGAACTCAGGATTAAGAATCTCACTCAAAGCCGCTCAACTGCATGGAAACTGAACAACCTGCTCCTGAATGACTACGGGGTACATAACAAAATGAAGGCAGAAATAAAGATGTTCTTTGAAACCAATGAGAACAAAGACACAACATACCAGAATCTCTGGGACACATTCAAAGCAGTGTGTAGAGGGAAATTTATAGCACTAAATGCCCACAAGAGAAAGCAGGAAAGATCCAAAATTGACACCCTAACATCACAATTAAAAGAACTAGAAAAGCAAGAGCAAACACATTCAAAAGCTAGCAGAAGGCAAGAAATAACTAAAATCAGAGCAGAACTGAAGGAAATAGAGACACAAAAAACCCTTCAAAAAATCAATGAATCCAGGAGCTGGTTTTTTGAAAGGATCAACAAAATTGATAGACCGCTAGCAAGACTAATAAAGAAAAAAAGAGAGAAGAATCAAATAGACACAATAAAAAATGATAAAGGGGATATCACCACTGATCCCAAAGAAATACAAACTACCATCAGAGAATACTACAAACACCTCTACGCAAATAAACTAGAAAATCTAGAAGAAATGGATAAATTCCTTGACACATACACTCTCCCAAGACTAAACCAGGAAGAAGTTGAATCTCTGAATAGACCAATAACAGGAGCTGAAATTGTGGCAATAATCAATAGTTTACCAACCAAAAAGAGTCCAGGACCAGATGGATTCACAGCCGAATTCTACCAGAGGTACAAGGAGGAACTGGTACCATTCCTTCTGAAACTATTCCAATCAATAGAAAAAGAGGGCATCCTCCCTAACTCATTTTATGAGGCCAGCATCATTCTGATACCAAAGCCGGGCAGAGACACAATCAAAAAAGACAATTTTAGACCAATATCCTTGATGAACATTCATGCAGAAATCCTCAATAAAATACTGGCAAAACGAATCCAGCAGCACATCAAAAAGCTTATCCACTATGATCAAGTGGGCTTCATCCCTGGGATGCAAGGCTGGTTCAATATACGCAAATCAATAAATGTAATCCAGCATATAAACAGAGCCAAAGACAAAAACCACATGATTATCTGAATAGATGCAGAAAAAGCCTTTGACAAAATTCAACAACCCTTCATGCTAAAAACTCTCAATAAATTAGGTATTGATGGGACGTATTTCAAAATAATAAGAGCTATCTATGACAAACCAACAGCCAATATCATACTGAATGGGCAAAAACTGGAAGCATTCCCTTTGAAAACTGGCACAAGACAGGGATGCCCTCTCTCACCACTCCTATTCAACATAGTGTTGGAAGTTCTGGCCAGGGCAATTAGGCAGGAGAAGGAAATAAAGGGTATTCAATTAGGAAAAGAGGAAGTCAAATTATCCCTGTTTGCAGACGGCATGATTGTATATCTAGAAAACCCCATTGTCTCAGCCCAAAATCTCCTTAAGCTGATAAGCAACTTCAGCAAAGTCTCAGGATACAAAATCAATGTACAAAAATCACAAGCATTCTTATACACCAACAACAGACAAACAGAGAGCCAAATGATGAGTGAACTCCCATTCACAATTGCTTCAAAGAGAATAAAATACCTAGGAATCCAACTTACAAGGGATGTGAATGACCTCTTCAAGGAGTACAAACCACTGCTCAATGAAATAAAAGAGGATACAAACAAATGGAAGAACATTCCATGCTCATGGGTAGGAAGAATCAATATCGTGAAAATGGCCATACTGCCCAAGGTAATTTACAGATTCAATGCCATCCCCATCAAGCTACCAATGACGTTCTTCACAGAATTGGAAAAAACTACTTTAAAGTTCATATGGAACCAAAAAAGAGCCCGCATCACCAAGTCAATCCTAAGTCAAAAGAACAAAGCTGGAGGCATCACACTACCTGACTTCAAACTATACTACAAGGCTACAGTAACCAAAACAGCATGTACTGGTACCAAAACTGAGATATAGATCAATGGAACAGAACAGAGCCCTCAGAAATAACGCCGCATATCTACAACTATCTGATCTTTGACAAACCTGAGAAAAACAAGCAATGGGGAAAGGATTCCCTATTTAATAAATGGTGCTGGGAAAACTGGCTAGCCATATGTAGAAAGCTGAAACTGGATCCCTTCCTTACACCTTATACAAAAATCAATTCAAGATGGATTAAAGATTTAAACGTTAGACCTAACACCATAAAAACCCTAGAAGAAAACCTAGGCATTACCATTCAGGACATAGGCATGGGCAAGGACTTCATGTCTAAAACACCAAAAGCAATGGCAACAAAAGCCAAAATTGACAAATGGGATCTAATTAAACTGAAGAGCTTCTGCACAGCAAAAGAAACTACCATCAGAGTGAACAGGCAACCTACAGAATGGGAGAAAGTTTTCGCAACCTACTCATCTGACAAAGGGCTAATATCCAGAATCTACAATGAACTCAAACAAATTTACAAGAAAAAAACAACCCCATCAAAAAGTGGGCAAGGACATGAACAGACACTTCTCAAAAGAAGACATTTATGCAGCCAAAAAACACATGAAAAAATGCTCATCATCACTGGCCATCAGAGAAATGCAAATCAAAACCACAATGAGATACCGTCTCACACCAGTTAGAATGGCAATCATTAAAAAGTCAGGAAACAACAGATGCTGGAGAGGATGTGGAGAAATAGGAACACTTTTACACTGTTGGTGGGATTGTAAACTAGTTCAACCATTGTGGAAGTCAGTGTGGTTATTCCTCAGGGATCTAGAACTAGAAATACCATTTGACCCAGCCATCCCATTACTGGGTATATACCCAAAGGACTATAAATCATGCTGCTATAAAGACACAGGCACATGTATGTTTATTGTGGCATTATTCACAATAGCAAAGACTTGGAACCAACCCAAATGTCCAACAATGATAGACTGGATTAAGAAAATGTGGCACATATACACCATGGAATACTATGCAGCCATAAAAAATGATGAGTTCATGTCCTTTGTAGGGACATGGATGAAATTGGAAATCATCATTCTCAGTAAACTATCACAAGAACAAAAAACCAAACACTGCATATTCTCACTCATAGGTGGGAATTGAACAATGAGATCACATGGACACAGGAAGGGGAATATCAAACTCTGGGGACTGTGGTGGGGTGGGGGGAGGGGGGAGGGATAGCATTGGGAGATATACCTAATGCTAGATGATGAGTTAGTGGGTGCAGCGCACCAGCATGGCACATGTATACATATGTAACTAACCTGCACAATGTGCACATGTACCCTAAAACTTAAAGTAGAATAATAAAAAAATAAAATGAAATAAAATAAAATAAAATAAAATGAAGGGATTCAAGTGACTTTGTAATATTCATATATAAGTTTCTGAAACATAATTGGGAAGCAAATTTTTTATAACTAGTGTCTATTAGAAATTTTCTGTATAAAATTAGGTATGAATTGGCAGTGATAGGATTTTCTTTTTCTTTCTTTTTTTTTTTTTTTTTTTTTTTTTGTTACTCACGTTTCCTAGTGAGGATGAAATACAAGAAAGACTGCAGGATAGAGGAAAACCCTTTGAAGTAATGATCCTGGGTGTGATGCTGGTCTCACTACTTTCTAGCTTTCTGAGCTTGGGCCTGTTATTATTACTTTACCTACAAAAGAGCTTTGATTCTTCCCATGTAAAATGGAATGATAGTACCTACTACGTTAGCTTGTTGTGAAGATGAAATGAAATAATGCTTTTCTCCTGATCTGAACCCACCCTAGTGTTGCATGCCACAAGGCTGCTGGGTTTTGTAGGGCTCGTTCCCTGGCTTTAAGCATCTACTTTCTTCTATAAATCCTAAAATCATACTGTTTGAGCTAGCTCTCTTTATTTATTTTTTCTGACCTTATAAATAATTTTATGTCTTATACGTGGTGAGTTATTCTTCTTGCGTGTCCTTCTGTGTGAACTGAGCATTACTGTTAACTAAATTGAATCCCCTCTGACCTACCTGTTTTCATCTTAGCTATGCTGCTTAACTGTGGAACGTTGATATATGATAGTCATTAAAAGCTACAGTGGAAAAACTGTTTTGAGTATTGTGTTACAAACTGATGTGAGACATTTTGGTTCTGCACAACTAGTAGGTTCTTTTGCTTTAGTGAACATTTCTAACCTCCAATATTTAGGGGTGATTTCTTACCAGATTACAGTGAAAGCAACTTTTAGACTTCATTCCATTTCATGTAAATGTGTTTATTAGCAAGAATGTAAAAACAAATATGCAACCTGTCTTAAAAGCCCTATGAATTTCCCACTGTCTGCCCTTTCAGGTGCTCTTAAGGTGCACATTACATGATAGTTTTTCCTGCGGCAATTGCAACCACATTCTATCAGGAAGATTTTGTTAACTACGTAGGGTTGGGTAGACAGGAATCCATTGGAACAGAGACTATAGGTAGGGTCTTTAAGAATCAAGCCTAAGATGCCAGCCTTAATGGCACAGTCTACCATGCTCACTGGATCTTTTTTTTTTTTTGGTAATAATTTGAGATTGACAGAAAAATTGCAAATATAATACAGAGTTTTAATATACTTTACCCAGTTTCCTCTATTGTTAGCCTTCTGCATTATCATGGTATATTTATCAAAAGTAAGAATTCAACGTTGGTACATTACTTTCAACGAAACTTCAGACTTTTCTCCATAAATACCCTTTTTCAGTTCTAGAATCAAATCTAAAATACCACATTGCATTTAGTCACTAGAGTTTTGTATCATGTTCATGGAAGGAGGCAGTCCACACATCTTAAACACTATTAATTTCACTAATGAAAACTTATCTCTAATATCTGCAGCACCTATGATTACCATCACTAGTGTGGATTGGAGGGAAGATCACTTCCTCTGGGAGTGTAATTCTCTTGAGTTAGTCAGTTGATTACCCCTGGAGCATGTCTCAATTAGAATGGAGATTAAAACTAACACATATGATTCATATAGTTCTCGTATTTTAAAGTAAATTCCAGGTAATGTAAGTGCCATTACACGTATTTTCTTGGCTTAAACATTAATTTTTCCCTTAAATCTAATTACTCCTGTGACCCCTGGCAACAAAGGTAAATGTCAGAAATATTTGCAGTCCATGAATCTGCATTTATCCTTCTCCAACTAAATGTTTCTGGGAAGCTTTTACCTTTTTGCCTTCAGGGGTGGACTGGCCTGATCTCAAGAGATGAGAGGCAAGAACAAAATTTTTTTTCTGGTATAAAGCATTACTTTTATTTAAGCAGTTTCTTACAGAATTTCATATTACATATTTTAAGAAATAAGAAGGTGTGCATTTTCTTCAGAACATAGACGGGTTACCATGCTGATATTATAGCTGAAGCAAGTTGCTAGTGCTGTTTTCTGTTTATTTATTTATTTATTTATTTTTGGTGCAGTTTGTTGAGTACATTGTGGGAGAAATTGATGACAGTGGCTTTGCATGTCTGCTCTTCTGGTGAATCTATGAAAATGGAATAGGGTGGCAGACGGAAGTCAGTTTCATGTGAAATGGGGAGTTTCAGTCCTAACTCTACCACCTTCTAAAGGTTTGAGACTGGGCATGCTGCTTAGCCCCTTCCCACTTTGTTTCCTCACCTATAGCATGGAGGTAGTGATAAATACCTCCTCAGAGAGCTGAAGGTGACATGAGCTGAGGTGGTCTATGTAAAGCACTTACACATATGCTAGCTATTATTAGTATTAAATGTGTTGTTTGGGAAATAGTTGAAACAATTCCAGTTCTGAAGTAGACATCTATTGAACTGTAATTGTTAAGCTCTGGACATGGCACTAGAGATGCAGAGAAATGACATGTTCAGGTTCTCAAGATTCTGCATGTAGTAGTGGAGACAGACGCCAACACCGTGGGATACTGTGGGCCAGGCCTGGCAGAAAGACTGGTGAGGAGGCAGAGAAGGCTGCTTGTAAGAGGCAGAGATACAGAGAGGAGACCCAGGTGGGCAAGAGGGCAGCAGGCACTGAGCTAAGGCCAACTTTTAAATTATTGAGGGACGGTAGGTCATATCAGAGGGAGTGAAGGATCCTGTGGAGCTTCAGAGTACAGAATTCTCTAAAGGGTTTTTTTTTTTTTTTTTTTTTTTTGAGACAGAATCTCGCTCTGTTGCCTAGGCTGGAGTGCAGTGGCGCAATCTCAGCTCGCTGCAACCTCTGCTTCCCGGGTTCAAGCAATTCTTCTGTCTCCGCCTCCCGAGTAGCTGGAATTACAGGCACTGCCACCATGCCCGGCTAATTTTTGTATTTTTAATAGAGATGGGGTTTCATGATGTTGACCAGGCTGGTCTCGAACTCCTGACCTCAAGCGATCCACCCACCTCGGCCTCCCAAAGTGC
The DNA here is from genome assembly GCF_000001405.40 of Homo sapiens. NCBI lineage: Eukaryota > Metazoa > Chordata > Mammalia > Primates > Hominidae > Homo > Homo sapiens. Next base: position 196,518,406 of record NC_000002.12, on the reverse strand, counting down.
TGGGATTACAGTCGTGAGCCACCGCGCCTGGCCTAAAGGGATTCTTTAAGGTGATGCACAGAAGCCTTTTGTAAAGTGAGCCATCATTACTTAGCTCTTATCTTATAATTTGGTTTTAGGCATCCCATTTCTCATAACATCAGACTCAGATGTCTTTGTGTGATTTTGCATTGTTTTTCTATTATATTTTATTTTTTAATCACATTTTTGGATTACAAGAGACCTGTAACATCATCACAAAGCTTGAAAAACAGAAGAAAGGAGGAAAAATCCCTACAATTCCATTGCTGTGTTAGTGTAGGGGATTTCTGTCTTTTTTCATTTAATCCCAGGTGTGTTAAAAGCTTTCTTTCTCCCCTTCGTATTTATATTGCTAAAATTTGATTAACACAAACATTAAAGGACATTTGAATTGTAAAGTGCATGGTCTCTAAGGGGTGCAGTGTGAAGGGATTATCCCATGAGGTTTTACCTGGGTGATGCTTTGAGGTGGAATTAGGGGAAGTTATGAACCCCAAGCCTTTTTAGCAGTAGCTGCCCTCCCAGTCACTGGTGAGCTGCTGTATCCTGAAACTCTGGGGAGGTTGAGTTGGGGTGGTTCAAAGTAAGCATGATTTAGCGGAACAATTTTCCTAAGTTTTTACCTTATATGAGTGCCACCTGTACTATTGATTATCTGATATTTTTGTTCTATTTACTCACTTTTTATTTAAGAAAACTTATTTTAAAAGGTAACTGTAGTATTATTATATGATTAAGACCAAGTAACTGTAACAATCTTTACAGTGAAAACAAAACAATGTCACTGACTTCTAATTGGATACTGATACTTGCCAAAGGCTCTAAGCTAAATGTCTGTTCTTTGTTAAAATGGGAGATTACCAAGTATTGAAGATTTATTAAAGCCATCTTATCATTAAATACAGACTTTATTTCAGTAGAAATATTGTAATAAAATTTTTATATAGTGTTGTAATTTCTTTTTCCTTTTTAAAATTTTATTTTTAGGAACCTGTGACCATGGCATTATTGTATGGTAATTTAGTTTGAAAGTGATTTAGTATAAAGGGTATGATTCTTCTCTAATTTTCTCCTTAGAATGTGGTTAGTTATTATTCCAAGAACCCTCATAAGGAATTAACATCTTTAGTATTGAATATTTAGAACTTCAAATACTGGCTTAGAGATCTACCTTAGAGGATTTAATGAGCCTGAGGGATATTAGGAATAATTTTTTATGCATGAGATGAGTGCCTCCTTGTATGAATGAGCGGTGGGAAGCCCAAGAGTCACTGTAGTTTCACCAGGACACTGGCTTGTCCCGCCATCAGGACACCTTGGTGTCTCTCTGGGAGGAAGTCTGTCAAGTTAGATAATGGCAGGAAGAAATTGGGACTTTCTAGACCTATAAAACAGATTTGGTGCCTGCTGGATAATGTATGTACCTTTGGTTGAATGTAATCCGTGACTTGATATCTTTGTAACAGCTTGCGAGGAATGGGATATTTTGCCTGGTAGCAAGCTTGTGAGGAATGGGATATATAGCCTGTACCTAGCTTAACTGATGCTTACTCAAAGACCCAGACCTCTTCTGAACAGCTCATCTCGCAATGACTTTCCTACTGTCTGATTCAATGTAATTTAATGCCTAGTCTGTTACCAAGCAACACATCCTGAATTTGGGAAAATATGGCCCTAGGGAAAACTATGATTGCATAACTGGCTGGTTTCTAGCAGTTTGGGGTAGATCAATATTTTTCAGTAAGGGACTAATGTTTCTTTTATTAAATTTTAATTCCCGATACCTTGTGGACTGATACTGTGAATTACTAGAAAAACAAAATAAGAGCCAGACATACAAAATATAAACCCAGACTTTTTATTATTTGATTCAACAGACACAATTAAATTTCATTATATAATACGAATAAACATAGCTTAAGGAAAAAATTACAAAAATTATAATTACAAAAACAGTACACATGTTCCTTGAAAAAGTGTGTGTGTAGGCAGTTAATATAAAGAATTAGTATTACATTTGTAACTTGGTAGACTGCAATTATAGCTAAACAAATGGCTTTAAGAGAAATAGTGATTCCCTGTTTGTTTATATGCTTTGAACATAGACTGTCTGTATTAGTATTTAAAGTTTTTCATGCTACAAATGAGCTTGCTTCCTAAACCATGTTGGAGTGATGATAATGCTACTCACAAGGCATAATCCAACCTAAAAATATTTCAGGTTTTTGTTTTGTTTTGTTTTGTTTATTGAGACAGAGTTTTGCTCTGTCACCCAGGCTGGAGTGCAGTGGTGCGATCTCAGCTCACTGCAAACTCTACCTCCCAGGTTCAAGCGATGCTCATGCCTTAGCCACCCGAGTAGCTGGGATTACAGACATGAGCCACCATGTCCAACTATTTTTTTTTTTTTGTACTTTTTTTTTTAGTAGAGAGGTGGTTTCGCCCTGTTGGCTAGCCTGGTTTCAAACTCCTGACCTCAAGTGATCCGCCTACCTCCACCTCCCAAAGTGTTGGGATTACAGGCATGAGCCACCACACCTGGCCTAGGTTTTGTTTTAATAACACTCATAGTAGCAAAACCAGTTTTGTGGAAGGGATCTTAACAGGAGTGGAAGAAGAGATTTTTAAAGTAATGTCAGCAACCACAGGATATTAACTTTCCACTTTTATCCAAAGTAAAGGTATTATTTTCAGAATTAATCTTTCATTCATTCTCAGTAAACAATTTCAACAATATTGTAGTAAAGAATTTGCCTGTTGGAGAAATAAATGATTTCTGGGTTTGATACCCTTTTGGGTTATAGTTGGAAAGGGTTGCATGTTGTTACATGGTCCTGCTGCACATTACTGGCATGCAGCCTGTGCCACATGTGTTCTAACTGGTCAGTGATGTGCTCGCCAAGCCAAATCCATGGAACATGAGTTTAGATGTCAGGGTGTCATGAGATCGTTAGGGTGTTGCTTTGCCAGCTGGAAACCTCTGTTGCCGGCAGCACCTTCTGCCTGAGTTTTGTTTGCGCCTGCTGGGCTTATTCTGCCCACTTGGCCCAGCAGCCTGCACTTGGCTTGTACTAACAGCCTGGGTCTCACACCTGCCAAGCCGGGTGCAGAGCAGCGAGAAGTGTGTGGGCAAGTGAGCATGGGATCCGGCCACTGTGCACAGCCAGGCACGCCAGCTTCTGTGGCAGGGTGGGCAGCTCCAGGCGCCAGCACAGGTGCCGGCTCTGTGCGAGGCTGTGGCTGGGCCAGATGTACTGCACATGGCTTCTGCTGCAGGCACCTGCGTCTGGACAAAGGGAATGCAGTGGTCCCTGGAGGCTTGGAGAGGCCAGGAACTGCAGAGCCCCAAAGAGGGTGTCACAGCCCTGGCTTGGGGAGTCCCTAGGTCTGGGCTCCCTAAAGGGCCGCTTCTCTCCTTCTGGACCTGTAATGTGGTAAGCAGGGGTGTATGTTTCAGCCCTGTTTGTGTTACAGCGCTTTTAGTCCCACCATTTGGCTGGTCCCAAGTTCTTGTCCTGCATCCAGGAAGAATGAGGTGTGCGGACAACTGGAGGGTGAGCAAGGCAGAGAGGAGCTTCACTGAGTGGCAGAACTGCTCTCAGGAGACTCAGAGTGGGTAGCTCCTTTCTGCAAGCAGGTCGTCCCAATGAGGGTCCAGCTCTCCTTGGAGAGGAGACCCAGAGTCGGTAGCTCCTGTCCTCAGGGGGGTTGTTCCATCATCTGCCCAAGTCTGGGTGAGTCTCAGATTTTTTATGGACTTCAGAGGGGAGGGAGTGCATGCCGATTGGTCCATGGGTAGCCATGGGCGTGCCGGGAAAAAGCACCATAAGTTCTCACTCCAGTTTATGGAACTGACAGCCTGGCTTCCAGGCTTCAGACTGTCCTTGGCTTGAAGGTGGGACTTCATCAGGGACCCACCCCTTTGCACCCAGGAGCCCTTCTGCCTCCTGCTGCTGTTCATGGCTCCCAGGCTTTTCTGCTGAGGAGCGCCTACAGGCCTGTGCCGAGCCGCCCTCAGCCCCACTGTGGTCTCCTCCTGTGCTGGTTGGTGCCCAAAGTCTGAAGGGAACTTTACAGACTATACAGAGGCGGCAGGGGACAGGTGTGTCAGCGCCCTCCGAAGTGCTTGCACACCTGGCTGGGTTGTGACAGTGCTCAGACTCGGCCACAACTTTGCTCTGAAATTGGAGTGGGCACTAGAAGCAGGGAGAGGCCGGGCAGTTGGAACAGGTACTTCTGAGACTATGGGGTTGGGGAGCTTCCTGGGCCCCTGAGAGTGCAGGGAAGCCTGGGTCTGCAGCCCTTGATGGGGTGGCTGCTGCTGTACCTGGGAGGGCGAGGCTCCTGCCCCTCCAACTCCAAAGTGGGTGGGTCTCCAGCCTGTTGCTGGCTCCCACTGGCTCTGGAGTGGGCAGCCCCAGCAGCGCCTCCCCCACTGCCACCAGCGTCATGGCAGTGGCTGCACCAGATGGGCTGCTGCTACCATCAAAGGCAGTGCCCAAATGCTAGAAAGGTTTCTAACCACTTACCCTCTATTTCTGTACTTACTTCATGGACCAGTAGCAAACTGTTTGCCAACTGGCATTGGTCCATGGACCCCTCTTTGAGCACCACTGGTGTGGATGATCCCTTTTATCCGCTCTGTCTCTTCACATGTGACTTATATACCAGGACTATTGGAATCTTACTTTTGTGGCTTCTTACTATCTTTATTTGTTCTGCACAGTTAAATATTTCATTATATACTGTTTTTATATTGTCTTCTAGTTGTTGATGAGATTTTTTTCTCACCAACAAGAATGTAAGCCCTTTGAGAATAGGGGTTGAGCATTATGCTGAACAGGTATTAAATGCTTATTGAATACTTTTTCTTTTTGAGACAGGGTCTCACTCTGTCACCCAGGCTGAAGTTCAGTGTTGTGATCATGGCTCACTGCAGTCTCGACCTCCCTGGGCTCGGGTGATCCTCCTACCTCAGCCTCCTGAGTAGCTGGGAATACAGGCATGTGCCAACGTGCCCAGCTAATTTTTCTATTTTTTGTAGAGATGACATTTCGCCATGTGGCCCAGGCTGGTCTCACTCCTGGGATCAAGTGATCCACCTGCCTTAGCCTCCCAAAGTGTGAATACTTTTTATATGGATTCTTGTGAAAGATGAAATTACTACCACCTTCATTGTGGTAGATTTATGTTTAAAGACAGCAACATTTACTTACAAAAATTTAGAATATTATAAAATATACTATTACATCTTCACTGTAATCCATTCCTTAAATGAGTATGATTTCTTAGGCTTAAGTAATAAAGGACAAGAATAGTGGAATGGATTATCCTATAGTTTTTTGTTTTCTTGGTCTGAAGTCTTGTGCTAATAGTATATTAAAAAGTAAAATCAGCTAGGCATGGTGGCTCATGCCTGTAATCCCAGCACTTTGGGAGGCTGAGGTGGGCAGATTGCCTGAGGTCAGGAGTTTGAGACCAGCCTGGCCAACATGGTGAGGCCCCGTCTCTACTAAAAATACAAAAAAATTAGCCAGGCATGGTGGTGTGCACCTGTAATCCCAGGTACTTGGGAGACTGAGGCAGGGGAATTGCTTGAACCAGGGAGGTGGAGGTTGCAGTGAGCTGAGATTGCACCACTGCACTGCAGCCTGGGTGACAGAGCGAGACTCCAACTCGAAAAAAAAAAAAAGTATAATCTGGCCAGGTGCAATCTCACTCCTGTAATACCAACACTTTGAGAGGTTGCGGTAGGATTGCTTGAGGCCAGGAGTTCAAGACCAGCTAGAGCAACATAGTGAGACCTCATCTATGCCCTCAAAAAAAATTAGCTATGTTTGGTGGCACGTGCCTGTAGTCCTGGCTGCTTGAAAAGCTGAGGTGGGAGGACTGCTTGAGCCTGAGAGCTTGAGGTTGTGGTGAGCTGTGATCATGCCACTGCACTCCAACCTGGGTGACAGTGAGACTATGTCTCAAAAAAAGAAAAAAGTTAAATCAGTTGAAGGGTTAAAAAAGTGACATCTTCTGTACCTAGATAACTGACATAAAATATTAAAGGAAGGTTGCAAAGTGGTGGGTCACAAATTTGCTTTATTTGCCCCGTATAGTCTTTAAAAACTGAAATGTTTCACATGAAAATATTTTCAGATGTCTAGCTTCTCTTTTGAAAATCTCTTATGTTTGGCCCCGTGGGTCCTGCATTCTCACGTGGCCCGTCATTGTGAATGGAATGAAAGTTACATCCTGCCTGTTCTCCAGGTCTCCACAGGTCTTTCACACAGAGTGTGCATACATATGTCTTCATTCATTTTCTTCACCTGCTCGGCCTTGTGGGCAATGAAATTTGTGACCTCTGGCATAGAGTAGTGTGTTAAAATCATTCCTGCTCCACAGAACATGCAGTGAGCAGACCTCAGTGAGGGACACCATCTAAAACAATCCATCAGTTTGCTTCATTAGTAACATCATAAATCCTGTTAGCAAGGGTGCCAAGTTCCTGAATCACAGGGCCTGCTCTGAATAGCTACTTTTTTTCTTTACCACTTCTCCCATCCTCCTGTGCCCTTACTCCCCTTCTGGTCTCTCTAGAAACCTCCTTGTTATATCAACCTTGATTGTTTGCCTGCCCCTTAAGACTCTGCCCTTTGGATCACACACTTTTCTCATGCAATACTAACCTTGCAATGCCCCTGGGTTTGCCTTTTCTGTCTTCCTTGTTCAGGAATATTTCCTCATAGCACTTTTTGTTTCTTTAATAACATCTGTCATAATTTGTAATGATATATTTATGTGCTTATTTATTTAATACCAGACTGTAAGATCTGTGAAGATCCATCTCTGCTTTCTTCACCAGTGAATTTGCAACCACTGCTCTTGTATCTGGCATACAATAAATAGGTGCTCACATATTTGTCGGATGACTAAAATGAAGTTATCAGTGAAGTAGGCTTGAGGGTAGGTTGTGGAATTAATTTGTACCTCTGCAGTACACAATACAGCATTCAATCTTCATTTAAAGTCCATTTCTACCTTAACGATTCTAGAAAATGAATGGAAATATTGATTGGTGTTTTGATAACATCATTTAATTATATTTTTTGAGGTTGTGATTTCACATTTAGGAATTTAATATTTTATAATTCCCAAAATATTTATTGTACCTATATGATTATCAGTCAGGTTACAAAGTTTAACTTTTACCAGCCTGGCCTGGCCCACATGGTGAAACCCTCTCTTTGCTAAAAATACAAAAATTAGCTGGGTGTGCTGGTGCACACTTGTAATCCCAGCTACTTGGGAGGCAGAGGTGCATGGATCACCTGAACTTGGGAGGCAGAGGTTGCTGTGAGCCAAGATCACACCACTGCGCTCCAGCCTGGGCGACAGAGTGAGACCCTGTCTCAAAACAAACAAACAAACAACAGCAAACCCAAACAAACAAGAAAAAAACCCCAAACAAACAAAAATTCCCATTTTTAGAGATTTTTCAAGAGAATGGGGGAGTAGTCCTCATAGTCCTCACTACTAATTGCTTGTGGTTATAATCCTGAGGGGAAAAATAAGTCACCATTAAATTAGCTTCATACTACTAATTAAAACCACAGTGCTACACAATAATTAGAACTACTTCTCTATAAGCTCTTCTGGGCTTTTGATCACACCATTATAAAAAGATAGCTAAGTAAAAAAAAATAACAATTCCCATATTTGTGGAAAATAACAATTAAAACCCTACCTTAAAAAAATCAGTGTCTTTAGTATTGAGGGATGGAAGACTTAAAAAAAAAAAGGAATTATAACAATTAAAGGAATCTTCTAAAAGAAAACCCCACAACCTGGAGATAAAAGCATGAAGGCCTGTAAGTCTTCCTGAGTGTGTGCTCACATTCAGCATGAGTGGGACTAAAGGAGCATCCCCACTAGATTTTCCTGTTTCTCTGGTTGATCTGGGCGAGAGTGGGTGGAGGAGGATGCTGGTAAGACTATGAAATTCTTGCCAAGGGAGGAGTAATGCTGGTTTAATGATTATACTTTTTCTTTCTTCCCCACATCACCTCAATTTATTTTTCCTTTCCCCTGCCTGATGTAGTAGTTCTAGGACTGGTCTGCAACTACAAGTACAGAATTCCTAAGGGCCTGATGGTGGCGGGTTGTGGCTTCATCCCATCTAGCCAAATTGGGATTGAGAGTGAATGCAACCATATTGCCTGGTGGTAAAGATGGCTATGTAACCTTATCCCATCTGAATGGGAGTGGATGGGGGAGGCACTTGCTAGGCTGGGATTGCTGCCTGTAATCTAGACTAGCAGTACAATGGTGGAGTCTCATGTTTCTTCCAAAAGTGGTAAAGTTTGGCTATTAATGGAGAGAAGGAGGAATAGTAGTCAAGGCTTAAGAAATGAATAAATAGATTATGAGTTGAGTGGAGCACAGTATTACATTAATATCTTAAAAGAGTCTCAGAGCAAGCGATTGTATTGTCTTTTAGCTCACTTATGCCTGAAGGAGTGAAGCTATGTGTTTGCCAAGACCACTCCTGCTTTTGGAACCTGGCAGGATTGAATGGAAGCCTACAAACTTGAGTGGCCTCACCCTGGAAGTCATTTTTACAATATGATGGACTGGACTAATTGCTAATGATAGAATGGGATTCTGGCAATGTGGTACTATCTTTTGAGTTGTATGTCCTTTTTATTTAAGGGATCCAGGTTCAAAGACTAGGAGTGGACTGTGATACTGTGAGTTTCATATTTGGTCTTTGTCCTTGTTTCCTGACATACAATGTTTAAAATCCTTGGGATCCCCAAAGTGATGCCTTTTTGTATGCTAATGATTGATTGATACCTGGAAGCCCCTAGTAGCTTCAGGATAGCCACTGGTCACCAGAAAAACAAAGGCACTATTAGAAGATTGGGACTCCCAGCCCTACTCCTTGACTTCCAGGGAAAGGAGAGGGGCTGAAGGTTAAGTTGATCACCAGTGGCCAATAATTTAATCAACCATTCTTACATAATGAAGCTTCTTTAAAAACTCAAAAAGACTGGGTTTGGTGAGCTTCCAGATAGCTGAACACATGGAGGCTTACAGGAAGGTGAAAGAACTCATCCATGAGCCAGGAGGGTGGCACACTCCCATTCCACAGGTACAGAAGTGTCAGCACTTGGGACCCCTTCCACAACTCACCCTATGTATCTCTTCATCTGGCTGTTTATTCATTTGTAGCCTTTAAAATATCTTTTGTAGTAAACTGGCAAATGTTAAAAAAAAACCCACAATCCTATTAAACCTATTTATTTTCCTGCATTTGAGCTGAAAGCTTAATTAAACATTTAATACTTACTTTTGTCTGGAGTGCAGTGGTGCAATCTCAGCTCACTGAAAGCTCTGCTTCCCTGGTTCATGCCATTCTCCTGCCTCAGCCTCCTGAGTAGCTGGGACTACAGGCGCCCACCACCACGCCTGGCTAATTTTTTGTATTTTTAGTAGAGACAGGGTTTCACCATGTTAGCCAGGATGCATTTTTACAGAGTAATAAGTGTGGTTATTTTAAAGCTTAGGATGAAAATATTCACAAAAGAGACTCTGAAAGGAAAGAATGAAGTTTTCTTCAGGGATGGGGACAATGGAGGAGGAATGAAAGAAAGGAATGGGGGTGCTCATCCCCTGCTAAGATGCCTTTAGGGGATGAAGTGATGGAGGAAAAAGAGAGAGTGGAGGAAGGTTGGGGAGCCCCAATGGGAGTGATTTGCATACTTCACAGATATTAGTGGGAGGCTGGGATGAAGGAATTAAATCCGCTAAAGAACCAAAATACTGTTCTTTCTTATTATACCCCCACCTACTCATCCTACACACAACTCTCTGCACACACTGAAGCTTTTTATAATCCGTGAACTTTGAAAGTCAAACATTTCCTGCTCATCAGCTTCAGCGAGCATCCAGTAGCTTTCTTTGACCAGCTCTTAAATGGTGATCTTGAAGAAAATGTTTAATGGTTTTGTTTTCCAATTTGTATTTTAGCTGCACCACAGGGAAAGATGGAAATACTCAGCCTGTTTGTCTTGAGCATACCCAGAGATTGATGGATTCAGGTTTCTATATTTGACACAGATGGTTTATTAACTGTTCTTTTCTCCCTTCTGCAGTTGTAGTAAAGAAGTCAAAAACAGTTTAGAAAAAGTAGGTCAAGAGTGTTAGCTGAAGAAAAGTAGTGTATTTATGTCTCCTAACTTTTGTTTTTCAGAAAGCAGTACTCTTTTAAAGACAGTTGCAGAGGGATAAAAATACTTGTTTCAAGTAATCCAATCCCCCTACCATACATAAGTTGTATAAATGGCATAAGAAAACAATATTTAAAACACACTAGCCTATTATAAAAATTTCCAGAACAGTTTGAAACAATGGACCCCTGCTTCCAGAGCATATTGGGGTTGAAGAGGAGTGTTAATGTCACAGGAGAAAAAATTAGCTGCACAAATGCTTTGGTGGACTGCTCTTAAACCATCTGACCATTGATAGGTGGTAGAAGGAATCCCTGAACTTTCCTTACTGCTGGAAAAGTCATTCCACTGGGGGAGGAACACACCCGTAGAGCATTCTCTCTCCCAATCATGACTGTTTTGTTAGGTGTAATGTTTAGGTAAATTTTAGAGTTGGTTATTTGGAATTCACAGTGCATTTTTCCATGGAAATAATGTTTTAACTCAGTGATAGGGTTGCAGTGGGTATAATGAGAAGAGTCTTGGAATCAGATTTGGAGTTAGATGTTGCATTTCCTTTAAGTCAGGGTTTCTCAACTTCATCACTATTGACATTTTGAACTGGATAATTATTTGTTGTGGGGAGCTTTCCTGTGTGTTCACTGTAGGATGTTTAGCAGCACCCCTGGCCTCTAACTACTGTATGCTAGTAGCAGCGACCCCAGTCATGACCATCAGAAATATCTCTAGACATTGCTAAATTTCCCCTGGGCACAAAATAATTCCCAGCTGAGAACCACTGCTCTAAACATATGAGTTCTAAGACTTTGGTCATGTTATGTAACACTCCACAGCCTGTTTTTCTCTGTATATGTTGGGTATTACTTACCTCAAAAAAGGTAATGAATGGTTTTGAATATGCTCCGTAGTCTAGCTACATGTGTTTCTATTTATATGTGTGTAATATACACATATTAGTGTGTGTGTAATATACACATATTAGTGTGTGTAATATACACATAGTGTGTGTATAATATACACACTAACGTGTGTAATATACACATGTTAGTGTGTGTGTAATATGCACACATATAAATAGATTTTCCAATGTTGAGCCATTCTTTTATGCCAATATTCCATTTATTTCTGGAATAAAAATTCTAATAGCCATTCCAATATTACATTTATTTTTGGAATAAAACCTGCTTGGTAATTTTATATATGCATTGTTCTTTAAAATCCTTTCTGTATAGATTTTTCTAATACTGTATTTAAAATTTTGTATACCTGGGGGTCATAAGTCAGCTTGGCCTGTAGCAGTGTTTTTCCAAATGTGGTCCATGTGCCAGTACCAAGTATTGGCAGAATGTGAACTACTCTCAGGTAGTATGTGGAAAAATATTTTAAAAATTGTAATAGTTATGCAGTTGTTTTAATTAATTTTGACAAGGGGTACTGGTTTTCTATTTATGATAGTAATACATTTTTGGCTACTTTGTAGCCAAAAATTTAAATAAATATTAATTAAATAATATTTCTGTGTACTACAGTGGTATCTAAGTATGTCAGAAATTGAAAAGGTGGTACCTGAATGACTGAGGTTTGGGGACCTTTGGTCCATGAAATAAGTGTGTATGTGTGCGTGTGTGGGTGCATGCTCATGCTAGAAAAGGGGCAGGGGTGGGAAGAACCCTGTGTATACCAGGTCTTCAATGATGTCCTTTCATTCAGCATCATTTCATTGACCAGAAGAAAAATATATCCCCTGCTGGTAAAATTAGTTTCGTTATACATCATTTCACTTGAAGTTGCAGTTTCCAGAACTATTGATTCTGCGAAGTGACCGTTTACTGCATATCTTGTCTGATTTGTTTTCTAGATTCTGTAAGCCTCATAAACATTCAGAAATTTTCTATATAGGGCTTATCACTTCTTCAAAGCCTTGGTGAAATCCACCTTTAAAGCCATCTGAACCCAGTTTCTCCCATAGTTATTGATCTGTACAGTACTTTCACCTCGTTTGGGTCTTTTGTTGACTTAGAATGCATTTTTAAGGTCCATATCATATTATGCCATCCCCTTTCTCCCCTCCTCACTGAACTTGAACTAGCTGAGCACTGGCCAGTTACTTTTTGCTTGACCCACGTGGCCCCATCCCTCCCCGACTGCCTTATTGAGAGATACCCCTGCTCTGTTGCTCCCACTTAATCACCTTCATCTTCCTTCATAGCACTTATCACCATATGACATGCTATGTATTTTTAAATTTCTGTTCCCAGCCCTACCTCCCAAAGGAAAACTCCACAGTTGGGGGGACTTCATCTGTTTTGACATTGATAGCTCCAGTGCTTGGTCTATAGGAGCTCCTCAGTAAATATTCATTGAATGAATTAATATTTCTATGAAGTTATCCACCTGGGTTAAAGATCCAAATTTATTAGTATAAATCTATAATGTTTTCTTGATAAGGATTAGCCATTATGTCCCCTTATAATTTTAAAGAAAATTCTGGTTTTACTTGTGTATTTCCTCTTTTGAAAAATCAGACCAGCCTGTGATTTGTCTGCTTTATTGGTCTTTTCCAAGTATCATCTTTCGGTTTAGTAATCAAGTCTAGTTTCTTTGTTTTCTCTTTCTTCTTTTTTTTTTGATGAAGTCTCACTCTGTTGCCCAAGCTGGAGTGCAGTGGCACAATCTTGGTTCACTGCAGCCTCCACCTCCTGGGTTCAAGCGATTCTCCTGCTTCAGCCTCCTGAGTAGCTGGGATTACAGGTACACACCACCACACCCAGCTAATTTTTGTGGTTTTAGTAGAGACGGGGTTTTCACCATGTTGGCCAGGATGGTCTCGATCTCTTGACCTCAGGTGATCCACCCGCCTCAGCTTCCCAAAGTGCTGGGATTACAAGCGTGAGCCACTGTGCCTGGCCTTGTTTTCTCGTTTATTAATTGCTGTTTTTGTCTTAATTCTTACTGCTGTCTTGGTTTTTTAAATTACTTTAAAAGTTTTTTTAAATGGTAAGGTGTGGTTATTAATCTAATTTTATCATTACTATTGTGAACAAGTCCTTAAAAGCCTATTTAAGGCATGATGGAGCTGATGTCTCTGTTGACTGATACATAAGACTCTTTGGAGTCAACCATTCATGCAAGCAGGAAACTAATACAGTGGAATGACAGTAACATTGTATTAATAGTTTTACAGATATAGGTAGAGCTCTGTTTGGTGTGGTCAGAGATATTTTTAGCATTGTGGTCTTGAGTACCTTGCTTAATCTCTCTGCACTCATTTTTTTTTTCAGCCTGAAAATGTGTACAGTAATTATGGTTGATAAAAGTTTTGTGAAGAGTAAATGAGATAATCTATGTAAAAAGCACAGTTCCAGAGACTGGCAGACATGTTCAAAAACTCCTCCCCTAATATTGAGTGTATAATATGTAAGGTTGGTTCATACACTCTCTGTCCCAAAGAACTCACAAATAAACAATTAATTCAAGTCCAAAGAGATATGTCACATAAAAGAGAATGGTCTTGAATTCTTATGAGAGTGAGGGCTGGTGTAGAGGCTTGCTGAACTCTAAAGAGTAGACTGGTGGGCTGGCATGGACCTGTTAGCATTTCCTTAAATACCATAGCATTTGCATGGTGGATAGATAGAGAGAGAGGAAGGAGAGTTCATTTCTATGATGATCATGTGAGGCAGCCTCCCTGCCATATATCCTTGCTTGGAGGGACTGAGTGGGCCTCAGTCAGGTAGGATCATCCTGCAGGTGAGCCAAGGTGAGTATGTACTGCATCTCTTTGATTGGGGTTGGGCATAACAGGGTCCCGGCACCTGTGGTTAGCCAGTCATTGCATGGCCTCCACCAGCTTTTTTTTTTTTTTTTTTTGAGACAGAGTTTCACTCTTATCCCCCAGCTGGAGTGCAGTGGCACAATCTTGGCTCACTGCAACATCTGCCTCCCGGGTTCAAGTGATTCTCCTGCCTCAGCCTCCCGAGTAGCTGGGATTACAGGTGCCTGCCACCACGCCTGGCTAATTTTTGTATTTTTAGTGGTGATGAGGTTACACTATGTTATCCAGGCTGGTCTCAAACTCCTGACCTCAGATGATCTGCCCGCCTCGGCCTCCCAAAGTGCTGGGATTACAGGCATGAGCCACCGCGCCTGGCAGCTTCCACCAGTTTTTAATGAAGTCGGCGTTGGATGCTCCCAAATTACAAGCATTTGTGTTGGATTTGACAGTGGGAGTCCCTGGGTTGGTGGTTCTGCAGTTGGAAGTCTCACAAGGAGCACAGTAAAGCCTGTGGTGGGAAAAGTACTTTTAAAAATATGGGGGTTGTGTGTAATTTAATAAACAACTTTTAAAATGCTGCGGCTTATTTTTGAAACTTTTGTGTTTGTGTTTCTATCCGTCTGAGATGGGCAGAACTGGCCTTGAGCAGAATCTTAATAAACATCAGTTGCTTTCCACTTTTTTCTTGTTTTTTCTCTCCCCTCCTGATTCTGCTGGGCTGTGTACTCTGCTGTTACGGGGAGACACCACTCCCTGCCACAGCAGAGTAGGGTCCTCTCCTGTTTCCCTTCCCTTTGCTGCTATTGGCCGACTGGGTGAGGGGAACAGGAGGGCAGAAGGAGTAGGGGGAGCACTCAGTAGCATCAGGATAGTATGTGTTTTTCCCTTGTCCCTAGTTCTTTTTCTGCCCTTTCCTCTCAATGCGGCTCTTGACTGACACTGAACAATCTACCTCTGCCTGTAGATGAACCCACTACTGCCCATAGATCTAGGCAAGAGGCCCTTCCCTTTCTCTGGCCCTCTTCTATCTTGCCCCTCTGCACAGGGCAAGGAGTCCGTAGGCCCAAGGGAATGTATGCACCTGGAGCCCGTGCCCTGCCTGTGGCACTCTGAGATATAGGATTTCCATGCCCAAAAGCCCCAAGCCTGTTTCTTGGGGTTGTTTGGGGTTCTTTGTGGGGGTTCCTACTGGGGGCAAACAGAGAAGCCAGTATACACACTCTCAGTCCCAAGGGGTGTCTAAGGAGCAGCTAATTGCAGAGATGTGAATGGAATTTCATGAGCTGGCACAGGTGCCCATGATTATGCAGAGGTGAGGCCCCTTGTGGTGCTGAATGGAGCTAGGGGTGGAAGGATAAGGGTACTTGTCACCTCCAACACTCCTGCATTCTGAATTCCCAATTCAAATCTGGTCTTTTAGGCCATTATGAAAGTCAAGGTAGAAGAAGAGATCATATTTATTAGCTTAATTTATAGACTTTAAAATATTTAGACATAGGGATTTGGACCTCCATGTGTACTCTTTGCAAGTATGAGAGGTAGCCCTGTGTAAGAACATTGCCCATGCCTGTTTTCCACTGCCTGGTGGTATTGGGAAGAGCAAGGCTGGGTGAAGAGCATGCCTGTCCCACCACACATGAGCTCCATTGGGCGGGACCGTCCATAGTTGCTCTTACCCATTATTGTTCCTTAGAACCATGCCTGACACGTAATTGTGGAAGGAAGGAAGGAACAGTCATGGGATCTGAGGAGTAGTAGAAGGGAGGGAATTAGCCAGAAGTAGAAGGGAAATACTGCCACCATTGGAGTACGAATATGTATAACATAATCAGTCACATTGGAGTGTGCATAATCAATTGCATTGGAGTGCGATTATGTGTAACAAACGAAAGCCAGCTGTTCCAAGATGCTTTCTGATACTAACATGAAGTTTGAACTTTTTGTAGAATTTAGGGGTCCTCAGTTATGTGAATTTGATAATATGTTATTGTTTGACTTTGTAACATATTTTCTCTCTGAGGGAAGGGAGCTCCACAATAATTTTTTAATTCAGATTTTCACTTTAAATATCCATTCTAGGATGACGTACAGTTCAATTAGGTTGGAACAAACAAATAAAAACAAAGAAAAGTCTGGAACACCAAAGTTGGTTAAATGAAGACAACATATTAAGAAATACATTATAGAAAACTGTTGTAATTGTTGTTGATTGAGACTGTATGTTTTCAGCAAAATGAGAATATTATATTTTTTGACAATTTTTTCATATAAATACCAGCACTATTTTGAAATCATTTTACAAAATAAACAAAACTACGTGAGCTGGATTCAGGGAAAGTCCAAGTTTTCATACTAAAGAACGTTAAATTCAATATGACTTGAGTGATTGTAATCTAAGCCATTTGTGGGGATTGGGAGACTGTGCTAGAAGAGAATGTAAAGTGAGATTCATCCTGTGTCTTTTTTCCTTTTTGGGAATAAATGATAGATGAAGGCTTAGGAAAATATTATATACTGCTTTTATTTAGGCTTTGGAAAAGTATGGACTAAACATTATTGAATGCTCAAGAGAAGTATAACCATTCATGTTTCCAAACCAAAAGATATTATTTTTTTCTAAAATTTAATTAGAAGTAAGCCTAAGTCACTTTATGTTTTGATCTATGACAGTACTTGTAGGTTTAGATATTGAGAGTCTTTTACATTTTAAATAAGTATTTTAAAAAATCTAAAGCAGGAGAAACTGTGCTGTCATAAATGTAATTGCAAAATACATGGAGAACTTAGGCTTTTGGTTCTAATTTGAGAATTGGTAGTTTTTTCCTTAAAAAAAAATTCTTGGCCAGGCATGGTGGCTCATGCCTGTACTCCTAGCACTTTGGGAGGCTGAGGCGGGCAGATCACTTGAGGTCAGGAGTTTGAGACCAACCTGGCCAACATGGTGAAAAATACAAAAACTTATATTTTTATAGAGACTCCCACGCCTGTCTCTACTAAAAATACAAAAATCAGCTGGGCGTGGGAGGTTGCAGTGAGCTGAGATCACGCCACTGTGCTCCAGCCTGGGCAACAGAGTGAGACTCTGTCTCAAAAAATAAAATTCTTTTTGTCAATTTCTGTAATTGTGGCATCCCTTCCAACTGTCTCTTTAATATGATGCAACATTTAAAAGGCAAGTTTCACAGTAAAGAAACCAGTTTTTAGAAAATATTAGTCACCTTTTATAACTTATAATTTAAAAAAGTTATTCTGATATTTTAGGGTTTTCATAAAAAAGATAAAATGTATTTCTGCCATTATAATCAGACTACTTATTACATGAAAATTCTGTTATTATTACTTCAATTTCTGAAAAGAGCCACCTTCTGGATAAGAATTAAGTAAGTCTTAATCTTTAGCCTTGGAAATGATTTAAAGCGGGAAAATAAGGAAGCCCTCACTGTTGGAATCTTGCCTTCCATGTGGGGGCTTTGTTTCCCTCCAATCAAGCCTGCCTTGACTGTAGATTCTAAAGTGTTGAGTCCTGGATAGGTGACTCATCCTGTTGACAGAGATGGGGTGGAAGATTAAAGGAAGTAACAGGGGAATACAGACAAGAAATGGAGGTGTGGTAGGTTGTCCTTGAAATCCAGTATAGTCTAGATAAGTTGTTTTCAAATGCTGTTCTGAGGCAATGTTTTTATGGGCTTAGAAAAACATAGACAATGGACTTTTTATTAATGCATAGGTTATTCAACGTAAGGAATTAAATGGTAAAGTGGTGTTAATTGAGCTAGTTTAAAAATGTCATTGATAAATAAAAGTTAGTTACTTTATGTCAGTCTGCAAAATGTTTTTGGAATTTTATTGTTCTTTGAAACTCAAAAGTTTTCCATTCATGCTTTTAGTGACAGCAACAATTACTTAGCATTTACTCTTTTTTTTCTAGCAGTGGGAATTGTTTCTATGCAGATTATTTGAACTGCTCACATCCTTTGATGGTGTAAGATTGCATGTATGTATGTATGTATGCATGTATGTATGTAAGTATGATGAAGTGGTCCAACATACTGCTAATGCTTACAGTGTCTGGATGTCATGGGATGGGGAAGTAAACTTTGAATTTCTTTCCCTCCCCTCCCATAAAAGCAAAACATTGATATTCACAGAGTTGTATCTACTAAAAAAACTTGAAGTTCTAGAGTTGTGTAGAGCATTTTCACATATATCATCTCATTTGATTCTTCTTGGGGTCACAGAGGTAGCACCAATCATTTGAGAATTTTAATTATTAGCAAAAGGTTTATATAATCTTTTTTTTTCTTGAGGAGGAACATTTTTGGGGATGCTTGATATTGGAACAAAATATGTGGTAGAACTTTATGTAAAATAGAATCCAAGACTCATTATTCCATCTGCTGTCATATGTGTATAGAAAAGAGTATAAATGTAATACACAAGGGTGGTTTGTTGTAACAAAGTCATGTCTCTTTGAAAGGTCATACAGCATAATCATTAACTCAGAATGATTCAGAACAGTGAGGTTAAAATAAATAAAACCCTTGAGGAAAAGAACTTTCTGGAAGAACTTGAGTTCTTTAAAGGAGGTGTTGAGGGTTTGGTCAACATCAATGTTTAGTTTATAGTAAGTACTTTCTGAACTAATTTTTGTCCCTTTTAAAAAATGCATGCGTTTTAATGCATTGTCAAGTCTTAGAGCGAGAATTAAGTCCCAGAATTTAATTGAATATGAAAATCTGCAGAGTGGCAGGCCATAAGTTTGCCTTTAAGAAGGCTAGCAATAAAGATAAAATGTGTCTGGAGCTATCTGTAGATGCTAAGAAAAAAGTTAAGCCTCCATCTAAATAGCTTATTTCCTAATAAGCTCTTCTGAAGTCTTTACAGGGTCCCCTGCTTTGAAACTGTTAGATGCAGAGGACATTATTTATATTTGTAATGTAAATTATTTATATTATCAAGGCATGTTTAAGTTAGGAAACCTGCATTGATTAAAAAAAGAATGCTTAATGCTGGCAGAGGTCCAGTAGAACGAATACTTTCATAACCTGCAGTCAGAATGTATTTAAGCTTTTTTTTTTTTTTAAGAAGTTTGTCAATGTGTCAACAATTTTTAAATATATTACTTTCCTATTTCCATTTCTGGTTTCTATTGTAAGAAGTAATCATGTTACAGCCCAATGGGTTCTTCTTGCCTACTGCCCAGAAAAAGCCAATACACTGAGATGGCGGGTATTGCAGCAGAGAAAGCGTTTAATAATTGCAGGGCAAGCTGAGCAAGGAGATGGGGGATATTTCTCAAATTTGCCTCTCTGAGAATTTTGAGGCTAGGGTTTTTCAAGGATAGGTTGGTGGGCAGGGGGCTGGGGAATAGGGAAGGCTAATTGGTTGGGTCTTGGATGAAATTATAGGGGGGTTGAAACTGTCTTCTTGTGCTGAGTCAGTTTCTGGGTGCATGTTACCAGTCTGGGTGGCACCAGTTGGTCTGTTGGAATGCAAGGTCTGAAAAGAAAAGTCTTAAACACTAGTTTTAGATTTTACAGTAGGGATGTTTTCTATAGAAGCAATTGAGGAAGTTATAAATCTTGTGACCACCGGCCATGTGACTCCTGTTAGTAAGCAGTTACAAAAAAGGCAAGCTATAAAACAATGACTGGTTAGAGTTTAACTATACCTACATCTTAGCAGAGTTCAGGCCTCTACCGTAAACTAACCCTGTGGCCTTTCATTAGTTTTACAAAGGTGATTTCAGTTCCCTAGCAAGGAGGGGATTAAGTTTGGTAAGGAACTATTAGCATCTTTGTTTTAAAGTTAAATTGTAAACTAAATTCCTCCCATAGCCTGGCCTATATGCAGGAATCAGCAAAGACAGCTTATGAGTTTAGCAGTAAAATCGAGTCAGTTATTTTAGGTCTCTCTCACTGTCATAATGTTTGCAAAGGTGATTTCAGTCAGAAATCCATACAAATCTCTATTCATAAAGATGTTCACCATGATACTGCACATAAAAATAAAAAAGGGACCTTTAGGCTATTTCTAATTAATAAGAATGGTTAGAAAAATTATGATGTAGTCATGCAATAAGATATTTACATAGCTTTTAAAATGACATGCTGGAAATTTTTTAATTAAATGAAAAAAGCACTTATGTTATAATATTATGTGAAAAAAACCAGGCTCTGAGATTTATATAAGTTTCAGTTATTAGGAGTGACATTATCTCTTGTAGTCCAAGATGCTTTTACCTTACTGGTTAGTTGGTGCTGTAGGGGCCAAGGAAGAGCTTTCCCCTTGGCCCTTTGAAAGTTCACTGAAAAATCAACTCTCAAAAGGCAGATTAATTGGAGAAAAGGCATAAGGATTTATTTAATGAGTATACATAGGGGGCTTTAGAGTGAAGATCCAAAGATGGAGATGAAATTCTCTATTTTCATGCTTAGGTTCAACAAAGTGTGGACAGCCACATAGAAATAGGATTGGACAAAAAGAGTACGATCTAATGTGAATGGACTGAGTGGGGAAACCCAGAAAGCCCTGTCTGTCTAGATGCTTCTTGCCCTCTGTGATCAGCATTCCTTTCTTCTGGGTATGGAGCAGGACCCTCTGTGGTTAGGTAACTTCTCTATGGCTAGGTTTTGCAAGGAAAGGTGGAGGTAAGTTAGGGTAATATTTTTAGCTTTTTTGGCTGGTGTTGGGGAAAAGGGGTTCTAGTTTCTATGACACGCCTTGTGGAAGAGGGATTCTAGTTTCTACAGCTAGCCTTGGTGGGGAGAATGGGACTGAGAGACAGGAACATAGGAGAAGGTCAGAGAAAACCTTTTGCTTCTAAGGCTGTTGCTAAGGCCTTCATTTGGGGTATTGTTTTCTGGATCCCGACAGTGCATTATCATCATCTAATACTGGTCTTATAATTCATTCAGTTAAGTCAACAATCTCCCTTCTACTCTACCAGATATTGAGCTGGTCCTTGAGATACAAAGATGAATAGCCTAGGAACTACAATATTTGAATGCAAACTTAATATTTACTCATATTTATTTACTAGGAAGCTATAGAGTTTTAGTCAAATGTCACAGCCTGAATTTCTTTCCTAGGTGAAATGATTTGTTTGCTTTAGGAATCAAAGTCGTACAAACTAAAGTCCAGCAGAAAAAGAGACCAGGAAATACAAGTTACCTTAGGAAATCTTAAGTGGATGACTTGGTCTAAACATTTTTAGCATGCATATTTTGGGGGAACCTATAGATCTTAGAATTGGGATTTGAGAATAAAATTTGATATACTTTTTAATGTTGTATTCACCTTTCTCCCTCCTTTGGGCTCCTGAAAACCAATCCTGGTTTGATTTGGTCTAGATTATTAACTGGGAATGGGTCTGTCTACCCCACTTAACTGAGAATTCCTGTAAGGCAGATACCAAGACTTAGGTGCGTTTTACTCATTTTTCCCCCTAGTTTTTCATAGTGTCTGGCAAATGCTAGGTACTCATTAATGTTTGGAAAAATGAATTACTGGTATAGTTATAGTTAACTGCCATGATATAGAATAGATGGATGGAGACATAACGTTTGAGTAACATGGCCTCCACAGTGTTGTCACTCTTTTGCAGTGAACTTTTAGAAAAAATATTTACTTCTCTTTTACAGGCCAGTGAGGTTATATAGTATTTCATACCTACTATCTCACAAGGACTTAACAAATTTTAGACTAATTATAAAGCAACATAAGCTGCTTGGAAGAAAAGCGCTTGTATATCTGAATTGGAAATTTGGTTATTTTTAATTCTAGTGGGAGTTCAATGGCAAATGAAGAGTGAAAAAGGGCTTAAGATTTGGATGAAAACATGCTGTAAAAAGAATATGAGCTTTATGTGTGATAATTATAAAAAATGTTTGAGATTAGTCATCCTGATAGAATATAAACATATGAGAACTACTTTATATGTATGCATGCATGTATAAATATATGTACTATATATATATATACATATATGGAAAGAGCTTATCAGTGTTGCTCATATCAACCCAGCATACTGCATTTGTGATTAGTAAAAAGAAAATATTATCAGAAACATCAACAAATATGCTGAGTCTTAGGTTTCACATACAGTACTAGTCTCTGAGGCCGCCATGGCCCAAGGACTTATACAGCACACACCTGCACACACACACAGACACACACACACATACAAAGGTAAAGTTAAAAAATATATGTAAGCTGTAGAGTTTCAGCCAATTTTTTTAAAGCAGATCTAGAATTAGTATTTTCAACCTCTGTACTTATTGAAAACTCGTGTGGTCAAGCATAGGATGGGAAGCAGATCATTTTATAATTAGAGTTTCTTATATTTTAAATAAAAAGTCTGATGTTTGGAAAGATAAAAGATGCTCATCTTCCTTTCCTGTTCTAAAACCTTCAGTGGCATCTCTTGCATGTAGAATGAAGTCCAAAGTCTTCTTTGCTTTTTTTAACCTCTACAGTCTATTTTATACTTTCCGCCCACTGCTCACCATCATGAACTATACACTGCAAATTCACCTTCCCCAGTTTTCTGTCTCTGTATATCTGCTAAATATGATGCCAGCTGCCTGTGCCCTGTGCTAAGAGTCTTACATATATTATCTCATAGAATCCTAATGGTGACCGAAAGGTAGTTGCAATTATTCTCATTTGGATTCATTATTTTGTCCAAAGTCATACAGCTAGTGAGTGTCAGAGTCCTAACATAAAGGCAGGCTCTCTGAGCAGAAGCCTTTGCACATGCTGTCTGGCCTTTTCCCACCGCATGGAATGCCCTTTTGTCTCTGTCTCTGCATGTCTAAATCCCACTCATTCTGCAGGCTGTTTATATAGAAGTTCTTCCCTAGATCTTTCCTATTGGTGGTCTCTCTTTCTCTGACCACTCATCACTCTATATCTTTTTTAGAGCTATCCATCATCTTTCACAGTATATTATGGTATTTTTATGTTACATATCTCATCCTCCTCCTCTCCCCCAGCTCACAGGGTTTCTAGTATAAAGAGTGATGACAGGGCGTGGTGGCTCACGCCTGTAATCCCAGCACTTTGGGAGGCCGAGGTGGACAGATCACGAGATCGGGAGATTGAGACCAGCCTGGCGAACATGGTGAAACCCCATCTCTACTAAAAATACAAAAATTAGCTGGGCGTGGTGGCGTACGCTTGTAATCCCAGTTACTTGGGAGGCTGAGTGAGGAGAATCGTTTGAACCTGGGAGGTGGAGGTTGCAGTGAGCCAAGATCACGCCATTGCACTCCACCTGGGTGACAAGGCGAGACTCCATCTCAAAAAAAAAAAAAAGAATGATATATGTTACATTTTACCAACTTTTATGGATCACATACAAGGTGCCTGGTATCACGCCATTCCTGAGAGTTATTTAACACTCTCAGCAGTGCTGGGTAGAAGAAATCTGCATTTTGCAGAGGAACAGAGTAGGTCAATGATTGTTGGAGACTACAGAGTAGGTGCAGCCTGGATTTGTAATAAGAGAATCTTGACTTCAAGTTTGGAGCTCTTTTCACCATGTACAGCAGCCTCATCAAATGCTCAGTGGAATACCTTGCGTCTGGGAAGCTGGCAATAAAGATCTGTCAAGTGATTAAGCCTGAACCTGCATAATAGTCACCTAAAGAGTTATACATGAAGAAAATGTCTTGGGAAGTTTCAGTAGTCTTAGACTCTTGGATTTCATATATTCAGTTTTTTATCTGCATGTTAAGTTTTACAAGTATCTTGAACACAACTATCCACCCTCAATTGTCATGCCTTCCCTATGTGCTCTGTTTTTGTAAATGGTAGTACCATCCACCCAGTTGGCTGGAGGAATCTGGGAACCTTCCTAAACTTCTCCCTTCTGTAACTGTCCCTCTCCCTGCCTTCTCCCCATCTGATTAAATACTAAAGTCTGGAAATTCTACCCCTTGAAAATATCTCTTGAATCTGTATCATCTTCCCTGTTACCTGGGGCCATTGTAATTGTTTTCAGGTTTTCTCCTTTCGGTATCATCCTCCACAATGCTACTAGAATGCTCTTCTTAATATGATGGTCTGGTCATATCACTTTGTGGCTGGAAATTACTTTTCAGGGCTCTTCCCAGCCCCCGCCAGCATATCAGCTTGACATACATGTTGCTTTATGATTTAGATTCCAACTCTCTGTCCAGCTTCAGCTCCCACTGCTACACTCTTGGCATCACAGAAACATTTTCCTGAACAAGTCCTGCTCTCAGACTTTCATTCCCCTATGCTCGGGATTCCTTTCTCTTGGAATGCCTCTCCTTACTGGTGAATTCCTACTAATTCTTCAATACTGAACTCAAAGCCATGACGTCTGTGAGACATTACTGAATCCTTGGAGCAGGTTAGTCACACCCTTTTTGTTTCTAGCGCAATTTATCCTTAAAGTTGAATTGTAGTGTATCTACTTATATGACTGTTTTATCTCTTAGATTTTGAACACCTCATCTTTGTAGTCTAGCACTGTGCAGGTAACCACTGAATAGTCACTCAGTAGATGCTTATATTGGGAAGCCAGTTTCCAATAGCATAAAAGGCTTCTCCCTCCTCCCCCAAATTTAGGAGCTAATGTTGACTATTCTTTAAACCTGATTATAATCTCTCACCTACAGCCCCAAATTTGCTTTTTGAAAAGCATTCAGAGGACCTGGGAAATATTTCTCTTCTGTCTCTGGCTTAAATCATGACCAATTAAGCCCTTGACAAAGAAGAGAAACACAGACCTAATTTTTTAAAAAACTGATCACTTTTAATTTGTGGTGAATCAGTCTACTTATTCATTTTTGAATTTGTTTGCTGTGAGAGTTACATCATACTGCTTTAAAAAATATACTTTAAAAAAAGAGATGGATAATATCTAATACACTGACAGACTCAATAGTTAAAAACAAGTATTTTCATCAGTGGCAAAGATATATCTGAGTTTCTGTTTATGTCATCTAATTTTTTTCTGTGCTTTTTTGTTGTTGTTCTGACAGGGTCTCAGTACAGGGTCTCTGAGCCTGTTGCCCAATCTGGAGTGCGATGGTGCAGTCACATCTCACTGCAGCCTTGAGCTCCTGGACTCAAGTGATTCTCCACCTCAGCCTTCCTCATAGCTAGGACTACAGGTGATGCTACCATGCTCAGCTAATTTTTAAAATGTTTTGTAGAGATAAGGTCTTGCTGTGTTATCCAGGCTGGTCTTGAATTCCTGGCCTCAAGAGATTCTCCCACCTCAGCCTCCCAAAGTGCTCGGATTACAGGCATGAGCCACCATGTCTAGCCTGTGTTATCCAATTTCGATCTTATTAGAAATAGGCAGATTCTTCTGAAATATCCTGAATGTACATATTTCAGTCAGCCATCTCTATTCTATTCCCCCTATAACTTTACAGCAGTGTTTTTGTCTATTTATTTTTAAGACTCAAGACGTTTATTAAAGTTAACATCTCTGTTCTCTAACATCACAAACTTGAAAAGCCTTTGTTGTTTTTGTCAAAAAAAATGAGTCTGTTGAATTTTGTTTATGAAATTTTTGTTAAAGTAGCAGTTTTTCTGACTACTTCAAAGGTATGTCTTGCAAAATTCAAGCTGATGAAGACAGTAAAAGCTGTGACAACACTTACTTGCCACTACTGATATTACTCTTTTGAGTACAGTTTTTTTCCCCCCAAATTTTCTTTTAAATTCAGGAAAGAGAATACTTTGGTAATAACAATGGTATCTTTGAATTAACACCTCAGAAAGAAACAAGTATTTCATAAGGATTCCACTCCCGCCCCTTTCCCCCACAATCCTTTGTCCTCTGACTGAGGATGAATTTGCAGGAGAGTTTAATAACTTCAGTTTGATAATCTGTTCTTTAACAGGCTGACACTTTATGGACTATGTGAATTTTTTTTCCTATTTACTCTTCCATAAGTTGTTGCAGGTTTGGGCATTCCACATGGCACTGGGCATTTTCCCTGTGGTTTGTGGGAGTAACTTACATTGGAGATTTTTAGTGAGGGGCAGGAGGTCACCATAACTCTGTCTAGTGGACTGGCATCATGGGAACCCATGGTCTGGATGACGGTCCAGGCTAGATGTTGATGTCTGTTGGGTAACAAAGTGACACTTGGTTTGCTCACTGTGGCGTCCCCTTTGTCCCTGGAGCATTCTGTGACAATCTGCAGGTTTTGTACTGAGGAGTGTAACTCTAAAAAATAAACCTTTGTTTTTCTCTATTTACATTGCAACATTTTTGACTATGTTAAATTGTTTTGTAAGAGATTGTATATTTTTATTTTAAACATTAAATGGTGGTGTATACTATGTTTAAATCAAGATTTTAAGTGTTCACTCAGATTCAGAGATATAACTTACTTATTTGAAAAAAATTTTTACAAAATTGTTTCTCTTTTTGTTCTGTCACTATTATATTCACTTTAAATGAAATCTTAGAAGAGCTGATCTGGAATTATAGTGCTTTGTAATTGTTATCTTTATCTCAGAAGCCAATCATGTACTTGGAAATAAATTTTTTTTCTTTAATTATTGTACTAGTATGTAGAGAATTATAATACGGAAGAGATTAGATTTGAGACCATTTGCAAATGATATCTTTATTATTTTAAGTTATATCAACTATCTGACAACATCTTGAAAACTAGTTTTGATTAAGTGTGATTGGATTTCTTTCCTTAAAGACACAAAGCTCTTTGTTAATAAATTAGTCAGAAGGCTTAAACTTTCTGTTTTTTAATTTTAAATGTTAACATTCTAATATATATGTATATATACACACATATCTATGTGTATATATTATTTTAGGCTTATCCATATATACATATATATGTGTGTATATGTGTGTGTGTGTGTGTGTGTGTGTATATATATATATGTGTATATATATATATACACACACCTAATATACCTAAGTGTGTATATATGTGTGTATATACACACAATATATGCATACACACGTGTGTGTGTGTGTGTGTGTGTGTGTGTGTGTGTGTGTATATATATATGATTTTGTATTTGTTTTAGACATGGGGTTTCACCGTGTTGGCAGGGCTGGTCTTGAACTCCTGGCCTCAAGTGATCCATCTGATTCATCCACCTTGGCCTCCCAAAGTGCTAGGATTACAGGTGTGAGCCACTGCACCCGCCAACATTCCATTATATTTTAAGTTTGTTCAGTATAGTAGGAGTGGAATAAACCTTATTTTTAAATGGTCTGTGTACTCACACTTTTCTTACAACTTTATTGTGGTATGATTTATATAACATAAAATTTATGTATTTTGAGTGCGTGATTTGGTAGTTTTTAGTAAATTCTCTGAGTTGTATAAGCATGACTAAAATCCAGTTTTAGAGCATTTTCATCACCACAGTAAAATTGCTCATGACCTTTTACAGTTAATTATTTTCCCACCCCCAGTCCCAAACAACTACGAATCTACTTTCTGTCTTTCTAGATTTGCTTTTTCTAAATATTTCTTATAACTAGAATCATACAATATATGGTATTTTGGTTTTGGCTTTCTTCACTTAGCATGATGTTTTTGAGGTTCATTCATGTTGTGGCATGTATCACTACTTCCTTCCTTTATATGGCTGAATAGTATTCCATTTTATGGACAAACCATATTTTGTTTAATCATTCACCAGTTCATGGACATTTGGGTTGGTTTTTACTTTTTGGCCTTATAAATAATGCTGCTGTGAACTTTCATATACAAGTTTTTATGTGGGTGAACATATGTTTTTATTTCTCTTGGATAGATATCTAGGGGTGGGATTGCTGGGCTTTATGGTAAATGTATGTTTAACTTCTTAAGAAACTGCCTATTTTCCAGAGTGACTTTTCTGTCTTGCATTTCCACCACCATTTTCACCAGTATGTGAGGGTTCTTCTTGTTGGAATAACTTTTTAGAGTCTTTGAAGTCTCATTTTGGATCAAATGAGAGCATCTTTGTGAATGAGTTTAGCTTGTGCACAGATATATCTCCTGTCATTGTCAGGTGACAGATAGTGTGGCTGATTTCACGAGAAAGATGAAACAAAAAAGGGAGAGAAAATAAAATGGAGGGAAAGAGGGACAACCTTTGAATAACCCCTCTTTTAATTTGTTGTTGTTTTGTTTAATTTGGGTTTAGTTGTTGGTTTTTCAGAGCTTATCAAGTGTAGTTAAATAAAATCCTTCCCAAGGAGGGCCAAGCCCAGAGGGCAAATGGAGTTTGCCGGGCAATTGGGCACCTCTGTTGTTTTTTGAGGGGTGGGGGTCCATTAGCCATCTCCCACAGTGGCTGAGTGTGGGAAGGTAAGGCTTCTGACATCTCCTCTTGCTTTGCAGTGGTCATAGTGGAGAGTGGCATGGACATTATGCAGTATGGAGGAGCTCCCATATGGAGTCAGATAGCTTTGGCTTTGAAATTTGTTTCTGCCTCTTACTTTGTAGACCTGTTTAGGTCCCTTGGCCACCCCAGTCTTCAATGACCACATTCTTCTTGGTCACCTGGCACTTCCCTCTCTGTAGTGTTCTCTGCAGAGTAACCTCAGATATGATAATGGAGGCTAAAGTGTCATCCACTGAACAGAAGAAAGTAGGGGACAGTGCATTCCCATTCTTTACCTTTTGCTGTGCTGCTGCCTTCCCACTTCTCTTTGGGTTATTTCCTTAGTAAAAGACCTACTTCCCAAGTCTGGGGCCAAGTGGATGGGCCATCCCAGACTTAAAATGGCAAACTTGAGTGTGTTAAGGGTAAGTATTTGAAACAGGCTTGTGGTCTGTTCCTTCACACGCCAGGGATGTTTTTCTTTGGAATTTTTTAGTTTAATGATTGGAAGGAAAGGATTTGGAGTATGTTAACCCTGTGGGACTTTCATTATAGAGTGGAACCATGATGTGGGTTCTTTGGTCTTTCTTCTGGTCACTCATTAGTCCCTGTTGAATTTAGCTGTGTCCTCCAGCACACCACTGAATTATAATAGTGTCTTTGGGAATAAATAGCTTTGAGGACCTTAGAAGAAAAACAGTACTTTGTTGCAGAAAATGATAGCTTTGTTATAATAGGGGAGTTATATATCTCTCTCTCTTTCAGTCCTTGAAAAACCTCCTCACAGTTTCTAGTCTAGCATAAAAACAAAGCACTATTTAAAAATATGTTCAGTATACGCTTCTATAAGCCTACTAATTTATGACCTCATGCTGTCTTCTGATTAACAAAGCAAAACAATGCCAAGGACTTATTACCTCTGTAAATTCCATGTTTTTTGAGATCCTCTTTCTGTAATTTAAATAAGACTACAAGAACAAAAGGTAACTAACTCTATTCGTGTTACTCCCAAGTCTCTTTTTTGTTTTAGTTAGTATATACATTTTAATATAGCATAGTATGTGTAGGTAATATTTTTCCCTTTGCTTTTAACTTACTTCTATGTATGCATTTTATGCATGGAATTTTTAAGTTAATGTTTATAGAGTGCTTCTTATGTGTAGGCACTGAGTTTTGTGCTCTTCTCAGATATAATCTCATTTAGTTTCTACAATATCCTGTGTGAGGCTAGATCCTATTTTGACCTTAAAAATCATGGTCATTGTAGAAAAGTAGGAAAAGTAAAAATAAAAAAACTGTATTAGGAATTCAGCCATTTAGAGATAACTTTTTGGATAAATTTTATTCCTTTCCCCCTTAGAGTTTTATGGAATCAGGTATGTTTTATGTGGGGTGTGTGTGTGTGTGTGTGTGTGTGTATTCATTCTTCATGATAAAATTAGTATCTCATTGTATATGTTGTTTTGAAATGTGCTCTTTATTATTTTAACAAGATATAGTGGTATAGTGGAATAAACATTTCTCCATGCCATTACATCTCCTTCTGTAACATTACTTTAATGATTTTCCCTGCTTACCATAAAGGGAATAGAGCTCATTGTCATTCAGTTAGTCAATTCAGAAAGATAAAGAAGAAAGAGAAAGAATTGCTGTTTTGTGTCTATGCTTTGAGACTTTTTTCTGGTCTTGATCTCTTTTAAAAGAGCTATTTACATGTGGGTGGAAATATTTGTCAGAAATATAATGTGATATATCTTAACTCTTACTGGTTTTTATTGTAAGAGGGGAAGTAAATGTTATGTTGTTTTGAATATAAGAAGGATATGGTCCTCTTCCCTACCATACGCCTTTGAGAAATGGGATCATAATAGACACCTTGGAGAATATTAGCAAGCTGACTTCTATGCTTGTAGATCCATTGCTTAGTGTGGTAATGACAGTCTTACTGAATAATCCCCTATCTTGGAATACACACATACAGATTCTCATTTTAAAAAGGAAGCACAGTAAGTGGAATTTCAAAAACATCATAGTCTTTGAAGCTATCTCAACTGTTAATTTGTAGTTCTAGAGCTTTGCTTTATTCTTGTTATTTTTAACTAAGGTTTGTTCTTATTAGCCAGCAAATTTAAAAATAGAAATGTCCTGAAAGACCTAAGGACTCCTGTTATAAAGATGTTGCATTCTGGACAGATGTCATTGATACTGTACCCTTGGGAATACTGCCTAGTAAATATGCTGATCTAATAGCATTGCTGTTTTTATGTGGAAATTTCATCTTAACAACTATATCAAAATGTTTGAGTCATGCATTTAGGGTCAGTACTACAGTTTTGAGATGGTTAAATCCATGCAGTCTTTGGCTGTTCTCTTAGAAGACCGTGTGTGTCAGAGTCAAATTATCTAACAAAGCATTGCTCGGTGTGGGATGTAATGCGAGGCACCCCTTCTGCTGGTGCTGTGACCAAATAGGCCAATTTCTTTCCCTGGAGAGTGGGGTGTGGTTCCATGGCAGGGGTAAAGTCTCAACATCAGCACATTGGAACATTAGTAAGCAAGGTCTGGATAAGGTTACATTTTCCCAGAAATAAACAGGGAGCCTTTCTTCATGATCTAACTTGAGCATTATCATCCAGAGATTGGGGATGGAGCGATAATTACCCACAGCTCATGGCACCACTTGGGCAATAATAGAAGTTTATTTAAGTCCTTGTTATTTTGCTTGTTTGTTTTTGAGACAGGGTCTTGCTCTGTCACACAGGCTGAAGTGCAGTGTCAACAGCATGGCTGACTGCCACCTCAACATCCTGGGCTCAAGTGATCCTCCCACCTCAGCCTCCTGGTAGCTGGGACTCCAGGTGGAAGCCACCATGCCTGGCTAATTTTTTTTTTTTTTTTTTAGGCAGAGTCTCAATCTGTTGCTCAGGCTGGAGTGCAGTGGTGCGATCTTGGCTCACCACAACCTCCGTCTCCTGGGTTCAAGCGATTCTCCTGCCGCAGCCTCCCAAGTAGCTGGGACTACAGATGTGTGCCACCATGCCTGGCTCATGCCTGGCTAATTTTTAAAAAAGTTTTTTGTAGTGACAGCGTCTCACTATGTTGCCCAGGCTGGTCTTAATCTCCTAGGCTCAAGTGATCCTCCTGCCTCGGCTTTCCATTAAATCCTAGTTTGAAGATTTAATATTAGCTCTGCTTTCCTAATTTTAGTGAATAGAGGTGAAGCTGCTTAAAATTATCTAAGCTTATATTTGGAATCACATGGATAAGAGGTGGACACTGAGGATTTCTATTCTTGTTTAATAGTTCCCTTGGATGCCGGGTCCCAGTCTTTGTTACTAGGTTAAAATATCATTCTATTCATTAAACCTCTCTAAAAATAGTCCAAGTTTGCAGTAATAATTAAGGGAGCTTCATTCCCTGTGTCTTCTTCCCATTTCTGTCTCTTCCAGGGGAGGGCTGCCACCCACACCCCGGGCCCATAGAGGAGGCTCAGTGTTGCCACTTCTTTGTCTTTTCTGTTAGGGTCACTCCTGTGTATAATGCTGGAATAATGCATGGGCTTGAGGGTTTTCCAGAATCATAGTTTTTCTCTGAGCCCAGGGGGGTTGCATCTGTAGTGCGTGACCATGTGAAGCTTGGCCACCCTCCCTGTTCACTGACATAATGAGAAGCTCTGTGTAACTGCTAGTCCCACTGGCTGACATCAAGGTTAGGAAACATGCAAGCAGCTCAGCAGGGAGGCTCTGGAGAGCTGTGAAAATACCATTTAGTTTGCATAGAGAAATGTTGTGACTCCATGTAAACGCTCCAGCTAGAACTTCTAGAACATTTTCTCACGTTTAGAATTGCTCTTTGCCCTTCTATTAAGCTTCCTTCCTTCCTTATTCATAACTTTCCTACCAGACATGTTCCACGTAGCCAGTATCCCAATCTAGACTATCACCAGACCCTTTACAAAACCCACAAAAATTGCCATGTTTCTCACACTATTTTTGTGAGATATAGTGGGGAAATTATAGGTGCCATATTTGGTATTGGTAAGAGTTACGAATAGTGTGGTATGTATGATGCAAGCTAATTCTGAATTGATTCAGGGAATAGCTTCCTGTGTTTTGAAAGTGTCTACCTCCTGAGTTGCTGGGACTACAGATGCGTGGTACCATGCCTGGGTCTCCATTTTATTTTTCTAAATATCTTCCTCCCTCACACTTTTGATCACATTTTTCTTCTTTACCCTCATTTTTATTGTTTTACGAATTACTTTTGTAAGCCTTGGCTTTTATGGTGATACATCATCTTATTTTCCTTATGATCATGTCTCTGGCCAGTTCCTTCCCAGTAGCTTTCCTAAACACGCCTTCCTCGGTCCCCTTGTTATGTGTTGATGTTTACTATGGTCTGGATATCACCCAAAATTTGGTGTTGAAACTTAATCACCATGTGATAATGTTAAGAGGTGGGGCCTATAGGAGGTAAGTCATGAGGGTGCAGAGCCGTCTCTGCTGTCTCATCCCCCTGCCTTCCACCTCCACCTGTGAGGACACAACAAGGCACCATCTTGGAAGCAGAGAGACCTTGCCCTCACTAGACACCAAACCTGCTGGGACCTTGATCTTGGTCGTCCAGCCTCCAGAACTGTGAGAAATGAATTTCAGTTCTTTTAAAATTACCCAGTCTTAGGTATTTTGTTATAGCAGTAAAACGGACCAAGACAATGTTCTACCATGTTTTGTCTTTGACCTGATATTCTTCTTTTTCTGGTTTCAGCTGTGTGCTATGCTCCCAACTCAGCTTCTCTAAGCCACACCTTTCTGGAGACCCCCACTTCAGTATTTCACAGATACCTCACACTCGGTGCTCCAATAGAACTCTTCTTTTTTTGATATTTTCTTTTCTCCAATGGCTCTTTCTCTTGTGATCCCACTCTTAAGAAAGTGGGGAGTTATTCTGGACTTTTCCTCCTCTCAGTAATCACACTCAGCCCTGTTGGCCCTTCCTCCTTGCTGACTGATAACTCTGTCCTCTTCTCCCCTGCTCTCCAACCATACTGGGTTGATTCAGACTTGCCTCACTTTTGACCTAGAATCCTGCAACAGAACCTCTAACAGTTTCATCTTGCTACCTACCCAAAGTACAGCCGGAGGGTTGCTTACCGCATTGAATCTTTAACTTTCATGCTTGAATCCCTCCATCACTTTCATAGTTTTCAAGATGAAGTTGAAAGTCCTGCCTGTACATTCGGAGTCCTCTGTGATTTGGCATGTGGAGTGAATGAAGTATGAACTTGCCACTCCCCGGGGTTGGGGAGGGCGGTGCCTGGCATGGGGTGTATTAGGGGGTGAATGTATGAACCAAAATAGGTTGTACCCAAAAAGACTTAGTTTAGGAGATGAACAAGAGCCATTTTCTGGAGACCCCTTGATTCCTGGGATGGTATTATCTAAGTCTATAGGGCAGTGAAGGATAAGAACAGGGATTTGTGGATTTGGCTGCTGGGAGGGCAGGAGCAGAATAGGGTGACTGTGAGGAGGGACCGCAGAGTGAATAGTGAACTCCCATTAAGTGCAGTCCTGCAGGTTCAGGGTGTGCTGGGCAGCCTTCAGGATCACGCTGTGTAAGCAACCTGAGAGAGATTGTGAGCAAAGTCATTTTAAACATAAATTCTAAAGAAAAACCTTAAGTTTTGAACACTTAATGAGTGTGCAGTATATGGAAGTTGCAAGAGGAGTAACCTAGTTCAGATATTAGAGTAACTGAGCTGAGTGGAATCAATAGCAAGGTTTTAAAAAGTTCCTAAACATCTTAATAGTAATATACATGGAATGAGTGCTCACTGTGAACCAGGCACTATACTAAGCACTTCTTCATGCTGTAGCTTATAAACCTCCAACAACTTAATGAAGCAACAACTATTATTATTTCCCATTTTAGAGAGAGGACATAAAGCCAAACTTACCTGGAAACTTACCCAAATTTTTGTTACCCAGTCTCAGAAGAGATACTTCCAATCAGAAAACGATTTCAAAGCCTGGACCCTCAGCCATTACTCTGTCTTGCCTTTTTAACCATACATACATCACTGTTATAACATCTAAAAATGAACGGTTCCTTAATTTCATTAAATATCTTGGTCTCATTAATGTCATGTTTTTTCCCCCTCAAAAGATTCAAAAACCTTTCACAGAAGGTCCACACTTTGCAAGTGGCTGATGTATTTTTAAAGTCTCTTTTTATTTAATAAGTGTTCCTCCACATTGCAATTTAAGATTCAAAGAAATTGAGTTATTTTTCCTAGTATAATTTCCCACAGTTTGGATTTTGCTGAATGTGTCCCTTATGGTTTGGTTAATATGTTTCCTTGTCCCCTGTATTTCTTGTAAATTGGTAGTTGAAACTGGAGGCATGAGCAAATTAGGGTTTGATATTTTTGGTAAGACTTATACTTTAGAGGTGATGGTGTGTTCTCACTTACTGGATTCTGAAAGTTTGTAGGAAAAGGACTGTAACTCCAAGGTACTATCGGTTTTCTTGAGAAAGATGTTTCTACTAAATGGGAAGGGTCTGGTAAACCTCCTCCCTGTCCCACTCAGCAGGGTTAGATGTTTTCCCTTTGTGTTCCATGGCAATTGATTCTGTCACACTTATCAAACTAAAGTGTCAATTTTTGTGTCTGTCTTCTCTATTTCAGTGAGCAGTCTTCATTCTTCAAGGAGTTGTATAATTCTTGATTTTTGTAACATGGAGCTTAGCATAATGCCTGGCATGTAGACACACAAGATTTATTAAATATCCATCGAGTAAATAAATTATTAGAGATTAATGCATTATGAAGGCATGTTTCAATCCCATATTATTGTTATGCTTGTCAAGTTGTCTATGTTGTCAGTATTTGGAGGCTACCACCAGGGTTGGAAACACGATAAATGAGGGTGCTTTTTTTTTTTTTTTTTTTTACAACTATGAAATCAACACACATTGTGGATGTTGCTTAGCTTTTAAAATACTAGTCTGAAAATAATTTGTTCATTAAAGGGACACCTTAGTTTTCTCGAGGTAAGCCAACGAGTTGTAGCTGTTGGCAAAACTGGACTATATTTGCATGTTAGAGTTGTGTCACACCCAAGGACACTGAGAAGGAAACAAAAAGTCAGAGAAGTGGAGCTGGTGTTGCGATGTGTAACCAGTGAGTCACATAGGGCATCCCACTCAGAAAGGCTCTGCATTTGGGGCTCAGTGCTCTGTGGTTGCTATCTTGAATTCTTAGTGATTTTATTCTTGAATTTGTGATTTTGTAAGTGAAGTCCAATAGGACAGTGGAGCATGCGTCAGCAGCATGGAGCTCTGCCTTCTGTCACCTCCTTGCCTCCCAGGACAGATGCTCAGCAGCCAGCTCCCCTGCCCCCTGGTACCCTTGTCTCTCCTGGCCTCCCTTTGACACCACCATCAAGCAACCACTATTACCCTCTGTCCCTAGTTGGAGTCTGGGAGCAGGAGGGTCAATGTCTGCTATGAATACCCTGTGGTATCTTGTAGGCATGGTGCTGGCTGTCCCCACTCCCAGCTGGCAGTGCCATCATTCTTTCAGCAAGCAACAGTGGCAAGCCTCCCACTCATTCCTGATTCAGGTGCTGAGTGCATCCCAGCACAGAGGTTGTAATCCCTTGGAGTTGCCTGTCCACCATGAGCAGGGCAGCATGCTCCTTTGCAAGGGGAGATGCCTGGCTCAGGCCCGCCACCTCTGGGTTGGCACCGTCAGTCCAATAACTTGCAGAAGGGGGAGCCCTATAGCTGATGGGTTGCACACTTATGCCCTTGATCATGGGACAAGGCCCTTGCATGCCTATGAGGGTCCATATTGGCCCTGTGAGTATCCCTGTGCTCAAGGGAGTTTGATATTAATAGCAATTTAAAAGCACCATGAGAGGTTGAAAGAGAGACACAGAAGAAAGGAAAAAATTTATACTTTGGTGCCTTTAATGGCACTTTCATCCTATTTTTTTCAGCAAGGAAACTCACATTTTTATTTTGGATTAAGCCCTGCAAATTATGTATCCCACCCTGAAGAGAAGGTAGTTAGAAGGCATACAGAAAAAGTGAGAACTTGGACATTGTGCAGGTAGTTCTTTCCATGGGATGGGAGTGGTGGTCAATTTTCTTGGATTTTTATGGGAACAGTCTCTTAAGGTGTCTCATCTGAAATACCTTTGGTAAGAGCATGTAAGTCCCTTTTTATCTGATTTCAGTGTTCACCCAAGCAATCTTAATGACCATGGTTTGTCTTCCATATAGCTTAGCTACAGGAGAGAATGTAGTGATTAGGGGAACTTTAAGTTTTCTGATTCTTGTGATAGTTATTTTTTATTGTAAATTAAACTCACATTTTGAATTTCTGTTTTGGTCTGTAAGCTTGTTTTATGAAAGTCCGTCTTTGAAGATATATTCAGTTTGGAGGAATGCCACAATATGTTTTTGAGCTTGCAAGCCTGAGGGCTTGAACCATGGTCAGTTAATCCCAGAATGAGCAATACTCTGTGAGATCTCTAGGGAGATGGTCTGCCGGTGGTTTCCACTGTGAATGAGTCCACAATATTGCAATGTGGCAGAGCACATATGTGCTTATTTTTCCAAAGCATTTATGCTCTAGGGCACAAATAGCAACTGTGAAGCTTACTTTCGCCTAGAACAATACAAGCATAACTGTATCTCTTTTGGCAGCACCTATAAGCCTATGGCTCCTAAAAAGGATGAAATTAATATGTAATTGAAAGGGTTGGGGAGGCCAAGCTAAAATTGTGACATTCCACCTAATTTTAGAAAGATAAACAAGTTTGTGGTCTTCAAAAGATCTTTTAAAAAACATTGGCTGCCAAACACCTGCTTTACCATATGCCACTAGTACTTAAGCAGTCCTGAAAGCAGGCATGGGTTTTCACAGAAGAGTTTAATTGTGAATCCAAAGCCTTCTTGAAACTTGCTAATGAAAGCTTTTCAGTGTCTACTGACTACAAGTGATAAGGTGATGACTAAAGAGACTGCAAAGGGCTAAAATTAACTCCTCTTTTTCCTCACAATTAAACTATCTATTCTCTAATTCATGTCAAAAATATTTCTTGAGTACCAGTACTTAACAAGTACAATGCATGTATGTCTATCTACATGTGTCTCATGTACAGTAACTCAGTTGAGCTATGCACAGAGGGAAACATGAGTCAGGATCAGACATTCTGCTTAACTAGCCAGTAGACAATAGAAAGGATGGTGTAGCAGGACTCTGTGATTGTGAGGGACCTTAAGCAAGAAGAGAATATTTTTTACTCACGTCACTGAAAATTTCAAGTATAAGACTAGGTTTTGCGTGGCATTGTTGCCAAGACAAGGTCTCTCACCTTTCAGCTCTGTGTCCTGCAGTGGATCCAGCTCTCCATCCTCCCTATTCAGTGCTCTTCCCAGTTCTTGAAGAAAACTCACGGACTGAGTTCTGTCCCAGCACTGTCTTGTTGACTTGTACAATGTCCACATCCAAGAACCCATCACTGTGGCTGGGGGATGGAATATGCTACCTGTCCTAGGCTGGGATCCTCTTCTCTACCCTTGGGGCCTTGAGGGAGGCCTCGCCCAATTTTAATGGACTGAGAGTTGGGGGGAAAGGGATCCCTAAATAGAAGTCAGGTTGTCTCACCACGTGGCAAACAACCTCAGGATGTTTTTTCACTACAGCGGATAAATGAGCACAAAGAGAAGTATGTTAGGATAACCAAGTATAAACTGTGTGTGGAAGGGCAGATAAAAGGAGAAAGAAATCTTATATTAAAGAAGTTGGCAAAGCTACACGAGAGGGACCCCCCAAACTGATGTGATTTGAGTAGGAGTGTGGAAAGATATTTCAGACAGACACCTTTTTTTTTGTTTTTTAATTGGAAGTGATGGGGAAAACATATGGCTGAGATTGGAACCTGGTTGGGGAAGAATATACAGATTGGAGAATAGGTATTTTGGGGGGAGTGGCAGTGGTGTGCCAGGAAAGACAATGGAGTCATGTTATAAAAATTCTCAAATTCTAGGTCAAAGCATTTAATTTACTAGGCAATAGAGAGTCCTTTAAATATTTCTAAGCATGAATAATGCATAAATAGAGTTGAAGACAGTAGAAGTAGTTTCAGGATGCTCTGAAGGAGGGAGACCATTTAAGAGACAAGCTAAGAGTTCTTCAGGCAAGAGGATGGTAACAGGAGTAGAAAATCAGGGCAAGATGGAAAAGAAAATTGGGGCTGGTAGGAAGAGTCAAAGATAACTCAGAGCTCTTGGGTCAGGGTTCTATTATAGAAATAAGGAGATCTGGAGAGGTTGCTGGTGGAGGGAGAGGAGAGAGATCCTGAATTTGTCCTTGGAAATATTGAGTACTGTGTTAACACAGTGTAATGTGCTTGGTTAAGCATTGAGTGGAGACTCAGCCAATGAGACAGAATGCATAGCTGTGGTCCAGTGATCCAGTGATTCACAATTAGAGGCAGCCTGGGAAATGTGGTGGGGCAATCTTGATTGTGACTGGGAATGGCTACTGGAATTTAGTGAACACTGTTCTGCAATACTGGACACATCCCTGCACAAGGAAGAACTGTTCCACCCAAATGCCAGTAGCACTTCTTGTTCTGGAGATTGGAAACTCCTTACTGATGAAAGCCTCAGGACCTTGGCAGTGAAAGAGCATGCAATCTTGCTGCCAAACATAAATTATTGCTCCTTGTTGTTTTTATGTCTATAACAGAATGATGAATATTATGCCAAGTGCCAAAGGTACTTTGGGGGTTTTAGATAAAAAATTTCCTTTTGGGAGAGAAGGAGAAGATGTGTGGCTGAGATAGAGTTAGAAGTGGTGTGAAAGGCCCTGGGTTCACTTTCTTATTTTGCCATCAACTTGTATGTGCTCGCAGTGATCAATTTTCTGCACCACTTCTTCTTTATCCATTACATTGGAAAAGGAGAGGGAAACTTTGCATCCCAGTGGAGTGAGCTGATGCTCTACTGTATTGTTCTGAATTATGTACCCCTCTTGTTGGCCCTCACATTGGCTGTGTTGCTCTTCACAAAGTGGGGTCCTAATGAGTGCCGCTTGGCCTCTTCTTTCTCTTGGGATAAAACCCAGTAATCATCAAGTTTGCCGTAAGATGACCCCTCTTCTATGTACCACAAATAGAGGTTGTCTTGGCTGTAGCCCTGGCTCCTGCTTGTTCTAACTGGTGCTGTGGGTGAGTTTCTATTTGGGGATGCACATCAGCACAGAAATTCCCATGACATAGAGAGGAAGGTAGCTTTCTAGGGCCTTAAACTGCCCTGTCCTCCATTGTAGGGCTGGATTGCTTCTTCTGCTGAGTTGGGGGTCTCCTCTGACTCTTTTGACATACTTTTTTTAATGATAAGTTCTTCATGAAAATGTTTGTGGGGATTAGGTAAAAAGTAACTGTTGAGAGTGAAGTTAAAATGAATAGTGATAATAATAATTATTCCCGTTCAAGATACCGTTTTAATCCACTCAGTTTGTTGGGTATAAGTAACAGAATGTTTAAACTTAAAGAACTAGATAGATAACAGTGACTGCAAAGCTACTGGGCAATGTGAAACCTGCTTTTTATATCACTGGACAGTAAAAGTAGTAATACCATCACAGACCAGCAGCCAGGAGACTCATCTGTGGAAATGTCACAAGAACCATTGTGAGTTAGTTGAGCAGGGACTTCAGTGGGATGTTTTTCCTTCTCCTTTCTGCCTGTCCAAATCCTACAGCTCCTCAGAGCCTAGATCAGGTCCCTTCTTGGCCTGAAGCCACTCCTGATGTGGTGACACTCTGATTTCTCCTTTTGAATTTTCTGCTGTTTCTGTGCCTCACAACCAAGTGTCTAAGTTTCTTTAGAGACACGGTTCATGAGTGGGACTTGTGTACTCTGTGAGTTTTTTTTTGTTTGTTTTTGTTTTGTTTTTTGGATGTTTGTTTGTTTTTTGAGACAGAATCTCACTCTGTTGCCCAGGCTGGAGTGCAGTGGCATGATCTCGGCTCACTGCAACCTCCGCCTCCCAGGTTCAAGTGATCCTTCTGCCTCAGCCCCCCTAGTAGCTGGAATTACAGGCACGTGCCACCATGTTCGGCTAATTTTTGTATTTTCAGTAGAGACGGGGTTTCGCCATGTTGGCCAGACTGGTCTCGAACTCCTGACCTCAGGTGATCCACCCGCCTCAGCCTCCCAAAATGCTGGGATTACAGGTGTGAGTCACTGCACCCAGCCTCTCTGTGAGGTGTTTAACTCCTAGAAGACAGGGGTGGTCCTTGTACCCGCTTCTTTCCAAGCCTCCTTCCAAGCCTGCCAGTGGGAGCTTGGAATGTTTCTGTCAGTTTTATTCAGATTTCATGTAAAAGAAATATGTAGCACTCATTCAGATTTTTGTGATTATTTGAAAAGGATTAAAGGGAGATAAATTAATAGCATAGACTTTGTGTGAAATTATGGCTCTATTGAAAATGAAATCCCCTGTGACAGTTGAAGGGATTTTGAGGAAAAATGCATTATGTATCCCATTTAGACTTTTCCTTCTGAAACACTTGAAAGCTGAGAACTGCCTGGAAGAACTGTTTTCTTTATTTTAAAAAGCATGTAAGATTTCATACAAATGGTCTATTAATTTCTAACTTTAATAAAGGAATTTTGATTGAGTTTGATGTTTTTTAATGGCAGCAATTTGATGAATTGAATAGACCAAATTTTTATTAGACAACTGCTGGAAAAATATTCATTACAACATTCTTCCACATATTAAATATGGCCAATTTCTCATTTGCATGTATTCATTTAGCTTTTTCTTTTAATAAGTTGAGGTCATGATATTACTTCTAATTTTTTTTTTTTTTTCGCTTTTCCCTCCAGGGAAAAAACCTCACCTACACAGGAGTGCAGTGGTGTAATCACAGCTCCTGTTAACCTCAAACTCCTGGGCTCAAGTGATCCTCTCACCTCAGCCTCCCAAGTAGCTAGGATTACAGGTGTGTGCCACCACGCCTGGCTAATTTTTAAAGTTGTTTTCCTTTTTTTTTTTTTTTTTTTTTTTTTTTTGTGGAGATGGGGTCTTGTCATGTTGCCAGGTCTGGTTTTGAACTCCTGGCCTCAAGTGATCCTCCTGCCTTGGCCTCCTAAACTGCTGGAATTACAGGCATGAGCCATTGCACCCAGCTGAAAAACCTCAATCTTTTACAGTTCAGAATTCCACTGTTCTGTGTACCCCAAATTTTAAGCTCCCTTCTTTTCTGAATTTATCAGTAACCAAATTAGATAATTGTCACAATATAAAACCAGTGAGAGCTTTGGACAAAATGTAAATTAACTATAATCTTTTTAGATTGTTAGATGTTTAATGTCTTGTGGATTAAAAAAAATCTACTTGATAGTTATTAACTGAACTTTTTCAAAATGACTCTGTTAGAAGACTTAATTCCTAACATTTATTGAGAGATAACTTTCTGCTGGGCACTGTTTTAAGCACTTTGCCTGTGTCATCTTATTTTTTGCCCCAACAACTTGATAGATGTGCCATTGTCGCCTGCCTTTTTTTTTTTTTTTTGAGATGGAGTCTCGCTTTGTCATCCAGGCTGGAGTGCAGTGGCACAATCCCGGTTTATTGCAACCTTTGCCTCCTGGGTTCAAGTGATTCTAGTGCCTCAGCGACCTAATAGCTGGGACCACAGGCATGCGCCACCACACCCGGCTAAGTTTTGTATTTTCAGTAGAGATGGGGTTTTGCCATGTTGGCCAGGCTGGTCTCAAACTCCTGACCTCAGGTGATCTGCCCACCTAGGCCTCCCAAAATGCTGGGATTACAGGCATGAGCCACTGCTCCCAGCCCACCTGCCTTTTTTTTTTTGATGAGGAAACTGAGGCACGGAGAGATTATACAGCTTGCTAAAATGATAGAGCCAGAATTAGAACCCAGGCTGT
Source organism: Homo sapiens (assembly GCF_000001405.40). NCBI lineage: Eukaryota > Metazoa > Chordata > Mammalia > Primates > Hominidae > Homo > Homo sapiens. The sequence goes on along the minus strand of NC_000002.12, from coordinate 196,476,068 downwards.
TTGACTCTAGGGTCATTCACTACACCAAATGGGTTTTCCCTGTGTCAGAGAAATGTATTGAGGGTCCTATGCTAGATGAACATGGTGAGGCACAGCGGGTCCGAGGCTGGAAAAATGTGCAAGAGGATTTGAAGACAAGGCAGAACAAGGAGAGTCCTGAGATTGGCTGTGGTTTGCCTGAATGCTCTCCTGTAGCAACACCCAGTTTGCCTTTTGAAACTGTCCTTCCTTCTGATGCCGGAAGTGGGCAAATGGCCCAGGCCAGGCCAATCAGAGGAGTCCTTGCACCTCTCAGACCACAGTGATTGGTTCACAAATGGGCAGATAACCAACAGAGGCCAATTAAGCTGATGAGTTTTCATTCTGGAAATTTTATTGCAGTGCTTTAGAAAGAGATCCTGTCTTTTCACTGAATTTAAAGCTGGGAAGATGTAGGCCTGGTGCTGCTGGCAGATATCTTGTCACTGCTAAGATGAGACCCTGCTAGTAAGTGGGGATCATGCAGAGAAAAGCAGAGGTTAGAAATCGGGAAAAAGAGGTGAAGTTCTGATAATATCCCCTGGATCTGGCTATGTCTGAAGGTAGGAGACCCACTCCTCAATTTTTCAGTTATGTGAGCCGCCCTCCTTTTTTCCCTCCCCTCGTCTCTCTCCCCTCCCCTCCCTTCACTCTCTTTCTCCCTCCTCATCTTCCTATCTCCCCTCTTCCCTTTGCGCATCCCCTCCCTCCCTCTCCCCCCATCTCCTTTATTCTCCCCACTCCCTTCTCCTTCCCTACCATTATTTGCAGCTGAAGGAATTCTAGCATAAATGGTGATTAGATTTGGGAACTCTCCGATCTGGCAGGTTCCTCATTTCTGCCCTTGGCTGGAAGGGAGAACTGTTCAACTCTATAAGGGTACAGAACCAGGTGGGTGGGGGCAGTGTTAGGTGTGTGTGGGTGTCTTCTGAACATCTCAAAGAAAACCACTGAGAAAGGGCCTTTGGTTGTTGATGGTCCCTGGGAGGCAGAGCCGTGGAACCATGGACCAAGCCACTGTTGGTGTATCAGAGAAATTCGTTAAACTGTGTTAAGCGTCTGTAACGATGCTGCTCGCTGGGCCCAGAGAGTTGAGGATCAGGTGCGGGCGTGTGATGATACATAGCATGTCTTCTGCTATTGAACATATTCTAATAAATGGGCCTCTGCCTTAAGAGTCTAGATGTTAGAGTGATTAATTTGCTTAGTTTCATGCCCTTGAGGGAAGAAATTAGAAATCTCAGCAAGTGCTTTTATCAAAAACTTACCTACCCTGGTATGAAATTATAACATTCCATGCTGTACCTTGTAGGAATCAATCCTAAAAAAAGATGGCAATGGAGATAGAATGAGAATTGCTTCCATTGTCAGATATGAAATGACAGATAGCTTTCTATATAAGCTTTGCACATATAGAGCTATGTAGCTTCCTTACAGCAAGGTACAAAATAGATGTCTGTGTCTACTAAAGGCCTGTGACCTTTAGTGAGATTTTCTGAGCTGGTGTCCAAATGAATGTTTGTGAAGAATTCTTTGAGAAGGCTTTCTTTTGCCTGCCTGGTGGGAGAACATCATTATTATTAAGGTAAAATGCACACTATCCTAATAAATATATTAATGTCTCTCAATTTATGACTAATGATATTTGTGGTATCCACCCACCTCCATTTCTACTTCTGCCAAAATGCAAGCCATTATGGTAGCTGGCTGATGTGCACTTTCTTACATTATCTGCTCATTGTTAAATTGATAAGTGGTACATGTGAATAGTCCTCTCATTGTCCCCAAAAGATATTGAATACTTATTTTCACCAAAAGCATATTTATAATACTTTGCTAAACATTTGACAAAACTATATCCTGTTTATTATGAATGCTATTGGCAGTAACCAAGATCACTAGCTTGAAGGCCAAGAGGAGGAGTTTATTTTAAAATACTGCTTCTTTGAATAGTTATTTATAGTAAGATGATACTACTTGATTTCGTATAACTTATTTTATTGGAAGATTACACTCTAATCTAAAAGGTTTGTGAAACAGAGTTTTCTTTTCTGCCTCCTGAAGTTGGTTCTAGAAAAATTCTCGCTGCATTGTATCAGGCAAAAGCCCACACTCTCACTCACATTTTCTGGTGATGTGCCATTTTCTAAATATGTCCTGCCTGTTCCAAAATGAATATCAATAGCTGGAAGCAGTTGGAGAATGTTAATTTAGCACTTGTGTTACAGAGTGGCATTCAGTTTCCTAGATTGTGTCCTGTTCCCACGTGGGCTTTTCAAGTGATTTATTATCTTTTTCAAGCAAAGCATCCAACACGAATAAGGCCAGACCTGTTACTGCACTGGTTGGCAGTTATGTCAACCTTTGTCTTGAAGCCTGATATGAAATTTGGTCTGTAGAAAGTTGGCAGACATAGGCTATTTTCAGACTGTAGTTTTAGTCATCTAGTTCAAGATATTTTTTGACTAATAAATTATCTCTAAAAAAAATCCAGTCCTCCTGTATAATCTCTATTTTTAACTTTCAGGGTCTGGATGTAGGTTACTTGGACAGGTGGTTTAGAAAGTCCATTAATGGTCATCCCTAACAGTGGTTTTTAAACTTTTTAGACCTTGCACTTTGATCAGTAAAAAATGATTTATAAATGACATGACATACCACTGTGCAGGAATATATTATATAAATTAATTTAGATTTGTGTCTGTTATGTATTTTCTATAACAGATGAAACCTAGAAATTGAAAGGATTTTATGGAAAAACACATAGTTCCAATATTTTCTTCTTGTGGCCCAATGCACTCCACTTTGGAAGCTACTGATTTAGAAAACAAAACATTATTCAGTACATGCAAATGGTTCTTTTGGAGCTATCACACTTATCCTAGTTTGATTTTTGAAAAATGTGGTTTTTAGTAAACTTCAGAATAAATGTGTCTTGAGTACAACTTCTGGTCACGATCAATTGCTATCAGTTATCTGTTTCAGTTATCTATTATGGGAGTGTGGTAACCAATTAACCAGGACAAGATTCTACAATTTCATTATGAAATATTTAAGACATACAAAAGTATAAAATGTAATATGACAAATGTGCATGTTTTAATCCACCACCTTAAAAAAGTTACCTTCCAGCTGAGTGCGGTGGCTCCGGCCCGGAATCCCAGCACTTTGGGAGGCCAAGGCGGGTGGATCACTTGAGATCAGGGGTTCGGAACCAGCCTGGCCAACATGGCGAAACCCCGTCTCTACTAAAAATACAAAATTAGCTGGATGTGGTGATGCATGCCTGTAATCTCAGCTACTTGGGAGGGTGAGGCAGGAGAATCGATTGAGCCCGGGAGGTGGAAGTTGCAGTGAGCTGAAATCGCGCCATTGCACTCCAGCCTGGGCAACCAGAGTGAAACTCCATCTCAAAAAAAAAGAAAAAGAAAAAGAAAAAAAAGTCATCTTCCTCCTACAGAGATCCACTATTCTGATCTGCCTTTTTAAATTTCCATGTAACTATAGACCTATGTTTGGGTCCTAAACAGTGAGTTACTATTTCACTTTTTTTTTTTTTTTTTTTTTTTGACGGAGTCTCTGTCACCCAGGCTGGAGTGCAGTGGTGCAATCTCAGCCCACTGCAGCCTCCACCTCTCAGGTTCAAGTGGTTCTCCCACCTCAGCCTCTCGAGTAGCTGGGATTACAGGCGCCCCCCGCCCCTGACCACCCCCAAATTTTTGTATTTTTAGTAGAGACAGGGTTTCTCCATGTTGGCCAGGCTGGTATTGAACTCCTGACCTCAAGTGATCCTCCTGTCTTGGCCTCCCAAAGTGCTGGGATTACAGGCATGAGCCACCACACCCAGCCTGTTTTGAACGTTTTAAACTTTATGCAGTACCTACATACAATATATAGCATACATTTGACTACAACTATTTTTTTTTCGCCCTCTAAATGTGGTTGATTATGGGTAAATCTAGTTCATTCATTCCCACAGCTGCATTCTCTAAAGTTTGAGAATGCCACAGTATATCCATTCGTCTATAAGTGACTTTTAGGTTCTCTCTTGCTTTTCTTTTTTTTTTTTTTTTAAACTTTTGTTTTAGGTTCAGGGCTACACATGCAGGTTTGTTTTATAGGTAAGCTGTGTGCCATGGGGGTTTGGTGTACAGATTATTTCATCACCCAGATATTATACTTAGTACCCGGTAGTTGTTTTTTCTGATCCTCTCCCTCCTCCTTTCTTCCACTGTCAAGTAGGTCCCAGTGTCCCTTGTTCCCCTCTTAGTGTCCATGTGTTCTCATTGTTTAGCCCCTACTTGTAAGTGAGAACATGTAGTATTTGGTTTTCTGTTCCTGCATCAATTCACTTAGGATAATGGCCTCCAGGTCCATCAATGTTGCTGCAAAGAACATAATCTCATTCTTTTATATGGCTGCCTAGTATTCCATGGTGTATATGTATAACATTTTCTTCATCCAGTCTACTGTTGATGGGCATTTAGGTTAATTCTATGTCTTTGCTTTTGTGGGTAGTGCTGCAGTGAACATATATGTGCATGTGTCTTTATGACAGAACAATTTATATTCCTTTATGTATATATCCAATAATAGGATTGCTGGGTCAAATGATAATTCTGTTTTAAGTTCTTTGAGGAATCACCACACTGCTTTCCACAAAGGATGAATTAACTTACACTCCCACCAGCAGTGTATAAGTGTTCCATTTTCTCTGCAACCTTGCCAGCATCGGTTAATTTTGATTTCTTAATAATAGCCATTCTGACTGGTATGAGATGGTATCTCACTGTAGTTTTGATTTGCATTTATCTATTGATTAGTGATGTTGTTTTTTCTATTCCAAATAATCCTGCTAGGGATTTTAAAAATAAAAATTTGTTGATGTTTTCTTAGAATATACTTAGGAGTAGAATTGCTAAATTGTAAGATGTGTACTTTATTGCATTCATGAGATACTCCCACCATTGTCCATATGAATCTCCCTTGCTCCTTGTCCTTGTTTACACTTGGTATTGTCAGACTTTTTTTTTTTTTTGCCAATTTGGTGGATGTGAAATAATATCGCATTGTGGCTTTATTTTTTTGTAAACTGTTTATTGGCTTTTTTGATTTTATTTTCTGTAACTTGCTTATTCATATATTTTGCTGTTTTCTTTTTTTCTTTCTGAGTTTTATACATTCTATATATATTCAGGATACTAACCAGTTATCTATTATAGATGCCTGCGACCTGTCTTCACTTTTAAAAAATGTTGTCTTTTAATGAACAGAACTTTCATATATAAAGCTTCCATATATCAATGGGTCTATTTCTCCACACTCTATTTTTTGGTCATGTACTAATAATCTAAATTGCTTTGACTGGATAATAAGTATTAGTTATGGCAGAATAAGTGCTTCCCTATCTTACTCATCTAATGTAAAATTATTTTCTTCAATCTTGCTTAGTTTTTTATGCCTCATTTAAAAAATTGAATGGGCAACCAAGAATCATTGGACATTTTCTGAAAACAAAACAAAACTCCAAAACACAACTTCAATATGAAAGCAAGAGACGAAGATAAACAGAAAAAATAAAGTTTAGCATCCACAAAGTACTAATATGCATAAAGCAATATTATTTAGGACTAATCCTTACTCATTTGCAAAATATCCCTAAATTTAGCAGTGTTAACAAATCAGCCTTACTATGACCCATTTATTTACTTAATATATTTTATTGGGAAACTCAAAATTGTATCCTTTTTTTTTTTGGAGACAAGGTCTTGCTCCATCACCCAGGTTGGAGTATAGTGGTCAGAAACTGGCTCACTGCAATTGATGCTTGTCCAGATGAATAAGTAGCATACTAGAAGTATAGTAAGGTTTTGTTGTCATTATTGTTGTTGTTTATTTGCCTGGTATCTCTGTTACTTGGCTGTGTTATAAAACAGAATATAAATTTTTATTTTGCTTATGCGAATTTTTTTCTGTGATCCTTGTCTTTTCTGATCATTCTTTTATAGTGAATATGTATATTATTTTTATAGATAGAATGGGAAATTTTTTTAAAGAAAGTTTTAACTAGAATTTTTCTGATAATTAAGTTTTATTCTAGAAATTCTTGTAAGGTGAACTTGAATTTTTTTTGGATTCATTGTAAAAAAAAGTCAATTTCCCTTATAAAAAGTCATCCATATATTTTTTACTTTTATGACCTCCAATTAGTCCCCCGCCCCAGAGGTAACAGCCTTATTTTTTTTTCTTCATACTATATATACTTCTTGGTTAACTACTTGTTCTCTCATATGGATTATTTATATATTCAGGATGTTAACCTTTCATCATGTTATAATATTTCCTCAACTTTTCATTTGTCTTTTACCTCTGTTTATGAACTTTCTTACCACCTACATTTAAAATTTTTGTTATGACTATTTAATGACATATGTAAATAACCTCTATCTCAAGATCATAAAACATACTTAATTTTGTTTCAGTACCCCTATACTTTTTATTACATTTTTTATTTTTTAAATATATTATGAATATTCTAGATATATAAAGAATGAGATATTTAGCACCTGTGAACCCACCAGGTGATTCAGGAATAAACTATAATCTATCCTCCTAAACTTCGTGGGTGTTCCTCCCCAGTTGCATTTCCCTCCTTTTGCCGCAGAGGTAGCCCCTCTGCCAAAGTGGTGAGACAGTTGTCCCCATTTTTAAAATATATAACACTCTTATTAAAGTCTAACTTCTTACAGAAACTTGGTTCTGTTTCTGGTCCCTCTAGTTTGTTCTGTTTAGTTGTCTCTACATTTTGGCACCCGTAACATGTTCTTTTATTTAAGGCGGGGCAGCTCCTCTTATATTATTCTTCCTTTTTACAATTTTCTTGGCTAGTTTCACTTATTTACACACACACACACACACACACACACACACGCACACACACACACACACAGGTTCAGTGACCTGCGATAGAAAATAAAACCATTCTTTGTCTTCCTTCTTCACATCTGGCTCTGATGGGAAGTACCATATCACCTCCTCTCCTTGAAAAAGAATTGTTGCTTCTTCCATCACGATATAGTGTAGTGGATGTAACCTGTCATTAGCCTGCTAAAAAACATTTTGCAACTTAAATGCTGTCTAGGAGGACGAGGCAGATAAATGTAGGAAAAATCTCAACAACACTGGCTTTCTGTAATTCTTGCTTGAACACCTGTAGGCTTGGCTTAGGTAACCCATATATGTATATCATCCTTCCCTTTGCTTCCCCGCTCCCACAGTCCAAGTCCCTTCTTACAGATCTTGCTGACCTGAGTTATTTTGAAAACACACCTCAGACCTTCATTCATGTGGAAAATCTGTAGCTTTGGAAGTGGAAATATTAACAAGCAGGGAAAAAAAATGGAATAGTTTAGAGAATTGCCACTTAAAGTGTGGTCTGCAGGTGGCAGTGTCACCATCACTTAGAAGTTTGTTAGAAATGCAGATTCTCAGGCTCCACTCCAATCCTACTGACTCAGAGGCTGCATTTTAACAAGTCACGCTTGAGAAGTTTTGCTTTAAAAATCAGAATCCTAGGCAAGGTTGACCTGCCTCAGAAGTGTCCACTCCTCCTCTAATCTTTAAAAAGTAACTGAAGCGTAGGGGTGGGTGGGTGTTGACAATATTGTACATACTCCATGCAATTTGAGGCTTTACCAGTGAGAGATTAATTTGAGTTAATGTAATTAATTGAAACATTCGTCTTTAAAGAACAACCAGCTGGGCACGGTAGCTGATGCCTGTAATCATAACACTTTGGGAGGCCAAGGCGGGCGGATCACTTGAGGTCAGGAGTTCGAGACCAGCCTTGCCAACATGGCAAAACCCTATCTCTACTAAAAATACAGAAATTAGCTGGGCTTGGTGGCATGTGCCTGTAATACCAGCTACTCGGGAGGCTGAGGCAGGAGAATTGCTTGGACCTGGGAGGTGGAGGTTGCAGTGCACTCTAGCCTGGGCAACGGAGTGAGACTCCATCTCAAAAAAAGAAAAAAAGAAACAACTGGGAGAATGAAGGGTTGTTACCGGCTACTGGCTATTTGTATTGCCAGTATGATTATTAGACACTGTTGATGCTGATGATTATTAGACTCTGTTGCTATATTCTATAAGGACACGTTTAGCAAGAGAAGAGAAAGTAATTTTGTAACATGGACACTTAGGGAATAGGCTAGGCCTGGATTGGAGGGGGCTGTCAGGGAAACATGACATTTATTTAGTAAGAAGAGGAATTAGAGGGTGAGATAAAGGTAGCATGGGGGTTTTGCTCAGAAATGAGAAAATCTTCCCTTTTCCTGCTTTTATGTTGTGATAATTTGTATGCTCAATATCCAGTATTATTCTTTTAATCTGACTTTTCAAGTTTAACCTGGAAAGTTAATTGCCACTTCCAATATTGTTTCTGTTTACAAATACATAGCAGCCATTTCCTGCATGTAGGGTTCCCTAAGAAGAGTCAGACGCTGAAACCAACATTAGAATGAATGACTGTAAGCGCATCATAGAAGTATTGACTTGAGCCTCCGTGTCTTCCTTTTTCACAGGATTACAAGGAGGATTAAATGGAATCTGCAAGAAAGCCCAGAAAGCTCTCAATAAATAGCAGCTCCTCCTCCCCTTCCCTCCCTCCTTCCTCTCCCTCCCCCTCATCCTATACCAAGCAGTTTGATTCCAGATTCTGTAGAGGCTAATAATACTAAGAATAGCAGTAGTGGTAGAAATATTTATAAGGTGCAAAGATAAGGAGGAAGTAATTTTGTATTGGAAGAGATATTTGGGGTTCCAAGGGAATAGCTTTAAGAATGCATATGCAGAGTTTTGAGAATTGTCTTCATTTAAATTATAATAATTTACAATTTACTGAAGACAAGCTAGGCTGAAATTTATCCTAAACCATTTCTTTGGGAACCCCTAACAACAGCTTTAGGAGTTAAAGCTGACATCAACTGGTACTTGTGGTAATCCCTAGCAGGAGGTTCAGGGTTACCAAGTGACATGGCAGCAGGCTTGGTACTAGTATGCATTCTAGTCTAGCAAGTCTGAAAACTAAGACGGTTGGAGTTATCAGAGATCAGAAAAGAAGTTAAAGATCAGAAAATCGAGGAGTCAACAAAATTTGAAAGAATATTCTTAAAACACTTCTTTATCACTCTCATCATAGAACTTCAGTAGCTCCTTCTGCCTGGCTGATTTTTCAAGGTATTGCCAGACTGGCCCAAAGCCCATTTCTAGCTCACCTTATGCTTTTACCCATTTTTCTGCCTATTCAGTAATTCCCCTGGAGATGACACTTTCTACTTTTTCCAGCTGTCTAAAATCATAATCATCAATTAAGATCTGCTTCAAATCTCACTTCCCTTTCCTCTCTAAACTCTTCTGGAGAATTTCAAACAATCTGAATTCCTGCTGGCCAACCCTCTCACCAGCTTCAGTATTATTTTTGCACCTGCTTCTCTATGCATTTCCTATGTCTCTTCCCTGTGAATATTTTGGAAGTGCCCTGAGGGCTGGGAAAGCTATAATTTGATGTTTTTATAAGTTCATACTTACAAGTAGTAATTTCTTAATGTAAAAGGTAACCCTTGCTAGCTAAACTTTTATCCCTGGATTATCTAAACCCAGGGACAGAATGGATTTGGATAACATTTTGGAGAGGGAAATATTTGGAGGAAAGTCATTGAAGTGTAAATATTTTCATTGTGGCTTAATTCAAGCCAACAACCTGAGGTCTCAGGATGGGGAAGCCAGCTCTAGCACACTGCTGAAAGGGATCCTCCACTTTCCAACTCTTTATTCAAATCTCTGGAGCCAAATATTAATAGATTTGGGTAACACTGTTTTCCTCACTGTCAACCTCATGGATGGAGTAGGGAGAGTCATTTATACTTGATCACTGGATTCTGCTGGTATATAGGTGTGACAAAGAAAATTCTTAGCCATTAGGTAAATATGGTCGTTTCTAAAAAATATTCTTAACAGCCAGTCTGTTAGAGAAACAATTAAAAGGTTATGGGATTGGATGTGAACATAACTTTGTAGCTACATATTTGGACAGCCTGTGAAAGCAATTTCTTTGAAGGACTGTGAATAGCAAATGTTCAATAAATATTGGCCAGATGACTGATAGAAGAAAAGGGCTAAAGAAAGGGGAATGATTGCATTGTACATCCAGTGGAATTGCATGAGGCTAAAGGAATAGAAAACAAGAAATGGTGGGGCTTCATTTTCATTTTCTGTCCTTTTGGATCAGTGGTCCAGATCAGTTTCCTAACTGTGCCATGCAAATACGTGTCCAGAACGGCCACGTATTTGCATGGCACAGTTAGGAAACATGAGTTTATTTAAACTTAATATAAGCACAGGAATTTGTAGAGAAAGTTTACTAATCTTTATCATGGAAAAGCAAAAGTTAAGGCAGGTTCCCTAAAGTAAGATTAGGCTTACAAGCAGTAGAAAAAATGGTGACTTTACCTCAAGAGCACCCTAAAAATCATGATGTAAGCTGGGCCCAAATTGTCCTAGGCACATGGTTATTTTTAAATCCATGATTCCTACTTCGGAGGACTAAGAACACTGAATCCAGCATTATTTTAATTATTTGAATTTGGATTCCTAATTAAAGCTAACTACTGCTTCACAGATTAATCTAGATAAGAAAGTTAAAGCAATTCTGTTGCCTTTAATAAACACCTCTGAATCTGGAAGGAGACTAGATTAGCCAAAATCTTATTTTATAACTTGAAGTTCTAAAAAGCAATAGCAAATCAGCCCCTTAGCATTTCCCAAAATATTCCAATCCATCTGCTTAAAAAAATTACTGCCAAATACTTTAATTTGTTAGAAATAAAATACTTTACTCTTAAAGCTATGCTTTGAGTTGTTCATTCTCCATTGAGGTGCATGTAGAACCCTACCTCTCCAGGAGAGCATATTAGGATTACAGGCAAGTAAGGGTATTGCTATCCCCTTCTTTTTTTGAAACAGAGTCTTGTACTGTCACCCGGGCTGGAGTGCAGTGGCGCGATTTCGGCTCACCTCCACCTCCTGGGTTCAAGCGATTCTCCTACCTCAGCCTCCTGAGTAGCTGGGATTATAGGTGTGCGCCACCATTCCTGACTAATTTTTTGTATTTTTAGTAGAGACAGGGTTTCACTGTGTTAGGCCAGGCTGGTCTCGAACTCCTGACCTCGTGATCCGCCCACCTCGGCCTCCCAAAGTGCTGGGATTACAGGCGTGAGCCACCGTGCCTGGCCACTGTCCCCTTCTTTAAGCGAAGATTTTTACAAGCACAGTCTTATCCTATTTGGAGGTTTATCATCCTTTTTCCTAACATGAGCTTAAAAATACTATCATTACACTAACCTTTTGCCTCCTCTGAATTCTTACGGGTTTGAGCATGGCCAATGGGATAATTATAGACTGAATTTTTGCCTCTTGTTTGTAAAATCCTGGGAGTTATACTTTAGGTTTTCCTTTGGCTTTTCCCCTTTCTTGCTTATTTGGTATATAGTAGAAAGAGGATTGAATGTCTCAGCTTAGTCACCAAAAACCTGTAATTTGATATCTTGAAAGGAAACAGGATCTGCTTTAGTTTTGGTGGCATCTTCATGATTAGTAAAACAGAACAAAACAAAAATATTGATGATACTTAAGTTATCATTCTAACTCCCAGCGTTACTATTGAACCCTAGTTCTACCTGAAATTTTTTCCCCTCCTATGTAACCTATGTAGTTTTTCAGATGGGAATTCTGGGGTATGTTTAAAGGCCCTAAAATGAGAGTTAAGATGAGGCAATAACAGCTGGTGATAAAGTGGCAGCATATGCTTTCTTAGGTGCCATTTTCCTAATGTTTTATGTTGAGAGATCCAAAATGAAATTGGAAGCAGTTGAGATGATAATGGCCGCAAAAGTGGGTAGCAATTTTAATGTATTCCTATTCAGAAGTATTGGTTAAACCATTTCCAGAAAAAAAAAAAAAGGAAAAGCTGGAAGATGGAAAGATGGATTTGAAAGTAAAATAAAAGGACCTGAGTTTTCATAGGTGGAGGAAGGAGAATGGGAAAGTAGATCAAAATAGTACTTACTTTCAGTTCCTTTGTATGAAGCTTTCAGCATAGTTTGATTTGCATTTTCTGGGTCAAGGTGAAGCCCAGATATTGAATGTTGCTAGTTGGGCTCGTTGCCCCTGTGGATTTTCAGGGAAAGGAAGATCACTGTACAGGCTGCCACCTGGTTGTAGCAGTATAAAGGGTAGAAGGTTTCAGAGTGAGGCAGATTATAACAAAAAACAGTGTTATCTAATAGAATTCAAAGAACAAAGAGATCAGGTAGTTCAGTTAATCACCTTGGAAATAGTTTCACTTTGTAATATAAAATACAATATTATATAAGCAAGTTTAAAACAATGATGAAAAAATTAGCACTTTCTCTGCAATTACTACTGTTATAGTCATAATGCAAACGAATGCCACTCTGCATTAGTATTCTCAAAAAGCCCAGCCTTGTAGTTTTGAAATTTCATTTCTATTAAAATTTCCCCTTTGCAGTTGGAATTTTTCTTTTCTTTTTCTTTTTCCTTTTTCTTTCTTTCTTTTTTTTTTTTTTTGCAGGGTAGAGGGTGGTGGTGGGTGGTGTGCAGCCTGACTTGCGTGACGAATCTACATTGGATCTGTTTCAGTCCATTCCCAAACATTCTAGGCACTGAGGCAGCTCTGTGGTATTTTTAGAGAACTCATCTCTCACTCAGTAGTAACCCATGCTAACAGTTACAATTGATAATGCAATCACCTGTTACAATAATTACTGCTGCTTCTCTCCTAATCTCATGTGAAAGAGGTTGAGACACCCCTTCTGTTATACACCCAACAGGGTTTTTGATGCTATCACTAGTGACCATTAGAGAAGAAAGCACTGGGTTATTGGATGTCCCTATGACTAATTGCCACTTAGTGACTACAGAACTTACAAGTTAAATTTCTACCAAGACTCAGAAGCCCTGGCATACTACCACTGGGGAATGGGGGAGTTTGCAGTTTCTTTCACTGCTGGTGTGAGTGGAGGGCACTTCTCTCTTGTATTGGAGTCTCCCCGGACCAGGGGATAATGAATAAGTGAGAGTTTGTTTCTTTCATCAGGCATTTGTACACATTTGTTTCATCTCCTTAGGCCACTCTCTTAAGGCTTTCCCTTGCGTTTTATTTTCTAGTCTTTGTTGTTGAGATGAAAAAGTACAGTTGTTTTGACCTGACTTGTGTCCAAGATTACTCAGAATTGTTAAGTGCCTTGAAAGATCATTTCATTTTGTTCAACATCTTTTTTCGGGGGGAGGGGTGGGTGCTTGGGAGCTGCTTCAGAGATTTACAAGTTTATAATTTACTAAAAATTTCAAAACCGTCTGCTTTGTAAATAAGTGGGCTTAAAGGAAGACCTGTTAATAAAAAAGATACCTGTTTTGGTTATGTTTCTGAGAAGGAATGATTATATTAGGTTTTAAGATTCTGTTCACCTAAGATCTGATTAAAGCATCACCAGAAATTGGCCGTCTGGAAAGCACTATTAATGGATCCAGAAATGTCATTGTCATCTTGATCATATAATAGAATTTGCATTGAAGAAAAATATGGTGGGCTGAGTAGAATTCAAAGTCTATGAAAAACTCAGAGTTCCTTAATTTTATTCTTTCTTTAGGTCAATTTATTGCACATATCATTTTTAATTACTATTTTTCCCCTTTCCCATTTTCCCCCATCAAAATTTACATTATGATAGACTGCTTTTCAATACATTTTGAAATATAAATTGAATGATTACATAAAAAATAACAATCCAGGTTTTATTATTATAACTTTTTGCCTTTATAAAATTTTTGCCTTTCTTTAATATGATTCAAATTATGTTATGAAGAGGAAAAAACCTGTTTCTAAATGTGTACATATATGTATACATATATGTATACGCACACACACATATATATATGAGTACAGAAAAGGTCTGACAGGATGCTCACATATTGATGGACATTTGGGTTTTTTCCAGTTATGAGTTATTACAAATAAAGCTGCTAGTGAACATTTGTACATAAGTGATATGGTTTGGCTGTGTCCCCACCCAAAATCTCATCCTGAATTGTAATCCGCATGGTTCCTGTGGTCCCCATAATCCCCGTGTGTCAGGCGAGAGACCAGGTGGAGGTGGTTGAATCATGGGGATGGTTCCCCCATGCTGTTCTCATGACGTTGAGTGGGTTCTCACGAGATCTGATGGTTTTGTGGGTGTCTGGTGGTTCCTCCTGCATTCATTTTCCCTCCTGCCACCTTGTGAAGAAGGTGCCTTGCTTCCCTTTAACCTTCTGCCATGAATGTAAGTTTCCTGAGGCCTCCCCCGCCATACTGAACTGTGAGTCAATTAAACCTCTTTCCTTTATAAATTACCCAGTCTTGGGCAGTTCTTGATAGCAGTGTAAAAATGGACTAATACAATAAGTCTTTGTGTGGATATGTTTTCATTTCTCTGGAGTAAATAATTAGGAGTGGAAAAGCCGAATGGCATGGTGTGTGTATGAAAATGGTTTTCCAAAGTGTTTGTGCCATTTTGTACTCTGATCAGCAATGTATGACATTTACAGTTGTTCTCTACCCTTGTGAGCATTCAGTATTGGCTGTCTTAAATTTTGGTCATCCTAGTAATGGGTGTGTAGTAGTATAGTATCTTATTGTGGTTTTTCAGTAGTTCCTTGTTCATTGTCTTCATGCCAGACTTTGGTTTGTAATGTAATTCTTCTGACATGTTTTTAATCTCTGTTGCTTCTTGCCTGCCTGCCTGCCTTTCTTTCTCCCTCCCTCCCTTTCTTCCTTCCTATCAGGCTGTGCACTTATCCATGTATGCTTTCTTTTTGTTATTACCCATCTTCAACTGAAGGCCATTTTATCTATTACAACTGTTTACTCAAGAATTGAATGGGGAGGAGACAGAGAGTGAGTTGGGCCAACATCATCATTAATTCAGGCATTTTATCTCAGAATATTTTCTCACGTAATTAATTTGATCCTGTGCTGTGCTGTGTCTCCATTTAGGAGTCTCTTTATTAGGCTGGAGATGGTGGCTCACACCTGTAATCCTAGTACTTTGGGAGTCCGAGGTAGGAGGATCACTTGAGGCCAGAAGTTTGATACCAGCCTGGGCAACATAGTGAGAGCCTATCTCTCCAAAAAAAAAAAAAAAAAAAAAAAAAAAAATTGCCAGGTGTGGTGATGCATGCTTGTAGTCCCAGTTACTTGGGAGGCTGAGGTGGGAGGATCATTTGAGCCCAGGAGGTTAAGGCTGCAGTGAGCCAGTTATGGCACCACTGTACTCCAGCCTGGGTGACAGACCAAGACCCTGTCTCACAAACAAAAACAAAACAAGACAAAAAACAATTGAGATTTTTCCCTGCCCTGGGAGAAAAGCAAAAAATTAGACAGAAATTATATGTTCTCTGCTCTTTAAAAGAAAAAGCTAAATGAATACATGCAAAAAAAAAAAAAAAGGTTTAATCGGTTTTGTTTTTGTATCCTCATTCAATTTGGTTCAATTTTTACTTCATTGGAAATTATTCCTCATGGCTTGTAGATGAGATGGCCTTCTAATTAGGGTGAATATTGAGTCTGTTCTTTTTTGAGTTCTTTTTATTTTGGTTGTCTTTAGGAGGAAAGTCGAATAAAAATGCCTCTCTTCTGTTAACTTCAATCAAAAGTCTTACTTGATATTTCTTAGAGTCTTTTAATTATGCCCATCCCCATAAACTGTTAGTGGCTCTAATGCATCAAGTCTGACTCCTTGGTTTTCTAGATTTTTTAATTCCAGCCTCATTGTCAGCTGAAGAATGATGAGGTTCATAAATTTGGAAAGGAGAGCTTTATTTTTCATAAAGGGTTGCAGCCTGCAGGGTAGCCATTCTGACAGACTGGGAAGCATAGCCTTCCATTGGAGACCAGAAACAAACAATTGGAGGGTGAGAAGAATAAGACAGGGATTCACACTGAAGGAGGTGGAGGAATATTCGTGTTCTGTAAGCAATAGGAGGAGTCATGTGTATTTAGGAAGGGAGAAACATGCGCATGCACAGCTGAGCCTCATCCTTCACCAGGGGACCCATGGTTTTTAACTATGGCGGCATTAGCATGATCCAGGGTGGAATTTTCGGATCTCTGACTTCAAAAGATGAAGCAGAGGATGCAAAACCCCTCCCTGCACATCCTCCGTGGACTGGCCAGAACCACTCTGTGGTCTGTGGTCTCTTATCAAGAAGGAATGCTGGTTGGTTATTTTGTTGAAAACCACAAAAAGGAGGGGCGGTTTCAGGAGGTTGATTGACATCAGGGGTGGAGTGGGGCTTTCCAAAGGGCTGGTTTCTGTTTAATCCTTACGGAGGAAATCCTAATGTTGGTTATGGAGGGAGGGGACATCATGAGGCACGTCTGACCTCCTGTCTGGTCATGGTTGGGAACTGAGTTTTCAAGGATTTCTGGGGTCCCCTTGGCTAACAGGGGGTCTGTTCAGTAGGTTGGGGGGGCTTAGGATTTCATCTTTATTTTTTACTGTATCTATACAACCTAATTTTTAAACCACTCTCCAGTACTCTCCTTTATACTCAAATACTCTAACCTGTACTTTTCCCCCCTTTAACTGTTTTCTTCTCCTCATGCTAAGGCTCATTGGAGTTTCTAAGCCCACTTCTGTATTTCTCATAGTCTACATCTCCCATCTCTCTTCAGCTAAGTCTTCTCAAGCTTTAAGACTCAGCTCAGTGTTACTGCCTCAAAGATGCCTTCCCTGTCTAATCTGATCCGAAGTGGTACTCCTTTTCTGGAAATTTCTCCATCACTTATGTGCAGAATTTAACATTTAATTATACGTATAGTCTTGTGGTGTTTCTTGTGCTGATTTGTTTGTTTGTTTTTTTAGCATTATCTCTCCCAGCTGGACTACTCAGAGAACTACTAGAGAACATGGACCAAATCATTCCTTATTCTGTAAATCCTGCAGTACCTAACATGGAACTGGACATATAATAAATCCTTAATAAACAACTAGTAGTTAATTAGTCATGTGAACATATGAGTTTTAGCCAGTGTGTTTACACTTATCTTTTTTGTTGTTGTTGTTGTTGAGACAGAGTCTTACTCTCTTGCCAGGCTGGAGTGTAGTAGTGCAATCTCGGCTCACTGCAACCTCCTCCTCCTGGGTTCAAGTCATTCTCCTGCCTCAGCCTGCTGAGTAGCTGGAACTACAGGTGCACACCACCACGCCCAGCTAATTTTTGTATTTTTAGTAGAGACGGGGTTTCACCATGTTGGCCATGATGGTCTCGATCTCTTGACCTCGTGATCCACCCGCCTCGGGCTCCCAAAGTGCTGGGATTACAGGTGTGAGCCACCACGCCCAGCCTACACTTGTCATCTTTATCATCTGGTTTCACAGTTTTCCATCTGGAGCTTTTTAGAGTCTTGTATGATTTGCCTCAGTACTAGTAATGCGAAGTCACATATTTTCATCCCCTTGGGGTGTGTGTATGTGTGTGTGTGTGTGTGTGTGTGAGTGAGTGAGAGGGAGAGAGAGAAACAGTTAAGATCCAGAGACTCCCAGCATTATGAGACCTTTCCTTTTCAGAGCCTGGATATTTCAGGTGTAGAATTTAATAGAATTGGTAGAGTGCACAGGAAAGAGATAGTTCCCAATATTTTACTTTTTTAATAATTCTTAGAGACAGGGTTTTGCTCTGTCACTTAGGGATGGAGTGCAGTGGCACAATCATGGCTCACTGCAGCCTTGACCTCCTGGGCTCAAGTGATCCTCCTGCCTCAGCCTCCTAAGTAGCTGAGACAATAGGCATGTGCTGCCACACCCAGCTAATTTTTTAATTTTTTGTAGAGATGGGGTCTCACTATGTTACCCAGGCTGGTCTCGAACTCCTGGGCTCAAGCAGTTCTCCCACCTCAGCCTCCCAAAGTGTTGGGATTACAGATGTGAGCCACTGTGTCCAGCCAGTTCCCAGTATTGTAGAGTATGGTGACTTTTAAGAATTGTGGCTATTATCCCTTTTGATTATTTGTTTAGATCAAATACCATAATGCTTTATTGATAAATACTTTGGCATATTTGGACATACTTCCTAAGTATAGCGTGCTTGTGTATATAATGCTTTTCAGGTTTTGTGTAGTAGCGGGTATGAGTATGCTCTGAGAAAAAGAAGAATAGAAGTGAAAGACCTGGTTATACTTATTTTTAAATGAATCACAGACTTACAAAATTTGTAGAGCTAAGAGGTATCTTGGAAATCATATAGTCCCGCTCCTTCATTTTTAGGGTCGGGAATATAAAGGACCAGTGTGGTTGACTTACATAAGGTCACAGTAGTAGTAAGGAATAGCACAGTACTGTGAATAGGCTGAGATAATCAATTTATATTATTTCTGGATTTTCTGACCCAGTTTGAGGAAAGTATTGTGTATTTGAGAAACTCACACATTCTTAAAAAGTAATTTTTTAAACAGCTTTTCAAAAGATCTTTCATATGCTAAAATATTGAACAACATGCTTGGAGTATAGTTAAGAGGTGACAGTACCATGTAGTGGGCAGGTAGTTAAGAAATCTACATCCTAATTCCAGCTCTGGTACTTACAACCTTGGAAAAAGTCGTCCAGAATGAAGAAAGTCAGTTTGTATTATTCAAAATGAATGGATCAGGCGAGATTCTCTCTGAGGGCCCTTTTAGTTCAAAAATTCTGTGTAAAAGTGAAGCAGTTGTAAGCCATTGAAACTTGATGTGATCAAAGCTTTATGACATCAGAGCAGAGACATATGTGTAGTATCTCTCCAAAACGTATCAGCAGCTCAACATATAGAATTTCATATCTTGATTCCATGCCGTACCTACTCATTAGGCACTGTTGATTCTTTCCAGATACTTTCTATTTCTTAGGCTTAATTTGGATGCTCCTTCTTTGCTTGAAGCTTGGTACAGGAATATGAATACCAGGAATAGATATATATGAAGCAATAAACTTATTTGATAGTCTTTTGGCTCTTCCAAATGAATAGTTCACACATGTGTTAGATGTGTTGGTGTATTAAAGAATGAAGAAAACCCGAGGTTGCTTAAATTTGTAGCATCTTTTACTGTAAGGTACTATAACTGCTCTGTGGGCTAGTTTTGTTGAATTGGTATGTTTTGCTTGATCAATTTCCCTTATTTGATATTCTGGAAAATCTGTAAAAAAGTAAATCCGGAGTTTCTTAGCCAGCCTTACTCTAATTCAAGGAAAGTGTCCCATAAGAGCAGTAAAAAAGAAGACCATCTGGACCCACTTCAGTGTCATTGTACCTTGTCCCCTATCACTGATGCTAGTATATGGTTACTCTTATTTGCTGATTGCAGTGGTCTCCAAGTAATCAATCTGTGACCAGCCTAAGCTCAGACCATGTTTGCAGTGAAGCTTCCCCAACCTTTCTCCAGAAGACATATGGTCAGTCCCAAGGAGCCATTTACAATCCATATACAGAAAGTGCTTATGGAAGATTGTGTAGCAAGGGCAATGTGAAGCCAGTAGTGTGGCAATACTTTCCTTGCTGGGATAAGGTAAATCAGTGATAGGAGATAATGTATATAAGGCTCATAGCTTAGAGTCTGGCTCATTTATAAATGTTCAGTAAATATGTTCTTATTCTGCTTTACAATTTTGCCTTTGGACTTACAACCCTCAAGCAATCATGTATTTTGTTAAGGCTTGGGAAATCTTCTAGAATATTTGACTTAGTGTAGAGTTTTGATATAGTGTCCTTTCTTCTGTTGTTTAACTTAAAGAAGAGCTTAAATGTTTTGTGACTTCAGTATTCCTCATTTTGGGGCTTAGCAATTTAGGGGCATGATTTATATTAAAGACCTTCATATCTAGAAATAATTTATATGCCTTCTCAGGGTGTGGGAGTATAGGGGTATGAATTGTGAAAAATTGAGTCTCCTTTCCAAATGTATATGCTGTTTTAGGTCGAAAACACAAGAAGTCAAGAATACTAGATGAAAATGTTATCCTTAAAGTTAAAGGGCTCAATATTTTTTATTGCAAATGGTGTTCTAATTTTTTCTGTTATTTATATCATATATATTATTTAACAAAATAATTGATTTTGGGTTATTGTACAAACTGCATTATTGTCTGAATTTCTTTTGTCTTGCAAATTAATTTGCAAGAATAAAATAATTTTCTATTTTATCCTTTGTATTTCCAGTGTTAAAAATTACTGTGGTCTTTATTAAAAGTATGTGTTCAATTTAGTTAAAAAAGATTGTTTTAATGTAAAATGTTTAGTACTTTTTTCCCAAAAGAGAATGTCACAATTTAGAAGCAATCCAGAGTTTGTATTTAAAGGACTGTTTATAAGAAAACTATATGGAAAAAGTTGTCTGAATTACAACATTTTATTATTTTGATGTTTGAAATATTTTTAAAATTCTTTTATCATAAAGTCATAAATGAGATAAGGATATTTATGACCACTATTATCACTCACCTTTGTTTTAGAAGTTCTAACCAATGTAGTTATCTCAGAAAAATAAATCAGGAAGATATAGAAATCACTATTATTTATAAATGATATGATTGACTACTTTAGAAAAAGTTAATAAAAATTAAGTAAAAGGGGCCGGGCATTGTGGCCTACGCCTGTAATCCCAGCACTCTGGGAGGCTGAGGTGGGCAGATCATGAGGTCAGGAGATCGAGACCATCCTGGCCAACATGGTGAAACCCCATCTCAACTAAAAATGCAAAAATTAGCTGGACGTGGTGGCACACACCTGTAATCCCAACTACTTGGGAGGCTGAGGCAGGAGAATCTCTTGAACCCAGGAGGTGGAGGTCGCAGTGAGCCGAGATTGTGCCACTGTACTCCAGCCTGGTGACAGAGTGAGACTCCGTCTCAAAAAAAAAAAAAAATTAAGTAAAAGGGTCTGTGGTCAATCCCAGAAATAATCAAATGAATACAGATTAAACCGAAACATGAGATTTGCTTTTACCTTTCAGGTGGACAATATCTCATATAATAAGTACACACTTATTAAGTGTTTATTGTACATCAAATATCATATTAACTCATTTAATTCTAATAATAACCCTTTCAGGTAGGTACAATGATACAATCCCCATTTAACAGAAATCTGCAGAAATGTTGAGTAGCCTTCCAGAGGTCATAGAGCATGGCAGAGCTGAGATTTGAACTCAGCTATAAAATTCTAGTTCTAGAACCTATACTTTTATCCACTAAGCTGCCTCCAAAGATGGATAACATTCAGTGTTGGTGAAGGTATTTGGAAGAAAATAGCTACCTTCTCTGCACTGCAGATATGGGAATGCTTATCATGCCTCCTTTTCAAAAGGCATTCGGTAACACTCATCAACAGCTTAGGATACAGCTATTTTGCTTCTAAGAAATAATCCTAAGGAAATAATCAGGCAAGTGTGCAATAATGAATGTGAGGGTGTGTTTACAGCATAGTTTACAACAGTAATCTAAATGACCATCTTGAGGGAATTGTGTAACTAAATTATGGTATATACATCATACAGTGGAATGTTAAATAGCTATTAAAAAGGCTGATATAGTTTCATGTTTATTAATATGAATGCCCACTTTACATTTTGTGTGAAAACAAAGCAAGCTACAAAATAGTTTTGCTCTATAGTATCATTTCACCTTATTTATACATCAAAGTGGCTATACATTAAAGTAACTATACATGTATTATGCATGTATAAATCTGGCGAGGCGGGCGGATCGCTTGAGGTCAGGAGTTTGAGACCAGCTTGGCCAATATGGTGGAACCCTGTTTCTACTAAAAATACAAAAATTAGCCATAAATTGCTTGAACCTGGGAGGCAGAAGTTGCAGTGAGCTGAGACCGTGCAACTGCACTCCAGCCTGGGCAACAGAGTGAGTCTCTGTCTCAAAAACAAACAAACAAACAAACAAAACCCATAGAAGTATTTCTTTTTTCTGTTCCCCCAACTCTTATTATTTTGTGGTAAAATTAGGCCGACAATTTCCAGTTTGGTTTTTTGCCTTCTGAATGTGAGGCAGTCTTACATGGAGCTTTTCATGAAGCTCCACGTCACAATTTTGTTTTTGAAGTTTCAACTTTCAAGGTTATATTGATTCTCTATCCCCGAACTGCTCCAGAAATCTAGGTGTGCTGTCATTAGGTGGGGCTAGTGAGCTTTGGATGTTCTAAACTGCAGGTCCCACCCTCGTTTGCCTGAGCTTCCTGATGAAAACATGACTTTTAGGTAATATAATTTATAAGAAAATAGAACTCTGTTAAAGTAACTAAATATAAGCTATCACTGACTGTTAAAGCAGATGATATTTTAAGCTGCATTTAAAATCAACAGATGTCATTATTAATCAGGAATCTTTTGTCAGACAGTCAGAATTTTTCTCTGAGATGCTCTGTATGGATC
This sequence comes from Homo sapiens, assembly GCF_000001405.40. Taxonomy (NCBI): domain Eukaryota; kingdom Metazoa; phylum Chordata; class Mammalia; order Primates; family Hominidae; genus Homo; species Homo sapiens. The sequence continues at coordinate 196,453,516 of NC_000002.12, read as the reverse complement.
CTAATTACAATACTCTTCCTAATTACAATACTCTCCTTCCTAAGTGTTAGGAAGAGCTTCCTAAAGCTTGTACTCCACAGCACACCCCATCCTGGGTTCAGTCTTAGCCGATATTGAAGTGCTTTGAGGCAGTTCATTTTCTACTCAAACTTTTAGTTCACATGCTTAAAACTAATGTAGTTGGCTGCGTTCTTTCAAAGTCTTCTTTAGAAGTAATTGTCTGATGCATTTTAGCATCACCCCAGTCCAAGACCCTAAACTGATATGATGTAAAAGAAGAAAGAGTCACTACTGATTTATTGCAGAGAACCCAAACTCTTGGTGTTAGAGATCTTGAAATTCTGTGTCCTTAAAGAGGAATGAAGCCTACCCCTTCTTTCTTATGTGAGTGGATTAATTTGCTTACATGGTCTCTGTAGGCAGAACAAATACAAAGGTCTTGCTGAGTTGCCTAAACATATTCCTTAGAACAGAACTGCTATAAAAAGCAAATTTTACAGAAAATAAGCTTTAAAAAAAATTTTGTCAGAGGCCACAATTTCATCATGGAGTCTCACTGGTTCTTACAGATGGGGTTTAGTCTCATTTTTTGTATTCCCAGCCCTGGCATTGATTTGCTCAAATTAGAAGATTATCTTATTGGGCAGTCTCCCATTGATAAGCCCTGCTCTGGAAATATACCAGGCTACATTTATTGGGCCCATGTTTTTTTTTTTTTTTTTAGTGCTTTGGGGTCAGTCACTCATTTGATCATGCATAGAAAAATCCCAGAATTGTTTTCTGAGGAAGATTTTGCCCAGAAATGATCCCTCCACCACCCTCCATGCAGGAGAGGAGTGGTCTTTTGTGCAGGTGCTCATGTTGGTTAGCTTTCTTCATCTTCATAAAAGGATGAAACCCTTCCAAAGTGGCTTTGCACTGGATCACATGTCAGATGTTCAAGGTCAGATTTATATTAGTGGATATTACCTTGAACTTTCTGTTGCCAGTTCTTACAAGAAATTCATTATAAAGAATTACTTGGAAAATAGGAAGCCCAGACATGGCTTTAAGAGTTAAAATTTAAGTCTAAATTTACCCTTGGACTGAGTTGGGAGTATAGTTGTTTATCCAGCACCATTCTAGTGAGCCACACATGTTAATTTTTAAAAATAGCCAAATTCAAAACAGATGAAATTAATTTTAATAGTATGTATTATTTAACTCAGTATATCTAAAACACTACCATTTATAATCTTGTAAAAACTTATGATCAATATGTCTTATTGATGAGATATTTTAATTTTTTTGTGCTAATTCTTTAAAATCTGGTGTGCATTTTATACTTGCAGCATATCTCATTTTAGGCTAGCCACATTTCAAATGATCAATAGCCACATGTAGCTAGGAGCTCCTGTAATGGACAACACAGTGTTGTACCATTACTGAGCTATGTATGCTTGTTCCTGAATTGGGCCTATTGGTGTTAGGCCAATGAGATGACATAAAAATGGTAATACAACACTATAGTATTTGATGTAGTTAGAAGAATGGAGACTAATACTTCCTACACCATGAAGACCAATTGGAGAAAGTTCTCCAAATAAGAAATAAATCATTTCTTATTTATTTACTTATTGAGACGATGTCTTGCTCTGTCACCCAAGCTGGAGTGCAGCGGTGTGATCTCGGTTCACTGCAACTTCCGCCTCCTGGGTTCAAGGGATCCTCCCACCTCAGCCTCCCAAGTAGCTGGGATTAGAAGTATGTGCCACCACGCCTGGCTAATTTTTGTATTTTTAGTAGAGACGGGGTTTCACCATGTTGGCCAGGCTGCTCTCAAACTCTTGACCTCAGTGATCCTCTTGCCTTGGCCTCCCAAAGTGGTTGGATTACAGGCATGAGCCACTGCGCCCAACCATCAGGAAATCATTTCTGTTTATCTTATGGATGGGGAATGGGTCTGTGATTCTTGTAACTCTTTGGATGTTAGAAAGATCAGAGATAAATTAATGGCCTGTTTCTAGTGTCTGAACAGAGGAGAAAAGCATGAGTTCTGGGTATAAACTTTACCCCACATTTCTTTTCTTTTTTTTTTTTTTTTTTGAGACGGAGTCTCGCTCCATCACCAGGCTGGAGTGCAGTGGCGCGATCTCAGCTCACTGCAACCTCCGCTTCCCAGTTCAAGCAATTCTCCTGCCTCAGCCTCCTGAGTAGCTGGGATTACAGGTGCGTGCCACCACGCCCAGCTAATTTTTGTATTTTTAGTAGAGACGGGGTTTCACCATGTTGGTCAGGCTGGTCTTGATCTCTTGACCTCGTGATCCACCCGCCTCGGCCTCCCAAAGTGCTGGGATTACAGACATGAACCACTGTGCCCAGCCTACCCCATATTTCTTAAGCTTGCTTTCCTTTTTTGACAACTTTCAGCTTGTTGAATGTAATACTGCAGTGTTTCAATTCCTTTTAATTAATAAAAATATTTTATTTCAATTTTCACAATGTTTCAATAATTATATCTGTCTAAATTTTATGGGAAATAGAATTTAAAAATTCTTAGGCAAATCTCTCGGTTGACTTTTGGTTCATTTTAAATTTGTTTAACAAATTTGGATATACTTGGAGAGATAGTGTCAGTTATTTGGTCTAACTTGGGACTACATATAGATAATACCTGGTGATTTCTTATGTCAGCAGTTCTCAAATTTCAGCATTTATCAGCATCAAATGGGGAACATGTTAAAAACCTGATATTTGGGCTGGGCGTGGTGGCTCACATCTGTAATCCCAGCAGTTTGGGAGGCTGAGGCGGGTGGATCACCTGAGGTCAGGAGTTGGAGACCAGCCTGACTAACATGGTGAAACCCTGTCTCTACTAAATGCAAAAAATTACCCAGGCGTGGTGGCACATGCCTGTAATCCTAGCTACTTGGCAGGAGAATCTCTTGAACCCGGGAGGCAGAGGTTGCAGTGAGCCAAGATTATGCCATTGTACTCCAGCCTGGGAAACAAGAGAGAAACTCCATCTCAAAAAAAAAAAAAAAAAAATCTGATATTTGGGCAGCATCTAACAGGTGGCTTATGATCAGTAGATTTGGAGACTAGACAATGGTGGTTGAACATGCTGTCTGCTGTTATATTCCTGGTAGCTGCCTCTTCCAGCTTTCTTCTTCCTCTCATCTCCAGAAAAAATGCTGTAACCCCACAATCCTTTTCTTTCTTTCCCTGCCACTCTCTGGCTAAGCACCGTGTTTTTATCGGTCAACTCAGATTCTTTCCCTTCTGCTTCACCTATTATCTAGGTTTTGTGTACTAAACAGTGGGACATATCCATTGTATTACTGAAGTTCTTTACATCTATGACAGAAACCCAACCTAAACTCTGCAACGCAAAAAGGGCAAAGTTTTGGATGCATAGGGATGGACTTTGCCTTAGGCATACTGGGTTAAGTCTGGAGGAATGGCCCACAGCTTTCTTTCTGGTTCTCAGCCTGGCACACCACCAAGGCCCCCATACTTGCAGAAAGCCAGGGGAGGGACAACTGTAGGCAGAGAAAATGCATATAAGAAGAGGAGACAAGGAGTGCTAATATTTATGATTCCAAGTCTCTTCTTTATTCCTGTTTCCCATGCATTATGACTGAAGGAATCACACCATTGCAAAGGGTGGGTTCTTGTCTTATCTTTCTATAAATTTAAAAAAAAATGGATTAATGAGGTAATGGATAAGTGTGTAGTGTTTGAAAAGATTTTTCCTAATTACAACCAGTTAAAACTTTTGCATTTTAATGATATTTTAATTCATTTGAAATTATTATTTAAGGCCATGGTATTTTTACATTTTAGTAGTGCAGCATTCTTAGCAAAAATAATTTATTTATAAACTGAATGGATTTATTTCTTTGAATAGATTTTAATCTATTAATGAAAATGCAGCTTCTTTTAGTTTATTGAATTTGGGAGCAGGAATCCAATTTCTATAAATATAATGAGTTAAAATAATTTGACTCACTAAAACAAATGAAATCTTTCAGCATCCATAGAAAGAAATCGGCAATTTTACTTATGGTCATATAGTACTATCATTTTGTAAGGATTATCTAATTATCTATTCTGCAGAAATCATTCCATCAGACTTCAAACCTTGCTTCATTTATACCTTCTCATGTGTTCCATTTTTAGTGGATAGTTACCACAGTGTTTCTGCCCCTGCACTAGATACATTGCTAAACTAGTGAGATGAGACAGAGGTGGGGAAGACCACAGACCATACAACTCATAGTTTCAAGGTCAGCTGGAGAGCTATAGTAGGTCCAAAGGATTAGTTCTGTGCATAATGTACTGGGGTGGGAGGAAGCTGGTACTGTAGCCCAGCGAAATTCCCAGACTTGGCACCACAGTTTCTTCCTTTTTCCCCATATCTTTAGGCTAAGAGACCATCACCATCTTCCTTTTTAACACATAACCAGGTGCCACGGACACTCACCCCAACATTGAAGTGGGAGGCAGAACTTCACATCTCAACTTACTGTAGGATTCCTGAGTACAAGTGTTCACATGCTTGATTTACTTTGACTCAAGGAGACATCCAAATACTTATTATTTTTTCCCCCAAAAAATGGATAGTGAGAGAGGAAGGGCAAAAAGGATGTGATTTGTATTGAGCTGCTACTCTGGAAGGGTTCCTAGCAGCAGAGCTACTCCTTCAGGCCTCTTTAATTATGCCTGCTTATCAACGAGTTGTCAGGGTCCATGGAGACTGTCTTGAGAGTGGGAAATTGCTACTTCTCAACAAGGTGATGGGCTTCTAAAGTTGATTTAAATCTGTGGCTCACAACAAATAAATAAATAATTGCTTTCTATATCTGCAAAGATAACAGTAGGTGAACCACAAATGAGAGTGAGAAAGTGAGGAGACACAGCAGAGCCAATCAGGCAGTTCTGCTTTGGCGGGGGAGGCTGCTTGGCTCCTGTTTATGGCACTGATTTTAAAACCTGTAAACAGTTGATTACGTCTTTCTCCCCAAATTTTGTGGATAAACCTGGGTTCCATATGATATAGCTTTCATAACCCAGTTGTAACCCAGAAGCCACAGGAGGCGTAGCATATTGGAATAAAATCAGACTTAAAAGACCTCAGAGTAGGTCTCAGCTGTGTCATCCACTAGCTTGGTGCCTGTCTGGAAGTCAAATCTAGGATTAAGAGCTGCATGATAACATGGGAGTGAGGGATGGGAGCGGAGGATAGACAGGAGTTACCAGGAAAGCAGGCCTCTTAAAGTAAATCTATTTACATTGATTGGGAAGCCAAATTGCAGAGTAAATAGGGAGACAAAGGGCTTGATCCTGACAAAAGTTCAAATGATGGGAATCAGTTTATTTTATCTTACACCAACATTTAGGTTATAATCACAAATATGGCCTGATCATTAGAAGGAACAAATAACAAATGAAGTGTTGAAACTTTTTGTTTGTTTTTGAGATGAAGTCTCCCTCTATTGCCGAGGATGGAGTGCAGTGGCACAATCTCTGCTCACTGCAACCTGTGCCTCCTTGGTTCAAGTGATTCTCCTGTCTCAGCCTCCTGAGTAGCTGGGACTACAGGTGTGCGCCACCACGCATGGCTAGCTTTTTTTGTATTTTTAGTAGAGATGGGGTTTCACCATATTGGCCAGGCTTGGCTCGAACTCCTGACCTCGTGATCTGCCTGCCTCGGCCTCCCAAAGTGCTGGGATTACAGGTGTGAGCCAATGCCCCTGGCCCAAAGTGTTGAAACTTTTAGAGGGTTGGGATAATTCATTTTTTTCAAGAAAACTGTGTGATAGCACAATACGATATTTGATTTTCTCACTACAGTCATAAAGAAAGTCATATTGCAAAAACTATTTCAAGCCTCTGTTAACTTTCCCATGGCTTCTGTCTAATCCTAAGAGAGTCAAATTATCCTTAATTTTTTTCTCTTTAAGTTACCAATTGTTCTAACTTTGCCAGATCCTTATTACTCAGTGGTTTTGCATGTGACTTTAAAATCACTTTGACTTTTATGAATTCCTGAATCTTTTACCAGTTCATGTAATTTCTCTTTGCCATCAGTTTATTGTTGGAACATCTAACATTCAGTGAGAGACTAGCAGAAATGGGGTTGAAAGGGGTTGACAGGGGTTGACTCTCTCATTGTATGGGAGAAATGGTTGAATGGGGACTAATTTTACGTCTTCAGTTCATCGTTGTGTGATACTTTTTGCTTTCATTGTCAGCCCGTTAATAGAGTGGAGCTGGGCCATGAACACTTAGGTCAAAAGAATCTCTTCTTTGTTAAAAAAAAACAATTGGAAAATACAGTGCTTTGTAGGTAGTCCTTTTGGAAAAGATTCCAAGCATTTTTTTTTATCCCAGTATTTGAAGTAAAATTAAACTTGGTATCAACAAGCTGGATCATGACACTGAAGAGAACTGTTTCCTTATTCACATGTTGCATATTCATTTAGTTTTTTGGTTCTTCCAGATGAGTCTTTGCCCTCATTGGGGATCTCATAAATTGAGTAGTTTATTATTATTTTGAATTCATTCTTTTTCTAGTCTTATGACTGTAAGTTCCTTCAGAATGGAATTTGTTCCATTTGTTTGTTCTAGTGCAAGAACAGTACCTCATACTTAGTAGGCATTGGATAACTCTTATTTGTATGAAAAACCAGGCAGGTTTGACACTCTTGTTTGTGACTTACATGTGCCCTTTCTTCCTAATGTGGTTATTCCTTCTTGTTGGATTCCATCCCTTCTTGCTTTTTTCTGCTTTGATGCACCTTTTGTTGATTTCTGTAGTAATGGTAAGCATCAGTTGGTAACCTCAGACTTTAAAATTTAACCTGTGTGTTTGCAACATCTGCTTACAACCATTGCATTCTGCCCATGAAATCACTTAAATTAAAGATCTTACTGTGGTGCCAAATAGTTTGTAAAATTAAAAACAATAATTGATTAATTAAGTGAAACATTATTCCAGGTGCTCTACCAAGAAAACCATGTAGGTCCAGCTGCCAACTTAGAGGTGATGTCTGTCTGTCATTTCTGACTCCTCATGAAGCATACATTCTAGGGGGAGGAGATGCAATAAACAGGTGAATAAGTCATACTGTATATTACAATATGAAAAGTGCTGCAGGAGAAAAATAAAGCAGGAAAAGGGGGTAGGTAGTGTTGGAGCAGTTGAAATTTATCATGGGTGGTCAGGGAAGGTCCCTCTGAGAGGCTGCCATTTGGTAAAACCATGAAAGAAGTAACAAAGTGAGCCATGTGCATACTGAAGAGAAGAGCAGAGGGAATAGCATATGCAAAGGCCCTGTGGTAGAGAGTGGCTGGAACATTCTAGGAGCAGCAGTGGGACTGGAGCGGTGTGAACATGGAAGGTAGTAGCAAAAGATGAGGTCAGAGAGGACCAACAGCCAGATCATGTGGGGCTTTCTAGACCACTGTAAGGGTTTTGGCTTTTTCTCTGCATGAGATAGGGGTTATTGGAGGATTTTTGGTAGAGAACAAAATGATCTAACATCTGAACAGGGTCACTCTGGCTGTCATATTGAGAATATACAAAAATCAAGAATGGAAGAGGGGAAGGAGGCTGTTCATTCAGAGGAGAGATGATGGTGGCTGGATAGAGTGAAGGTAGTGAAAGCTAATTCCTATCTATCTTTACTTTTTAGTTGTATTGTATGGCCTAGAATGCACGCCATATTTTTTAGTCGTACTCTAGTATGGCCTAAAATGCATGCCATGTTTCATGGCCTTCATATCTTTCAAGGTCCACCTCAGATTTTCTCATTAGACTTTTCTTTACTTCAGCCCCTGCTGATCATGCCCCATAATGAGCTCTCTTACTGCCTTTTGCACTTATACATTACAGTACAGAAGGCAGTTGCTTTCTATTTCTTTCATGTAGCTTGACTTTTATTTTTTGTATGCTGTAGCAAGAGCCTTATTTTATACTTTTTAGCACACAGTAGGCACTTTACTCAAAAAATCCTTTTTAGTTGGCTAATGTGGCTAATTCTAGTGACACACAATTTACCTATATAAGAAGCCTGCACATGTACCCCTGAACCTAAAGTAAAAGTTTAAAAAAAAGCCAATAATGCTAATTAAACAAGTGAATGGAGATGCTGTTAACACTGTGTCATTTTTCTGTAATGGATCTACCTTTGTAACTCAAAAATAAACTCCAAGTTTGGGGGAAAAAAAGAAAAGTCAAGATTTATTCATACTGTTGACTTTGTTCTTTTGCATTGTTATTTTCTCACTGGTAGCATTTGAAAAATAAACACTATTTGTGTAAGAGAAACAGTAATTTGTCCTCAAAAAGCTTATAGTCTGGCAGGAGAAGACATGAATCTTCATAATTAGAATATGAGGCACTGTGAAGTATAAGTGATAAGAATAATATAAAAAAGACAACTGGAATTGACATATAGGAATGTTGCCTTCTGGCTGGGTGCTCTTCAAAAAGAGAGTGTTCTTTAGGTCTTGAAGATGGAGCAGGTGGTAAGAATTGCATGGACACTGCTGGACTTGCTAAGCATTTGCAAGGGTAACAGAATAGATAAATTTGCAGGGAGAAAGTTTGCATGAAACTTTTGGTTTATTCAGGGAATTATAAAGAAATCCAGGGAAAAAAAATCCACCCTCTGCTCTCCTCCCTGACCCCCAGAGCCACCACTGAAATCTGTGCCTTCCTTGCTACTCACCTGGACTATGCAACCATTTGCTAACTTCAGATCTCAGCCTAATGAGCTTTAATGTCACTACTTGTGAGAGGCCTTCCCTGTTCACCCTTGTCCAACTTGGTTCCTTCCCTGCTCCTTTGTTCACTTCCATCATGGCTTTTTAATTACGTCATTTACTTGATTGGAAGGGTTGGCATTGAAAAAGTGCTGTAGGGAGAGAGTAGATAGATTGGCTGGGGACAATGTAAGGACCAGAGAGGTCTTTTAAGAAGTGGTGGTCTAGGTATGAAATGATGTGAACTTGGCTTAGTGCTGTTGTGGCAGTGGAAATGAAAGAGAGAAGCATTAAGGGTTAAAAATGTACTCTATGGAGTATAGACTGCATGATAGAATTGCTAGAATTTGTAGTTATGACCTCTGGTGTTTTATGGAATAAACAATTATATTGAAATACAGTTGGTCTTTTCTGGAAGCTTTTGCCAATCAGTAACTAGGAGCTTAAGTTTTGTGATTTGCTTTGCAAAGAAGACTTTCCCACCTAATGCGCTTCAGCCACCACAAAGTAATGTGGAATTCTTAAATATTTGAATTTCACTTACCAATAGTTTACCAACTTAACTACAGGTAATGTTTTGAGATGTATTCCACACAAAAGAGAAAAGATATCTTCCGCTTAAGGTTACAAAGGAGTAAAAGTTTCGTATCTTTCAAAAGGAATGAATGTAAGAGGAAATGATTCCACTTCTCTCATATAAACCATTAATAATTGTTTTTGTTTTTATTTTTGCCACAGGGTCTCACTCTGTTGCCCAGGCTGGAGTGTAGTGGCCTGATCTCGGCTCACTGCCACTACCACCTCTCAGGCTCAAGCGATCCTCCCACTTCAGCCTCCCAAGTAGCTGGGACTATAGGCGCACGCCACCATGCCCAGCTAATTTTTGTATTTTTTGTAGAGATGGGGTTTTGCCATGTTGCCCAGGCCAGGCTGGTCTCCAACTCCTGAACTCAGGCAGTCTGCCCACCTCGGCCTCCCAAAGTGCTGGGATTACAGGTGTGAGCCACAGTGCCTGGTTAGTATTTGTTAATAAACGAGCAAACCACCAAAAGTGGTTGATATAAAAGCAAAGAGTTTTTCTTGTTTTCGTTTCTTCTTTTTTGACACTTGAATAGACTATGACTTCATGTATGTTTACTGAAAAATAGGTTGGAATTTTTAAAAGGTAGTGAAAATATGTGAAGTTTTGGCTTTCATTTTCCTAATCTGGCATGACATTTAAAAATGATTCTTAAAATGAAGTTTTGCTCTTCTTAATTGACTAACATTTTAAAAGTATAGGTTAATGTAAAAAACTGATACCTCTGCCAATAAATATTGTTACAGTGGGGGCTCATCACAATCTATCCTGTATTTAGATAAATGAGTAAGAGATGTTGCCCTTGTTCTTCCCATATTTGCTAGTCTATATGCTTCTCGTTACACATTTAAGGGTCTATGATATTGGCACTGGTATTTTGTTAGTGGCTTTTTTCTTTTATCTTTGTCCAGCATTCATTTTTTATTCATCTAGTAACAGCAAACCTTCGTTTTCACTAATTTAATTCTTTTTGAGGAATCACTTCTCCCCAACTGCCTTCAGTTTTGGTAGAATTGCCCATCCATATGCCATCTCCTCTTCTCTGTAGGTCCATAGGATCCTGTCTCCTACCAGTCAGTCCTGAGCAACATCATGGAGAAAGGACGGATGTTTAGGTGGATTGATCCTGGTGGCTACTGTTACCCAAGAGCATCTTTGGTTCATTATTTTCCTTTATTTTGATTCTGTGGGCTACCTAGTATCTTTCTAGTAAATTTCCTTTCTGTTTCGGTTTATCAGAGGGGGCTTCTGTTCCTTGCAACTAAGGAGCCCTCGAAGATAACCATTTATTGTAATAAATAAATAATAGTAGGAACCATCCTTTCATATCAGAGGTCTATTTTAAATAACATTATTATATATCTTATTTGTAGAAAAATTCAAAAATTGAGTATCAAGAGGTAAAAACAATTGTAATCCCACTGTCTATAACTTGAAAAAGTATACTCTTTTTTCTATGTGTGTTATTAACACAATTTAATTATATTGTATATGTAACAGTATTTGATAATACTTAACCTTATAGCATGAACAAATTCCCATGTCAAATCTTAAAAATATGTTTTTAATGGCTTCATAATAGTCTATAAGGTAGATATGCTATAATGTAAACACTTTTCCATTGTTGGACATTTGTTTTGTTGTTAATTTGTTCTCTATTTTGAATAATGTTGTGGTGATCATCTTTTTATAACTCTTTGCTGGCATCTCTGCTTCTTTCCTTAGGGTAGAGCCCTGGAAATGAATCACTGGGCCTAAGGGTGTGAGCATACCTAAAGCTCCAGAAAGCTTTGTAGAACTATCCTCTCAGCAACATATGAGTGTTGTTTCTCACTGCATTTTCACTTGAGTACTACTGCTTTTCAATGTTGATGTTTTAGTGGACAACAATTATATCTTTTTTAAAAATGTGTTTTGATATATACTTATTGATTCAATTTTTTGGTAAAATATCTACTCATACCTTCAAAGAAGGTTTTAATTAAATAATTGAATTAAAAATCTCACTGCGTTTAAATAACTAAATGAGTTAAATATTAATGATTTTCTCTTTTTAATCTAGTTGCATATTTAATGATTTAAAGCTAAACCAACATCTTGAAAGCATTCTTGAACTGTCTTTAAAATTAACAATTTTTTGGAACTTAAAATTATTTCTATTTGTGTACATCCCTTTTCCAAATTTACATTTGGGTAATTTTTATGTTGTGGATTATAACATATTCTTTAGTAAAATTTTGGGGAAAACACGCTTTTCCTAAAGGGCAGCAGGCTGGAGGATAAATTGCATTTTCTGAGACTTTTCCACCTGGAAAGAGGAAGTGAGGGGCAGCTCCAGTTACCCCAGGTTCTCTATTCAGTTCTCATTTCCTAGCAGGTTGTGTAGAAGGACATTTTCTGGTTTTCCTAATCATTTTATTAGCATACTCTTGCTGAGTAAGCTAAGCATCAAGTTATGATTATCTATGATAAACACGGAGTTTATCTGAATGTTCATTTATACTGAATGACTGAAAATGCTCTCTCTTGCTACACACAGGGGAAATCCACTGGAGGGGGAGCTTTGGTGGAAGATTTGGTGACGTCTTTGTTCATCTCAGATGCCAATTGGCCTTGCTGGGGATGGGTTACTGCTTTCTTTTCCTATAGTTCTCACATCTCTACTTACTGCAGGCTAATTATATCTTGACTATAAATGTAGTTTTTCACCCTTTGTTTTCCTCATTTAGATAGTAAAAAATAAAAATAAAAAATCACTTGGAGTTTGAAGCATAGTATAGTTGAACAAGTGTGTGTGTGTGTGTTTGTGTGTGTGTGTTGTATGTTGTGTCTTTTGGAATTTGAAGGGTTAAACAAGTTTGTCTTTTATTATTATTGGTTTTATTTATCAATGCCAACTCTAGGAAGTTAGATCCTAGGATGCATTTCTTAAATTCTATAAAAATCCTCTGACAATGTTTTTCAGTACCTGCCCTTCAGGTGAGGTTTAGTAAATTGACATTCACCTCCAGATTCTTTAGCAAAACTATTTTCAATAAAAAACACTTGCTTAATGTATTTGTCATCTGCTACTGTCTATATCTTCTGAACAAAATCTGCTGGTTTTGGAATTGAAGTTGTATACTATGGCATTTTGTGATTTGCTTAGTAATTAAATCTCTCTTGACCTCTTGAAGAAAAATGATTTTGTTTTCAGTTGTTTGAAACAGATGTCTTTTATCTGGGAGAGCAGCATGGTGCAGACCTAATCATATTTAGAAGGAGGGTTTTTTTTAATTTTTTAAGGAGTGCTACATCATGTTAAATTGTGCCCACTGGGAATGGGACATATAGCTGCAGCACAGACTCACCCTGGGAGGGATGAGTTATCTAAGGAGCTTTAAAGGACCAGCTTTCTACTTAAGCCATATAGTGAATATTAACCTGCTTCCCTTGCCGTCGCCTTTATTTTCTGAAGCTTTTCAAAAGAACGTGGATAATTTTCTGAAGAAAATGTGTCTTTCTTATTGCAGAAGGCAATAAGAAATGTGAAATCAAGAAGCAAATTGAGAGTTCTTAGGTTTCAGTATTAGAAAATGCGCAGCAGCTGTTCTCTGTTATTGAGTAACACTGGTTTTCCCATATGAGAATATTACATTGAATAGGGTAGCTAAAACTCAAATTTTAGGTATAAAATTTAGAGTGCTTTGATTTTTTTCATTTTTATGTGACTTTGCAAATTAATTTTTGCACAGTACTTATTTACTATCAAAACATGAACTCTAAAAACTATATTACATTTCCTATAAGGGAAAAGTTAAGGTTTCCAAAGCAATTAGATAATAGTCCCTTGTTGTAATCTAAATAAAATCATTGATTTATTTCCTTTCCAGTTGGCCTAAGTTATGTAAAGTAAAACATCTGAATGAGGTTTTTAAACCCTGAAATAAGACTTTTAGGGATATATTGGCATAGTCAATTTTAATTAATACTAAGGCTGTTATTGAGCAGAGACTTGCATTTGAATATTTGTTTTATCCCCGGCCTCATAATAACCGACAATTTGGACCCACCCTCATAAGAGTTATATTTACTTGGATATATTGCATTTACTTCCATCTCACCTGAAATAATTTTGATTTTCTCAGCCCTGTCAATGTTTCTGGGATTCTGTTGTCACTTAGATTGAAAATCCACAATTTAGTCCTAATTTCACCCTCACTTTTATCCCCTATATTCAATCTGTCATCATGTCTATGTGTTCTTCCTTTGAAACATTCCTGATTGATATTTTCTTTTCATGTCACTAAAATCCGTCTTCTGCCAACAGCGCTGGGTTCCTTGACTGATCAGTTTCTCACTGGTTTCCCCACCTCTGTTTTCTTCCTGTTATAATCAGCCCTGCATAAACTCTCAGATTACGTTTCCTGAGACTTCCCTTTCCTATTTTTGCCTCTCTTCTCAAGACCCTGGAATGGCTCCCCACTCCCTACTGTTGGTCAGGTTCCAACAGGACTACTTCAAGTTCTGTGGCCAAGTTTCTTAAATTCTTGTCTCCTCTGTCTTACATCTTACACTGTCCCGTCGCTGGCTTGTGGGCGGTGGGCTCTGCAATTCTTTTCTAAGGGAGTTGTTTGGAGGTTGTCATTACTTTTTAATACAGAAACAGTTCTATAAAAGCTACGGTTGAGTTTCTTAAGCTGTAACTCAAGGCCTGTATGACCTAATGTGGCTAATTTCTGAGCCCTGGAAACCAGGAGCCATGTGGAATAGGTGGAGACAGGGGAAGGATGGACGTTTTCTTCTTCTTTTCTAAGTACAGGGTCATCTAGACTAGGCAGAACTTCTAGTGGTTTTTAATATGTAAAGTTGGTCTTCAGCATTTGCTTTCTGTTCACTGTCTTCCAAATCCTGGTGTTCCTCTCCCCAGGCTCTTAGGCATAAATAGTTACCCTAGACTAAATAATGCATTAATTAATTCAGTAGCTATAATGTTTGCCTACTAAAATAACCATGGCTACTTTTTATTGAACACTTTCATCCACAGTATTTCAATCCTTAAAACAACCTTGCATGGTACATTAAAATTACTTCCATTTAATAGGTAAATAAATTGAGGCAGGGTGAAGTTTAAATATATACAGCTACTGATTTATGTACTGACTTACAAATAACCGGTATATATTTGAATATCACTTAGGAAAAGTTTGTATCATATATGAGAGTTTGTTAAAGGAATATATAGAAAACCTCCATCCCTTCCCCACTTCATCTCCTCCCCTGACACACAAGCACCTCTGGGACACTGTTCTGCTTTTGAAGACTATACAGCTTCAGGGTAGAAGAAAAGAAGCAAAAAGAGTTATAAAAAGTTTCTGATACTTGTCAACCTCCCCATCCTCAAGTCTATCCCCAGAAAACCCTCCACCCCCGGACTGGATGTCTTCATATAACAGGATTGAACAATGATTCCTATTAGAGATTTGGCTCAAAAAGCATCTTTGTGCTAAAGTGTAATGAAAGAACTCTTGGAAAGATTAAGGAATTCTTGGTTATTAGCACATTATTGTCAGCTAGTTCAATGACATCTTCTTCTGAGCTACCTTCAGGGTCTTTCTGATCAATGGAGTTGAAAAGGAAGTGGAGGCACCTCCATGGTTTAAATCTGTACTTCCCGGTCCTGTATGTAGCTGTGGAGGACGTGAAATGTGGTCAGTTTGAACTGAAATGTGCTTTAAGTGTAAAATTCACACTGGATTTAAAAGCCTTAGTATTTAAAAAAAGAAAGAAAAAAATTAGTAACTGTTTATATTAATGTTGAAACAATAAGTTTGGCTATAGTGAGTTAAATAAAATGTTATTAAAATTTTCATCTGTTTTATGTTTTTAAAATGTGATTACTAGAAAATTTTAAATTACACCCATGGGTTGTGTTATATTTCAATTGGACAGTGCTGGTTTGGACTAATTCTCCACCTGTCCTGTGTCTTCCAGCTTTTGTTCGTCCTAGTAGCCATGCTCTGTACTATGTCTCCTCTCTTTCCTACATCTTCATTCTCTCCTCTTTACTGGCCCTTTTCTCTCAGTTTTTATTCATTCAGCAAATATTTCCTGTTTTCTTAGTTCCTATGCTGGTATTAGGAACATGCAGAATCTCTTCCATCCTAAAAACAAAACAAAACGTGAAAGCAAACAAACCCAACTCTGTCTCAATCCATGTTGCCCTCCCCACATGCCTCCTCTTCGCCATCCAGCCTTTTGAGGAAGAGCCTGGATTCTTTACCCCACTTTTACCACTCCATGCTAACTCTTCTGGCCACCAATTTTACCCACTCCTCAGTCTTTCCCTGCAGCATTTGACACTGTCCTTGGAGTCTCTCCTTCCTTGACTTCGAAGTTCTCTCTCTCTCTTTCATTTTTCTCTCTCCCGCTTTAACTTTGTTTTTAAGCATGTGACTGACTCATCAGCTTTGTGACGCTGGATGGGCCTAACCTCATGGAGCCTCAGTATCTTCTGTGTCACATTGGGGCTTGCATTCGTCAGTGGGCACTGTGGTGACCCACCCCCTCCAAGGCTGGTGCTTTTTTTTTTTTTGAGACAGAGTCTCACTCTGTTGCCCAGGCTGGAGTGCAGTGGTGTGATCTTGGCTCACTGCAACCCTTACCTCCCTGGTTCAAGCGATTCTCGTGCCTCAGCCTCCTGAGTAGCTGGGATTACAGGCATGTTCCACCATGCCCAGCTAATTTTTGTATTTTTAGTGGAGACAGAGTTTTACCATGTTGGCCAGGTTGATCTTGAACTCCTGACCTCAGGTGATCTGACTGCCTCAGCCTCCCAAAGTGCTGGGATTATAAGCCTGAGCCACTGCGCCCGGCTGGTGCATGGTTTCTTTTGCAGGATTCTCTTCATCTTCACCGGGTTCTGTGGAAACTCTACATTTGTTTTTTTCTTCTCCGCCTCCCAGTACTCTTCCTTGGTAGTTTCTTTGTATCCATGCTTCCAATTAGAATGCTCTTCATGCGTTTCTTTTTTTTTCTAATTCTTTAAGGCTCACCTCAGATATCACCTCTGCCACCAAGTGTTTTCTGTCTTCTTCAGCCAAACTTTTGCCTCACAAATCTTTCTCAGTTTCCTCATCTGAAAAGAGAGATAATGATGTTATCTCTTGGAATTAATTTACAATATTCTGAGGGCTTACTCGAGATACCTGATGTGAAAGTGCTTTGGAAAAGGTTAAGCCCATTATAAATATGTTTTTATCACTTTCAGATGCCCTACAACATTTATTGTCCCCACAAATTTGTTAAGACTAATTATACATGTATATAAAGTGCCATTGATACCAGCTTGAATTATCTCATATATGAATATTTGCTTTTGTTCCCCAAAATTTCAAGTTCCCACAGGGAAAGGGCTATGTTAGGAAAAGAAAAGAAAGAAATTGAAAAAAAAAAAAACCTTACTCTTTTTACTATTTAGCATACACTGCAGCTTTATGGTAGACATGTAGTAGTAGATGCTCCATACATTTTTGCAGGTGCAATTAAGCTAGCAGATTCACACATTTCTAGCTCTTTTTGTTCTTTCACTGAAAACAAATATGTATTATGTATTTGGTTTTTGGCCCTTAGTTGCGTGTCTTTTCTTGTTAGAATGCAGGCTTTTTTGAACTAGGGACTTTGACTTTTGCTCTGTTGTATCCTTAATGCTTTTCACTTAGGAGGAGCACAGTTATTTTTGCATGAACGATGAACCCACTACTGGTGATGAAGTTGAGTTTCAACTTTTTTTTTTTTTTTTTTTTTGAGATGGAGTCTCGCTCTGTCGCCCAGACTGGAGTCCAGTGGTGCAATCTCTGCTCACTGCAAGCTCCGCCTCCTGGGTTCATGCCATTCTCCTGCCTCAGCCTCCCGAGTAGCTGGGACTACAGGCACCCGCCACCACGCCTGGCTAATTTTTTCTATTTTGTAGTAGAGATGGGGTTTCACCATGTTAGCCAGGATGGTCTCAATCTCCTGACTTCATGATCCGCCTGCGTCGGCCTCCCAAAGTGCTGGGATTACAGGCGCGTGCCACCAGGCCCGGCTCGAAGACCAGGGAATGGCTCTTGTCAGTGTTATGGGGCCAAAGCTTGGGCTCTGAGATATCTGAGGTCCTCACTGCCTACAAGGCTCTTTTGTTTCTGTTAGGCGCTATGCTTTGAAATACTGAAGATGCTGATTAAGTAGAAGGGGTGGTGGGAATTATGGGAGTATTAAAACCAGTTCTTGATATAATTAAAGTAGAATGTAGTCACATAATGGTATTAATAACTAAACTTGACCAAGCACTTACTATATGCCAGACACTGTTTGAAATGTTTTATCTGTACTGATTTATTTAGTTCTCTCCAAAATCCTATGAGGCAGATGTTATGTTCTTCCTGGATAGGTGGGGAAACAGAGGGACAGAGAGTTAAAATAAATTGTCTAAGATCATAGAGTGATAGAAAGTAAAGATATAACCGAAATCCAGAAGTTGGGCTTCAGAGCTTTTTCTCTTAGCTGCTGTGCTAACCTGTCTCTCTGCTTAAATACAGATAATTTAAAAACAGTAATGTGGGCATACATACATGTTATTTCACTTTTTTCTAGAGAGGAATAATTGTCAGTATTTCTTCTGTTGTGATTTTAAGCTATAAGGGTTGTGGCCTATTTCTTTCTTTCAGGGAAGTAGTTTAGTTATATACAGCCTGCATTTTTTATTCAACTACAATGTGTTAGGAGTTGATTATTTATAGTTCTTGCTGAAGCTGATGTGCTGCATGACTCACTGAGTTTATAAAGAAATAATGGCCTGTTGAAAGTCAGTAAAATGAAATTTCTTGAAACTATCAGATTAGAAGTTGACCTGTATTTTAAGCTTCATAGATTGGAGATTTTCTAATAATTATGGATTCTTTTATGGTATCAGAGTTACCATAGACCACATACAGAAAATAAGTGCCAACTTTATGAAGAGAGATATGGGATTTAAAACCATTGAACTGAGTAAATCAGCTTATCTGTTCATTTTTATTTCTATCCTTTTCACAAAAGATATCTTGTCCAAGTTATTTTCATTCAAGAGATAGTGCTCAAAGTATGAGATCTACTTTATGGCAGAAACTATTTGAATAAATACATTTGCAAGTGCTATAAACCTAGCACAGGAGCATGTCCTCTTCATCCAAAGTGTCTGTGAACTCAATGGGAGGATGGGAGAAAAAACCCTATCTTCCCTTGCCCTCCTCTCAGACTCAGTAGCCAAGGTCGTTAGCTGTCATGTAAATATTGCACCCAAGGTTACTTTGTTTGTTTTTTAAATGAAAACTCATGCAGTGGGTGTTGAAATATATCATATGAGAAGTGGTAGTGTGAGTGGCAGAAAGTTTTTTCATAGACTTCCCAGGACCCAATAGGGTTTGCCCTGAGATGAAACATGGCATAATGAAGATGGTGGCAGGTACCAAGATTGCGGAATAAATGTGAAATCCATAAATTCATGAGTGGATTATGTAGTTCTGAAAGGGATGGTACAGAAGAAAATCAGATCAATTCTATGTAAAGCTAGTGAGATCCGAGTGAGGTAATGTAAACCCATGGCAAACAGGTAAGGCGCTGGTAGATAGAACCTTAGTTGTGCTGCGTTAAAGTACAGGAGGTACTGGAGTCTCTGTCTGTATCTGGAAGTATTTTATAACTAGACTCAGTGAGCCAAAAAGGGGCTGTCTAAGTTCCAACAGGGAAGGCCTTGTTCCTTTGGAACCAAAGGAAATAGCTTATCGGGAGCCAAAGGAAATAGCTTATCATGATCCAGATGGCCCAAATAATGTGGACCAGCCAGAAAGTCAGGATGGCAAGGGGCAGGCTCAGGAAAGGGACTGGAGATAAAAGTTATTTCAAGAAGTATCTAGGAGAAAGATGCTTACTCTTCCTGCATCTGTTATTTAACAAATATTTATCGACATGTACCGTGTAGCAGGCACTGTTGTAGACACTGGGGATAAAGTAGCCAACAAAACAGATGAAAATCCCTGCCTTTGTGAAACTTACATTCTTGT
Source organism: Homo sapiens (assembly GCF_000001405.40). NCBI lineage: Eukaryota > Metazoa > Chordata > Mammalia > Primates > Hominidae > Homo > Homo sapiens. The sequence continues at coordinate 196,434,124 of NC_000002.12, read as the reverse complement.
CAGGGGAAGTAGACAATAACCAAATAAATAAGTAAATTGTATGGTACGTTAGATCACAAAAATTGCTATAGAGAAAAATCAAGAAAGGAGGGATGGGGAATGCTGGGGTGCTGCAGTTTTAAATGTGATGGCCACTGTATTTAGGAGAAGAGGTAACATTTGAGCAAGCTCCTGAAAAGATTTCAGTGAGTTACATTCTTATGCTAAGGAAACTGAGCAAGTGAACTTGTACTTAATGGTGTACTTCAACTGTATTTAGCATGTGTCTCGCTATTTTAAAATTTCATTGCAGCAGCAAATAAATATGTGTGTGGGATGGAAAACGAGAAGAGGATGCCATGTTTGAACGTGGGGTGTTTGGGAAAGGATAGACCTAAAAGGGATGGCAAGGAAATCCTCTCCTCCTTGATTGCTAGGAGAAAGCTGTGCCAAGTGAAATCGAGGGTCGCAGGCATGTGACAGCCTTTGCCATCATGTGACTTGACTCTATAGAAGCTGTTTCTGACATCATCATTTAACAGTAGAATAATAGGTTTTATTTTGACAACAGAAGATTATTGCATGATCAGGCTTATTAAACACCCTTTAAGGCTTTATGTCTGGAAAGCTTAAATCTGATTCTTCGTATTGTAGCACTAATGTTTTATGTTTATCTGTCTCTTGCAGCTTTGTAGGCAGCCAATCCCAGAGAAGCAGACGGGATGGCTAGTTCAGCCCGGGAGCACCTGCTTTTTGTGAGGCGTCGAAATCCCCAGATGCGGTACACATTGAGCCCAGAGAACCTCCAGAGCCTTGCCGCCCAGAGCTCCATGCCAGAGAACATGACCCTGCAGCGGGCCAACAGCGACACCGACCTGGTGACTTCTGAGAGCCGCTCCAGCTTAACTGCCAGCATGTACGAGTACACGCTGGGGCAAGCCCAGAACCTCATTATCTTCTGGGACATTAAAGAGGAGGTGGACCCCAGTGATTGGATTGGACTTTATCATATAGGTGAGTCAAGTGGAATGGACTTGCATGTGACTCAGAGCATACAAGTTTTTAGTTTGACATTTTTACCATTCTGTATTTTCTTCTGGAAAAAAATTCACATGCACATATACACATAGCAGATTCTGGGAATTTATTTTTTTTCTTCTTTGGGAGGAGGAGATTCAACAGTACATTTGCTTATATTATGAAGTTTGTGGTTACATCTCTACCTCATTAAATGTCAGAACCTTCAGAACCTGCAGGTGTTACAGTATTTTCTCTTAGGTCGATGCAAAAGTAATTGCACCAATAAAACTTCACCTTTCTCTTGATCAGCAGTCCCATTTTAGAAAGAGATATCTATTAACATTTACTAACATTTTTAAACTGATGAAAGAGACGTGTAGATTTAGATGACATATTTTAAAAGCTCTGTATTTTCTAAAATTTGAGTTTTGTTAAGAACTACTTGTAGCCTAAGATGTCTTTTTATTTTTAAATTTCATGACTCTGTTCTAGATCAATTAGGGGAAGGAAGTGTCATGTTTTCCTGACAAATGACTTATAAATAATTGCTATTTGCTTTAATAAAAACAGTTCAGCTCTGTTTAGCTAATTTACGCTTGTTGTTCTTAGTGAACTTACATTTGCTGAGTGAGCGATGAATGAAACATCCCAAAAAGTACGATGTCTGCCACATTGGAAAGCAAAAATCTAACCTACCAACTAAACAAAAAGAAAATTGAAATCCAACCCAATAATAAAATCTAACATTTTCCAAAGTTGGAGAACTTTTTCATTGAATGAAGAAAATTCTCTCCAAAATTTAGCATCAGATATTAGGAAGACATTGTTGCTTTCAATGTAAGTTGTAAGCCAAGCATCCCCCCATCACCCCGCCGCCCTTTTTTTTTTAACGAATAAATCAGAGGAAAAAAAGACCCATCTGTTTATGGCAGTACTTCTTAGCCAGGGAAGATTTTGCCCCCTAGAGGACATTCGGCAAGGTTTGGAGACATTTTTGGTTGTCACAACTGGGTAGGGGGATATGAAGCCAGGGTGCTGTAAAACATCCAACAATGTAAAGGACAGCCTCCCTCCACAGTGATCTAGCCCCAAATGCCAATAGCACCACTGTTGAGAAGCCCTGTTTGAGGCAAAACAACACTCTTGCTGAAATTTTGTTAGATTGTTAAAGCCACTGAAATTTATTTTTCTCTGGGATAAAGAATTTTATATTGACTGAAATAAAAACATTTGATTTGTATTCACTTATATAACTCTTAATGGTTAATCATGCTGGAAAGCAAAAAATCTAAACTGGGCAAAGCTTTAATGAATTGTTATCTCTCTTTTTTTTCCTTATGGTAAACAAAAAAGGGGAAAAGTCTTCACAGCATTTTCCCTAAGTGTGTTTTAAAATATAATCAAATTGAGGAAGATACATAATTTAAAAATTACATTTGTATCATTATGTTCACAAAAAGTCTTAGTTTTGTTGGGACTTTAGATGTAACCCTTTTGATTTGAATGTAATTTCACTCTTTTGCACTTCATATAACTTCTCTTTAGACTTTCTCATTTTTTACCATTTTAGCTTTTATTTTATAATCTTAATAGAAGACTTAATATGAGACTACAAATACCAAATTGTAGTTTAAAAAATCCTTTTATGATATTTATTTGGGAAATAATCAGTTTTACTTTCTCATATAAGATGATTTATTTTGTGTACGAATAACTTAATCTTTAAACTGCTAGAATCACTTAAAAAGTTGATTCCCATACACACACTTGCTTTATTTCCCTGTCTAAATTTAATCAGGAAGGAACTAAGGAATTCCAACCGCAATGAATCTTATCTCCAAGTGACCAAACCCACAAAATCTTGATGTTGTTATATTTTACTTTCTAGAGGAAGAAGTATAGGTCAGAGTCCTAAGTCTGGAATTAATCCAAGGTTGTCACTAGGAAAGCAGAATTAGGAAATAAATCCCTTTTGAAAAATGATAACTCTTCATCAGTTTATTTCAAGAAGCTTCTGTGTCTTTCTCATGTAAGTTATCATTGTGTCTTTGTTCCCCTGTATGTTACATGTCTTTTTTCCCCTCCTTTGGCTACTTTCAAGATTTTTCTCTTTATCTTGGTTTCCAGCAGTTTGTCTATGCTATACTTAGGTGTGATTTTCTTTTTATTTATTCCAGTTGATATTCTCTGAGCTTCGTAAGTTAATGTTTTTGATGAAATTTGGACAAATGTTGGCCACTATTTCTTCAAATATTTTTTCTGTTTTTATTTTTTTCTTCTTTTTCTGAGATGCCAGTTATGCATATGTTAGAATCATTTCATGTTGTTCTGCAAGGCCCCGAGGCTCTCGTTCATTTTCCTTCAACATCTTTCCTCTTTGATATTCAAATTTGATAATTTCTATTTATCTATCTTCAAGTTCACTAACTTTGCCCTTTTTTTGTCTTCATTCTGTTGTCAGTCCCACCCAATGGATTTTTAAACTTTGAGTTATTTGACTTTTCATTTCTAGAATATGCATTTCTCTTTTTCTAGTTTTCATTTCTCTTATGAGATTTCTTGTGTGTTAACTCATTCAGATCATATTTTTGTTCAGTTCTTCAAACTGAATTGAATATAGCTACTTTAAAGATTCTGTCTTCTAATTTCAACATCTAGGCCATCTCATGATCAGTTCCTATTGACTATTTTTTTTTTCATTGACCATGGTTCTTATTTTTTGGTTTCTTTGCATAGCTAGCACTTTTTGATTTTACACTGGATATTAAGGATTCTATGTGGTAGAAATTCTGAATTCTGTGGAATAACAGTGTTGATTTTTTTTCTAATAAGCAGGTTTATTTCTTTGAGCTTGTATAGGTTTGATTTTTTACACTTTGTTAGACTGGATCTGTGGAAAGGCCAGTGTATTTTTCTACTATTTCTAACTTGATGGAATTCATCCTCCGAATTTGGTCTCCCCTGTGAATTTTGTTAGGTCTTGCTTTTGGGCTGTGGTAAAATCAGTGTATGGTAGGCCTTATATTAGTACATTCTGCTTACTCCTGAGCAGCAGCATTTCTGATGTCTTAGCTGGATACCTGGAGTGCTAGCCAGGTCTCTTCACTCTGGCTGGGCTGTAGCTCCAGCATTCACCAGCACTGCTTAACCTCTGGTCACTCTGTTTTCCTCTCAGCCCTGTAAAGCTGCTCTCTATAAAGCCTTGGTCATTTCTTTCTGAGCATGTGCACCCCAGACCTTGGCCAAGATTTGTAGGGGATCCCCTTTGTGGACTTCTGGCCCTCATCCTTCTAGAGCTCTTTTCTTTCCAGGGCCCTGGCCTGGAGATTCTAGTACTCCGGTTGACTCAGACTCAGATCTCTGTATCCAAGCTCAGCAGAACTGCTATGGACTCTAGCTTCTTGCTCTACACTCAGGAAATTGTCCTCCATCTGAGATCTGGGTGATCATAGAGTCACCTCATAAGTTTCTCTTTTCTCTGAGATTATAGTCTAATACCATCTGTTTTCCAATGTCTGAAAACCACTTCTACTTCTAATTTTACAGTTATGTACATTGGGAAAGCTAGTCTGGTGCTAATTACTTCATTAAGGCCTGAAGCGGAAGTTCCTTTATAATTTGATTTAGGGTGGGAGATAAGAGGTCTCAATTTTCCCCTCTAGCCATTTCCAAAGAACTGAATAAAATTGATTGCTTACATCTATGTTGTCACTTCTTACTGTATTTTCTAATAGATTTCTATCCCTAGCAGGAAAGAGGGATGAGGACCTGGCATCCCAGACCCCACAAGGGTCCATTTTCTGCCCCCTTCGCTCTGTAGTCAGAACCCTGATAGGGTCATTGTGAGCAGTAAGTCCTTAATCTCAGGGCAGGTAGGCCCCCCCCAGGCTCAGGAAAGGTCTAAACTTGTATGCTAATCCAAACATTGAGTAGTCTAGAAGTAGACATGTGACTCGGTTCTTGCCCATGAGATCTAATGGGAAACCTTTGGGGGAACTTTGCTTTCCAATGAAAAGCCAGAGTTTCATGAAGAGTCTTTTAAACTTCCTCTTCTCTTGTACTTGGAACTCTGGTGAAAAGACACGATTTCTTGAGCTGTTGCATCCATGTAGCAATCATGAGGCATCAATCAAGAGAATAAAAAGCTATGGATGGCAGAGCAGAAAATAGATCTTGGACTGGCACTCTGAAGTTCATGTTATATGTGGGAAAAAATGTTCTTCTCTTGGTTTAAGTCAGCAGCAGGCTTTCTTGTACCTGCAGTTGTTCCTAATAGAGCCACTAACACAGCTAGAAATACAAGAAAGGGAAAAGGGTAACAACTGCTTTTAAAGGCAAGATAAAGAATGAGTGGGCTGCTTTGGTAGTTACTACTTCGTGGAGAGTGTTAAGGACTATTTTAATATCTGTGAAAGCCACCAGGTTGTTTTTAAAAGAAGCAACAACAATTTTGATATAAAAATTCTGAACACAGTAACTCCAAGCCATGTGGAAATTTTCAGTGCTTTAATAGGACCAATACTGTGTTGGGAATAATCTTTCAAATGAGTAATTAATAACATGAAAATGTGCAAAACAATTTTTTGGATACTATTAAATGAAAGTAGGTAAAATGATACATTTGGAGAGGAAGTGAAAGAAAAGAGGAAACACCATGCTAGAACAGGAAAAGATTTTTGAGGTTCAGGTTAAGTCACAAATTTAATACTGTGTGGCTAAACAGGAACATGCATAATAAATTCTCTCTTGGGCTCTGTGAAATAGATGTGCTGAGAATCCAGGTTTCGTAACAATAGCATGTATGTCAGAAATAGCTTCAGATTTCTATACCTTTTGGTAGGAAGCAGCCTCTCCCCTTCAGTTGTGTCCTGAGAAGCCTGTTTCCTAGCAACTTCTAGTTTTAGTTATGGAACAGAGAGATGGTCTCTATAGAAATAAGTCCCAAAGGAGAAGGAATTTAGTAGAACATCAAGCTGACGAGGTGTGGCTTGTTGGCACACTCTGCATTTTGATTGTGTTTCTCTTGGCTTACATTTTCTTCCCCTCTAGAAGTGTGAGTTTTGTTTTTGTTTGGCTCATTGTGCAGAATGTTTTGAACTGTACAACTCACTCCAGATGACTTGTAGCACTTCTAATCTGGAGGGAAAACATATGCATGTGAATCAGAAAAGTAAATCCTTCTTTAGGCATTTTTAGGCAGTAAATAGGCCCTATTGGAAATACAAAGAAAAAAGTTGAAAATATCAAAGCATTATTTGAGAAGACTTTGGGTGTGAACACAGTTCTCAAAACATATGCTAATTATATTTCCTCCTTCCAGAAAGCCTCATATACACCCTGAGATTTCTAGAGATGATCACAATGGAGCTATAGGCCCAAACCTCCAAATTACAACAATTAATCCCTTGCAGATGGTTTGCGGAAATCACTAGGCTTATAATTTATTGTTGGTCTCCAAAATTAGAATTGATTCCTCACAAATTTAACAGTGCTATTTATTGCCTCCTCCTAAGTGCACCAAATAAAAAGAACCAAATGCTTATCTTATACAAAGACACTTAGGTCATCCAACACAAACAGCTTTCCATGAAGAATCAGATGGAAACAGTTTAAAGAGGATGTAGATGATAGTAAATTTGTTTCAGGCTCACTATCTAATTCCCCTTCACCTTTGGACCTATGCTCATTTTTCTGGCTGTTCAAAAGAAAAACAAACACTTCAAAAGGCTCCATTTGCCATTTCTCATTTGTAGGCAACTTCAGGTACTTAACAGAACTACGAAAGTGCACATTAAGACAATTATTTATTTTTTAATTTTGCATAACGAAAATGTAAAAGTGTATACTATGCTATGTACCAGCAGTTATTCAAAGTACTGGTCTGCAAACTGTTACTGATCTGTGAACAGATAAGGTGCTCTCTCCAAAATGTAAATCAATATACTGATTTCTTCGATGAGAAAATGTTGCTATGAAAAAAAATCATCTGAAGTTTCTTGATGTAAGTATTTCAGATTCTGGCTCAAGCTTCTTACATTGTCATGGACTGGTAACAAATAATTTACCAGCATTTCTCTGGACCACACTTTAAGTAGACCTCTCAGTGTCTATGGATTGATTATGTCTTCAAAAGTGAATGGCAGAACAACTGTATTTTGACTGTCAGTCTTAAAAAAGTATCATGGTAATATATTTTGACATCTTTCATATTTCTTCACATTTGGAGAATAAAATAAAGTAAGATTGCAATAGTAAACCAAAGCATTATCATCATGTATCTTAGAGCTTTAAGATCCCAAAGTTTAAGCTTATGTTTTATAAATAAATAACTAAGGTCTAGAATGATGATACCCTACAGCTTGTTGGGGGAAGAGTCAAGGCTGGAACTTCAGTGTCCTATGTTCCAAGTCTTCATTTTTCTTTCCTGTGCTGAGAATTGTAGTCTCGTATTTCCCAACTGTTAAGTACTTGCTCACCACCTTCTTGATTTTTTGCAGTTTTAGATGATTGGCTATAGTGTTAATATTTTCCTTTAAACTATCTAATTGACAAAGGACCAGAATAGACACTTCTCAAAAGAAGACAAGCAAATGTCCAACAGGTATATTAAAAAAAAAAATCAACATCACTAATTATCATGGAAATGCAAATTCAAACCACAATGAGATATCACCCCACACCTATTAGAATGGCTGTTATCAAAAAGACAAAAGATAACAAGTGTTGGTGACATTTGGAGAAAAGGGAACCCTTACACACTGTAGGTGGGAATGTAAATTAGTACAGCCATTATGGAAAACAATACAGGCATAACTAGAGATAGTGTGGTTTCGGTTCTGGATCCCCATAATGAAGTGAATAGCAAATTAAAGCCAGTCACAGTTTTTTGGTTTCTCAGTGCATATAAAAGTTGTGTGTACACTATACTGTAATCTAAATATTAAGTGTGCAGTAGCACTATGTCTAAAAAAAACTGATGTACATACCTTAACTTAAAAAGACTTTATCATAAAAAAATGTTAATGATCATCTGAGCTTCAGTAAGTCATCATGTTTTTGCTGGTGGAGTGTCTTGCCTCCATGTTGATAGCTGCTGACTGATCAGGGTGGTGGTTGCTGAAGGTTCGGGTAGCTGCACAATGTGTTTAAATAAGACAGTAGTGAAGTTTGCTACATTGACAGACTCTTCCTTTCACGAAAGATTTCTCTGTAGCATGAATGCTATTTGATAGCATTTTACCCACAGTAGAACTTTTTTCAAAATTGGAGTCAATCTTTTCAAACCCTGCTGCTAGTTTTTCAACTCAGTTTATGGAATATTCTAATTTTTTTTGTTGTTGTAATTTTAACAATGTTCACAGCTTCTTTATCAGGAGTAGATTTTATCTCAGGAAACCACTTTCTTTACTCACCCATAAGAAGGAACTCCTTATCCATTCAAGTTTTATCATAAGATTGGAGCAACTCAGTTACATCTTCAGGCACCACTTCTAATTCTAGTTCTCTTGCTATTTCTACCACATTTACAGTGACTTCCATCACTGAAGTCTTGAACCCTTCAAAGTCATCCATGAGGGTTGGAATCAACTTCTTCCAGACTCCTGTCAATGGTGATATTTTAGTCTACCCCATGAATTGTGAATGGCATCTAGAATGGTGAATCCCTTCCAGAAGGTTTTTAATTTACTTTGCCCAGATTCATCAGAGAAATTCCTATCTATGGCAGCTATAGCCTTAAGAAATGTATTGCTTAAATAATAAGACTTGAAATTCAAAATTACTCCTTGGCCCATGGGCTACAGAATGAGTGTTGTGTTAGCAGGCATGAAAACAACATTAATTTCCTTGTAAATCTTCATCAGACCTCTTAGGTGACTTGTCGCAGTTTTTTTTTTTTTTTCCAAGCAGTATGTCTCAATAGTGGCCTTAAAATATTCAGCAAAATATTCCGTAAAAATATTCAGTAAATCTAAATGACAGATGTGCTGTCATTTTGGCTTTGTTGTTCCATTTCTAGAGTGCCAACAGAGTGGCTTTAGTATAATTCTTAAGGGCTCTAGGATTTCTGGAATGGTAAATGAGCATTGGCTTCAACTTAAAGTCACCAGCTGTATGAGCCCCTAACAAGAGAGTCAATCTGTTCTTTAAGCTTTAAAGCCAGACATTGACATCTCCTCTAGCTATGGAAGTCCTAGATGGCATCTTCTTCCAATAGAAGGCTGTTTTGCCCACATTGAAAATCATTTGTTTAGTGTAGCCACCTTAATCAATGATCTTAGCTAGATCTTCTGGATAACTTACTGCAACTTCTACATCAACACTTGCTGTTTTACTTTGTACTTTTATGCTATAGAGATGGCTTCTTTCCTTAAACTTATGAATCAACCTTTCCTAGCTTCCAGCTTTTCTTCTGCAGCTTCCTTACCTCTCTCAGCCTTCATAGAATTGAATAGGGTTAGGGTCTTGCTCTGGATTAGGCTTGGTTTAAGAGAATATTTTGACTATTTTGATCTTCTCTCCAGACTCCTATAATTTTCTCCATATCAATAATAAGGCTGTTTCACTTTCTTATCATTCGTATGTACTTTGGAATAGCATTTTAAATTTCCTTCAAGAACGTTTCCTTTGCTTTTACAACTTGGCTAACTGTTCGAAGCAAGAGGCCTAGCTTTTGGCCTGTCTCAATTTTTGAGATGCCTTCCTCTCTAAGTTTAATCACTTTTAACTTTTGATTTAAAGTGAGAGATGTGTGACTTTTCCTTTCATTTAAATACTTAGAGGCCATTGTAGGGTTATTAATTGGCCTAATTTCAATATTGTTGTGTCTCAGGAGTTAGGACAGCTGAAGAGAGGGAGAAAGAGGATCGTTGGGTCAGTGGAACAGTCAGAACACACACAATATTCATTGATTAAGTTTATAGTCTTGGGCACAGTTCATGGTGCCTCAAAACAATTACAATAATATCATCAAAAGACCACTGATCAGAGATCATCACGACAGGCATAATAATAATGAAAAAGCTTGAAATATTGCAATAAATAGCAAAATGTGACACAGAGACATGAAGTGAGCATATGCTGTTGGAAAAGAAATGGCACCAACAGACTTGCTCAATGTGGGGTTTCCACACACCTTCTATTTGTAAAAAAAACACATTATCTGTGAAGTGCAATAAAGCAAAGCATCATAAAAAGAGTTTTCTATGTAGGCTTCTCAAAAAATTAAAAATATAAATACTATATGACCCAGCAATCCCACTTATGGGTATACATATCCAAAGGAAATGAAGTCAGCATACAGAAGAGATATCTGGATTCCCATGTTTATTGCAGCACTATTTATAATAGCCAAGATATGCAGTCAACCTAAGTGTCCATCAGTGGATGAATGGATAAGAAAAATGTGATAAACACACACACACACACACACACACACACACAATGGAATACTATACATTCATTAAAAAAGAAGGAAACCCTCTCATTTGTGACAACATAGATGAACCTGGAGGTGAAGTGAAATAACTCATTTGATTAAAACAAAACATGCTCTCTACCCTGACAATGTTCTAAGCAATAGTGTTAGAGAAAGGTTTGCGTTGTTAGGTATATTTCTTTCTGACATGCATTAACTGTTAAGGAATAACTTTTGTCAATGAACTACCCAGGACCGTCACAGCAGCACACTTTGAGAAGCTCTGACGTTATCAATTGTTGAGATCACAGGCGCTATAGTTAGACACATTAGTAAATTCAGTGAATGACTAGCTGAATGACCATGGGCAGATAATTTAACTTTTTAAACCTGAATTTCTCCATTTTTAAAAAAATGACTTAAACCACCAATATTATGAGAATTAAATGAGATATTGCATATAAAATGCTCGGCACAGTGCTTGGGCAGATTGTAAGGTTATTATTATAAACTATCATTAATATTTTGGTAATTATTAATAATAATAAAATCATTTTACTGGTAGCCTGAAGCTGCAGCTCAAACTTACCCACTGAATGAATTCCCAAGAAGGGATTTCCAGTTTAAAGTGACACAATGGGCCACTTCTACCTAAGGAAAACAAAATTCATTTATTTGAAGCAGAGCTCTAGAAATTATATAAGCACTTAAAATGTGAATGCTAAATAATACAGTATTTTAATTTGAGTATTATTTAGGTTCTAAATCAACATGCTTTACAAGGTGATGGGAAATCCACAATTTAATCTGAAATTCAATCAAATGGAACAAATAATGCATTAGGTTTTTCATCTTCAGAATAGCTATCAAATATAGTTAAGAGTGCCCGATCCTAAGTTCTTTTGATATTTTATCATGATTCCTGGTGAAGAAAAGTTGTTTTAGGTCATATTTTTAAAATTTTAAAATGCTCTTAGAAAGTAAGAGCTTTGAACATGTAATTGTTTTTTGGAACAACTTAACTCTAAATTCTTTTCACCTAGTCAGATTATGCTGCAATAATTTACTAACCCTAAATCCTCAGGGCTTAACAGAACAAAGGATTATTTATTGCTAATGCTGCATGTCTCGTGTGGGTTGGCAGGGGGCTTGATTCATACTGTCACTTAGGGACTCAGGCTCATCACCTTCTTTATTTTTTCCATATTAGATTATTAAAGGCTCAACCATTTTATCATTATGCCATCTGGACACATGACCTCTTTGGGCAAGTGTCAGGGGAAGAGAGAGCTGGAAACTCTTATGCTAGCTCTTAAATACTTAGACACCAAAGCCACACATTTCACTTCGGCTCAGAGCTCATTGTTCAGCATTGGTAGCAAAATTTTGTCTAACTGCAAGGGGACTGGGAAATGCATAGAAGCCTTTGGCTATTCAGTGAGCAATCAGTGTCTCTCCCATAGTAGAATGTCTTGCTAACAATGTGTCTGGTCCTCCAGTCTGTTTCAAAGCTTAAGGCATCCTTGTATGGTCACTGCAAGAATAGATACTAGGGGTTAGAAAGTCTCATACTTTGGAATACACTTTGCAAGGTGTTCAGAGACTGAATGAGCAGGCATACCCAGGGCAGTACCAAGGACAGTGCATGACCATTATAGATGAAAAATAGCTTAGTGGAATCTGAATTCACAGGATCACCTTGGTATCTCAGACTATCACGGATCTTCCTTTTAATATGCGTGTGGAAGATTTGGTCCACAGAGGAGTCCACATGTTCAAAATGGTTATGAAAGACTCCCCTGGATATTAGATGGGTTTTCGAAAATTGCATAGGTTGGTGTAGCCAAAGAAGCTTTAGTGTATTTTATGCTTTAACATATTGACTGCAAGCGATACTTGATACAGGCATTCTTCTCTCCATAGATTGAGATGATTCTAGAAACATTACCCTTATTGTATTTTTATTGCCCCCCATGCTTATTTGTGTCACTTTTCCTTAAAGGAGACTCATATAGCCAAAATTAGTAAATGTTAAATAATTGTAAATATTTTGTGATTGAATTAAGATAGCTTTTGCATGCGGTTTAGAAATTCTTTGTTCTGATTGCAACCATTACTAACCCACAAAATAATTCCTTACTATACATACTGATTTTATCGTGTTTGTTATAATTAGCTTTTTATACTTTCTTAAGGACTAAATAGTGGACACACCTATAAAGTTACTTATAATGCAATTATTTTATCCTGCTATATTTCTTAAAGTCTGTTTTGTCTGTTATCAGTTGTCACATCAACTTCCTTTCAGTTAGTTTTTGCTTAGTGTATCTTTTCCCATCAATTTACTTTCAGCCATTCTTTGGCATGCTCTAGATTTATCTGCTGTAAATCATGTAAAGCTTTATGATTTTTAATCTAATTTAAGTGAGCATCTTTTAAAATTGGTACATGTAGAGTTTTTTACATCTGCTTTTACTTTTGATATGTTTGGACTTTTTACAACATCTTATTTATTTTCTGCATATCATGCTTTTTCTTAGTTTTTTCCCCCTATTTTTATACCCTCAATGGAAATGATGAGTTGTTTTTACTCCCACATCTCACATTCTTCCTGAGCATATTTGCTTGGAATTTAAACATTCTAGTCTATTCTCTTAAAAGTTTATCCTTTCAATTTTTGACATATGTAATTGAGTTAGCATATAATGAATTGGGATCTTTCAGTGCCTCAAACTGTACAAGAATCTTAGGATCTTTTCATTCCAATCACTTTCTTTCCCATCTTCTCTTTTATTGTTGACGACATTTAATTCCATCCTATTTTAAACCCCTTCTTCCACATTAGTCATTACTATTATTATTGTGTTTTTTTCATAGACATATTCTATGTAACAAACCTCCATAACATAATGGCTGAAAACAGTAATCTTTTGGATAAATAAACAATTTGAAGATGAAAAAAAAAGAACTGACTTATCTGAATCAGCAGCACCAGAGTACAACTGGGCTTGATTTTCTTATAGAACACATACATACAAAAAATGTTGCATTATAAAATAAATGGAAGCACACAGGTGAAGTTTACAATTTAACTTCAAATCCTTGTTGGTTTACCAAACCAAAGAATATATTTTTTTCTTGATTAATGTAGGTTATGATGAAAGGTGTCAGATATATCCAAAATCTTCTCTTCATTTTCTCCAGTGGGTCTTCCCCTTAACAGGCTCTCATGTGTTCTCTATTTCATTTTGCACCAGCTATTTTTATCATTATTTGTAAAGTCAAGGCCTTAAACCAATCTTACGCTTGCAATCTTTGAGTTACAGTGGAGCTGTGATAACTATCAAAGTCATTATATTTTTTTCCGTCAATTGTTTCCCACAATCTGGCTGACATTATTGTTGAATTGTTGAATAAATACAGACTTGCCTCACAGTAGTGTGCAGTTCATATGGACTTCAGAGAAACTGCATTGAGCAACTCAGATTTTCAACCTGTTTTAAGTTTAGAAACCAGAGTATTGTAACTCAGATTTAGTGGTGACGTTAAGGGATTCTTCCACATTTTCATAGTTTGAGTTTTTGTACTTATTTTATTTAAATTATGAATTGCAAAACTCCAAATGTATGTTCATTGAGAAAGCATGATATTTCTCTTCCTTCATCAAAATGTGTAAAACAACAGTCAAATAGTATAAATGATCACATTTTCTTAGCTACTGTAGTTCATAAAATCATTACCAGAACCATCGTAATGCCTTACCTACAAACAAGCTGGAACTGGATAGAGTCTCCATTAACTTCAACATTGGGTAATAATACAGTGGCTCTGAGGATCGTTTTGGAGTGGGGGTACGGGACAGTAGTTGGCACTTGGAAGAGTTGCTGAACCATTCCGAGCTTCAATTTCTTAATATACCAACCTCATAAGATTGCACTGAAGGTGGAACAAGATAACATTTGTAATTGTGATACGCGAGTAGCCAGGTAGCCACCCCACTACACACATCCCCAACAAACATTTGTTGAGAACCTACTGTGTGGCTGCCACTAGGCAATAGGATAAAAAATGAATCAGCTCATAATAGGTGAGATATAAGTAGGAAGGAAATAATTGTAATGCACTGTATTCAGAACAATATTACAAAGACCACAGGAGCATGGAGAAGGGGCAGTTTAATGCCTGAGATGGGTTCAGAGATGGGAAGGGTATAGAAAGGCTTTACCAAGAAGATGATATTTGGACTTCATGTGAAATTGAGATGTTTTTTGGCATTCACACACAAGAAAGGTCATTCCAGGAGGTGGAAATTGTATGTGCACATGCCAGTCTTTTGTCCCGAAGGGTTTGCAGATGTACTTGAAGAGAACACCTCCTGTTCCTTTCCCTTTTTCTGTCTGAATTCCGTGTATCTTTTAAGTGAGGATTCAGAAAAATCGCCCACTCTGTGGGTAATCTACCTAACTATTCTGGGTAATCAGTCTGTTTTCCTACTCCCTTAGGTATTTTATAATATCGCTGTCTCAGTGCTGATTACACTGTGTTATTTATAATTTGTCTTTCTCCATGCTTCTTCCTTCCATTGCACTCTTAACTCCTTAACTGCATCTTGTTCATGTTGTAGGCTGAGCACCTTACCCAGCTCTCTGTGCTGCATTATCTGTGCAGATTCATTAATTCATTCGAGAGTTGGTTTTAAGCTAGAGTAATTATGGTGTGAGTAAATACTTTTTTATTGAGGATGATTCCATGTTATGTAGCTTTCAACTAATGATTTTATTGAACAGAATATCTTTGGTATTCATTCATCTGTTTGTTTAACAATGTTAGAACTTTACAATGTACCAGGCTTCTGAAAAAATTTTTTAAATATCCTCTATATTCAGGATCATAGTTAATAAGTCATCATTGCAGGTTTTTCCTAATTTTTTACAGTGTACCAGCCTTTTGTTTCCCATTTCCTTACCTATAGGATCTGTCTTCAATATTGAAAGCATTTTATGTTTAAATAGAAATAACATTTTCCTGAATTCAGTATGTCTACTGCTTTATACTCTCATTTTTTGGTCTTTTCTTATTCTCTTGTTTCCGAAAATGTGCATCTGTTGCTCTAAGCAGTCATAGATGTTTTCCTGAAAGTTATAACTTGTTTGACATGAAGAATATCTATTATATTTTTGACACTCTGAAATATGTACCAGTATATTTGCGATATAGTTATTATACCTCTAGTACAAGCAAGTGCTGTTTTGAGATTATTGATGGATCAAGAAGTGATCATCTGGCCGGGCACGGTGGCTCACGCCTGTAATCACAGCACTTTGGGAGGCCGAGGCAGGCAGATCACGAGGTCAGGAAATCGAGACCATCCTGGCTAACACAGTGAAACCCCGTCTCTTCTAAAAATACAAAAAATTAGCTGGGTGTGGTGGCAGGCGCCTGTAGTCCCAGCTACTCGGGAGGCTGAGGCAGGAGAATGGCGTGAACCCGGGAGGCAGAGCTTGCAGTGAGCCGAGATGGTGCCACTGCACTCCAGCCTGGGCAACAGAGCGAGACTCCATCTCAAAAAAAAAAAAGAAGTGATCATCCTTTCCCTCTACAAAATTAAGTACTGCTTTTTTGGGGACTATATTTATAGCACTAAGCTATACTATTAGACTCAAATATGTTAATGAATGACTAACCTAAAAAATGTGAAATTTCCAACTGGGAATTTACATTAAATTAACTAACAGGAATCTAAATATTTACTATGTATCTTTTTAAGGCATCCAAGTAAATAGTAGGGTTTTTTTTCTTTAAGTGTAAGTCTGTGGCATATTTTTGACATTGTAAAGCATTCACCATGAAAAGGAAAGCTTTAAGAATTCAGCGAACATCTAGAGGTTAAATTCTTAGTTTGGGGCTCCATGACAGCCACTTTTTCTCTTTTCACTTTAACTGCCAAAACCTGTCATTTCTGAGACATTTCAAGGAGATAAACAAGGTGAACTGTGCTATGCACATGACTCGATGTAACTGCTGATTTGAGCAAGGTTACTGGTCAGCATATGTAAGGTAACTTGGAGTTTTCTGGTCCATCATGTGATTCATTTGCCTGAATGGAGTGCTATGCAACTAATAAAATTCTTTTGAAAAATCAGCATTGTTTGCCAGTAGTACCAGTTACTCGGGAGGCTGAGGCTGGAGGATCACTTGAGCCCAGAAGTTTGAGTCCAGCTTGGGCAGCATAGCAAGAGCCTGTCTCTAAAAATTTTTTTAATTAAAAATAATCAGGATTATTACTTGTAAAATTCTTTCTAACTGCATCAACACTGCTAGGGCAAGCAGCAACATTGTCATCTTAGTGACATCTTATTATGTGATGCTGTCTTTGGAATCTCCACAATTCTATGTTTTAAATAAGTTTCACTCAAATCTAAGGAAACTATATTACTTATTTAAGGAAATTGAATGCTAGCAGTGAAGTATGATATTTTTCATCATTTGGAATCATTAAAATATTATTTATCTGTTGAAGTGTATTTTAAAATATAGAGCCATAAAGGTTTTAAATTTAGAATTAAAATTAATGATCATTGACTCTATCGGTCTCATTTTACAAATTAGAAGCCGAAGGCTTAGATGGATTAAGTAATGTGTACCTGGTTGCTCAGTAAAACAACAGGGAAAAATACAGTGCCTAATAGGAATTTCCTTCATCGTGGAGTTGCTTCTTAAAAGGAATTAGTTGCTAAAGCCACTTCCTGAAGGTGATTTTTTAGTATAGCCAAAATTACCCCTGAAAACTCCTTAGGAAAGCAATATGACTTAACACCAAATTCAATGGCAGGTTTTTCTTCCAGCTTTAGAACAGACTGCTGTCTCAGACTGAGTGCCAGAGAAGAAGTTAGCTTGTGTTTATGGGCTGTTTTTATAAGAAAACAAACAAATAATAACAACAAAGCCCTTGTCATCAAAAACTAAAATTCCCTGCAGCCTGGCGGGATACTTGGAAGAATTGTATATTTCACGTTCCCTCTTGGGTCACACATGCAGGGTTTGGAATTGTTCCCATGCTGCTTCAATTGTCCCCTTTGGCAGTCTCCTCTCTTGCACCCAGTAGGCTTGTGTGGTTACACTGAAATATGTTAAATGGGCATTTACTGGGCCTCCCACTGAACATGAATCTGATCCTCCAAGATTCAGTAGAATATGATGATTCAGTTTCTTAGATGGAGGCTCATAGAGGTTTAATTTATAATTTTTTGCTAGTTTTTTAATAGCACCATTTAAAATATCTCACCAATACTGTTTTTGTAAAGCTGCCACAGTTTTTTAGGTGATCTTTATGATCAAATACATAGAAATACTTTTTTTTCTGTTATCTCTTATGTTTCCTTTTTAGTGCAGCACACTGTCCTTGGGATTTTAAATCCACAGGGCTGAGTGCTTGCTTATATAAGCCCTAGGCATAGGAGAGAGTGAGATGATCTAACATGATTGTATATAGTACAAACATTTCTTTGCCACAAAATTTAAAACTTATTCATCTTTCTCTAAACTGTAACTGATGTAATTTATTGTTTTCTAAAGGTCAGTGTGACCAATGCAAGTGTCTATAAGCTAAAATATTTCAGCATAATTTCTTTAATATCTCTAGTAAGAAAAGCTATCTCTATTAAGAGAAAGATACGAAGAAATAAAATTCAAATAGAAAATTCTTATTTTTATGAGAAATTACAACTAGAACCCCTCTATCCCTACTATGTAGTAAAACCATGCACTTGGAAATCAACAATAACTCTTAAAAGTCATATTACTAAACCTTTTGTTAATCTTCAACTCCCAACACCCTTTGATACTGTTTTTTGCCCCTTCTTTTTGAGACTTTTTTCTTCATTGGCTGTGACACTGTCCTGGATCTCCCAGTTTTCTGGCCAATCCTTTCATTTTTACAGAAACTTGTTTCTTTCCTTATTCTAAATATTCTTCAGGCTTTGTTGTGGATGTCCTTCCTTTTAAGAGGCCAGTTTAAGCAGAAAGCTTCATCTCCAACCAAAGGTGCCTGGAGCCATCTCTTACTGGCTCCTGGGAGC
This sequence comes from Homo sapiens, assembly GCF_000001405.40. Classification (NCBI taxonomy): domain Eukaryota; kingdom Metazoa; phylum Chordata; class Mammalia; order Primates; family Hominidae; genus Homo; species Homo sapiens. Next base: position 196,415,632 of record NC_000002.12, on the reverse strand, counting down.
CCATTCTGCATGTCATGCACGAAAGCTCAGCTCCGCATTCAGCGCGTGCACATTGGTAGCAGGAAGTCAGCTGTGATGAGAGCATTTACACCACAGGAAGCAGCAAACACTACACATCAGGGCTTTCCCACCCTCAGAGAGCCAGTGTCCCAGCATACCCCTATTGAATCCCAACCTCTGTCTAAAGCTCCCAGGATCATTTCTCTCCAAATATGCTACTCACTTTCAAACTCAGTTTGTTCAAAACGAACAGACTGACAAGCAAAACCAGTTCTTGATTCCCCTGTTTTTGTTGGTAGAAATGCCATTTTTTCAATCTCATAGGCTTGGAAACCTTGTACAAGATTTTGACTCCTACTACACTTTTAACATGCACATCCAGTCTCCTACCGAGGAATATAAGTACCCTGCTTCTTTTCAGTGTATGTATATGTTTTTGACAAAGATAACAGGTTCACCAGAACATAGACAGTGGCCCCAGAGAAATCCCCTATGAAATCAACAACTCCTCTCTCACCTGGTAGCCAGGTAAGGGTCATGAGAATGATTCTGGACCACCTTCTTCCCATGTCCTGCTTGGACAGTGAGGCATCTCACTTTGGACTTTGGGTATGGCTGTCACCTTTCACTTCAGGGCCTCAGCAGGGGTACTTCCCTCTACCTTAAGTCAGATGAGAGAGGCATGAAGGGAACTGCTCTAAGAGCTTCATGAGTGCTGTCTGCAGTGGACTGATATCCGACCCACACCTGAAGACTCCCAAGGTGAGAGGCTGTGGCTGGAACTCAGAGTGAGAGGGGCTGTGCTGACAATAACCTGCACGGTTTGAGTTGTTGGGGCAAGAACACATGATTCTTGTGGACCAGGTGTGGGGGATCCGCCCACAACAAAGCTGGTGTTGGGGCACTGTTACTCCTGCTGGAAAGGAGTCCCCAGGGGCTGATGTTACCCAGGGGCCTCAGAGGCCAGATGGAAGACCCTGGCAGAAAGAGGCAGTGTGTGGTCCTGAAGCCTAGTGTCTAGGGCTAGTGACCACCTCAGGGGAATTTGCAAGTGCAAGTCTCCAGAAATGGGTCCTCTCTCTAGGACTCAGGAAGGCCCCTTTGAGGGAAAGAGAGACACTCCACACTCACAGAATGTTCGCACCAGATCATGGCGATACCAGCTCAATCAGCCCTTCCCTGCCTCCTAAGCACATTTTATCTTTGAAGTTAGAAGGGGAGAAGATCCTAACACATACTGAGATTTGTTTGGCTTTATTTTTCAAGTTGGAAATGGAGATGTTACAGGAATGGAGGACAGGTAGGGTTTCAGTCTCAGATTCAGAGGTGAAATTGAGCTGACTCTGGCTGAGTAAAGTGGGATACAAAACAGTGCTGTTGGGGGAAATGTTGCCTTTCTCTGGTCTGTTGCTTCTGAGTCAAGCTAACTGACAGCTGTGCTCAAGTCCCCTGGAGAGAACCACTTTTGAAGAAATATTCACGTGGCGTGAGGCTCTGAACTATTTATGGAAAAGCAAAGCATTTCACTCAAAAGCAGCAAAGAAGAGAAAATCAGGGGACTGTCTTCTCAGTGCTTTTTGATGACTGTGTTGGTGGGGTACAGCTGAGTGCAGAGGTGAGCTGCAGAGTAGTGATCACCAGCAACACACAACGAAGGCAGAACCTGCCTCAGTCCTTGAGGCTTGAAGCACGGGGTGATGGAAATGAGGTCATCTGTCACTAAGAACAGCTTCCGCGTTCCTATAGAGACCAGCACCAGCCAACAGGCTAAGAGAAGTGCAGGCTGGTGTGGGTGGGCAGTGTAACTGTAGGAAACCTCAGAGAATACAGGGAGAGCTCCAGATTAGAGAGTGGAAAAGAGCAGAAGTAAGGGTTCAAGTTTTTCATCTGCTGTCCATTTTATCCATGATAATATTTTTATAGTGCTTTTATATTGAGAGAGCTCTTCTAATAATATTATCTCATATAATTTTTTTTGAGACAGGGTCGGCTGGGCATAGTGGCTTACACCTGTAATCCCAGCACTTTGGGAGGCCAAGGCGGGTGTATCAGCTGAGGTCAGGAGTTTGAGACCAGCCTGGCCAACATTTGAAACCCTGTCTGTACTAGAAATACAAAAATTAGCCGGGCATGGTGGTGCGTGCCTGTAATCCCAGCTACTTGGGAGGCTGAGGCGGGAGAATTGCTTGAACCTGGGAGGCGGAGGTTGCAGTGAACCAAGATTGAACCACAGCACTCCAGCCTGAGCAATGGAGTGAGACTCAATCTCAAAAAAAAAAAGACAGGGTCTTGCTCTGTCACCCAGGCTGGAGTGCAGTGGCACAATCATAGCTCACTGTTACCTCACGCTCCTGTGCTCAAGCGATCCTCCCACGCCAGCTTCCTGAGTGGCTGGGACTGCAGGCAGTACACCACCATGCCTGGCTAATTTTTTAATTTTTTTGTAGTGACAGGGTCTCTCTATGTTGCCCAGGCTAGTCTTGGACTCCTGGCCTCAAGTGATCCTCCAGCCTGGGCCTCCCAAACTGCTGAGAGTACAGGAGAGAGCTATCATGCCCAGCTCTATTTCATGTTATTTCATATTTCATATAATTCTTAGGGCAGCTCTCCACCTGATTAACTGTGCCACCTGATGGTGGGAACCAGAGGAGGAAGTTAACAGGTTAAGTTGCTTACCCATGACAGATGATGGTGACAGAATTTGGACCAAAGTTGTCTAATAATTTCCTAATTCAGAGGGCTCCTTCCAGCCTTTAGGGCTATGTTGAACTGGGGTAAAAGGATTTCATATGATTCATGGGCAGTATTTTAAAATTTAATTGTAATGTGTTTAGTTTTAAATTTACTTTCTATTTTTGGCAGGGATACTGGTTTTCCATTAATGGACTGAGGTAAACTCACTTAAGTAAAAAGAGCAAAGATGAAAAAGCATCAAGTAAATAGTAGCATCAAGATGTGGCAGTAATTGTGAAGGGGACTGTGAACATGAAATTTCAAAGCCACTGCTCTAAAGGCTTCCTGGCCAAAACAAAGAGTTTATCATTTGATTACATTCCCTAAAGGGTGTTCTGAATGTGTCCTGTGACTAAATCCTGACCTCAAAATGGGATGATAAACTCTTTGTGAATAAGGACTGTGCCTTCTATAATCCAGATGCTGTGTCCTGGCACCCCCCAAATTCATATGTTGAAGTCGTAACCCCAGTACCTCAGAATGTGGTCTTATTTGGAGACAGCGTCTTTACAGAGGTAAGCAAGTTAAATGATGTCATTAGGGTGGGCCTTAATTCAATATGACTGTTGCCCTATGGAAAGGGGAAGCAGCATGTGACATGAAGACGGTCACCTGCACACCAAGGAAAGAGGCTTAGAACAGATTTTCCTACACTGGTCGCAAAAGAAAACAACCTGGTCAACATCTTGATTTTGGACTTCTAGCCTCCAGAACTTTAACATTCTGTTGTTTAAGCTAACCAGTTTGTGGTAATTTATCACGGCAGCCCTAGCAAACTAATACAATAGGTTTGTGCATAAATACTGGGAACATAAATAATGAACCTTAAACTGAATAACAAGATCTTCCCGTGTAATTTTTATTCATTTATTTATTTATTTTTATTTTTTAAGACAGAGTCTTGCTCTGTCACCCAGGCTGCAGTGCACTGGTGCAATTTTGGCTCACTGCAACCTCTGCCTCCTGGGCTCAACTGATTCTCCTGCTTCAGCCTCCCAAGTAGCTGGGACTACAGGTGTGCGCCACTACACCAGCTAGTTTTTGTAGTTTTTGTAGAGATGGGGTTTCCCCATGTTGGCCAGGCTGGTCTGAAACTCTTGACCTCAAGTTATCTGCCCACCTCGGCCTCCCAAAGTGCTAGGATTACAGGCGTGAGCCACCGCATCCAGGCTTCCCATGTAATTTTGATCCAAGTCACTCCAAGTTTCTAATTAAAAATGCCTCCTCTTGAGCTTTAAGGCCTTGTTGGCCAGCTCTTCTCTCTCTTTGCATTTCAACAATGCTTCCCACTGCCCCAGTACTGCTATCTCCTGAGCTTGGGCATTTCCTGGTGTGTCTCCTTTTACAGAAGTACAGTGCCCTAGATGTCTGGACTTTGCCACTTGATTCATGTGGAGAGCCATCCTCCTTTGCACAAGACCTTTGTATTGAAACAGGATTGCTTTTTTTAAACCTTAAATGCCTTGCGAGTTTTTTGTTTGTTTGTTTAATTCCTCTGAGCAGAAAATAATTGTTACCTTTAGAAGTGATAGCACCCACTAAAAAGGAAGAGCACTGCACCCTGGAACCTGGCCCTTAATTAAAAGATGCTGCTAGTCCAGGCATGGTGGCTCATGCCTGTAATCCCAACACTTTGGGAGATGGAGGTGGGAGGATTGCTTTAGGCCAGGAGTTCGAAACCAGCCTGTGCAAAATAGGGAGACCTTGTCTGTACAAAACTAAAAATAAAAAAAATTAGCCATATATGGTAGTGTGTACCTGTAGTCCCAGCTACTCAGGAAACTGAGGCAGGAGGATCACTTGAGCCTGAGAGGTCAAGGCTGTAATGAACTATGGTCACACCATTGCACTTCAGCCTCAGCAACAGAGTGAGACCCTGCCTCAAAACAAAACAAAACAAAAAGCTCCTGTCTCTAGCTGAGCCATTGCATTGCCTGGAATGGCATTATGATCTCAGAATCTGCATGTATCTTCTCGGTGGGCTGTTGTTATCACTGCTGTCTGTATGCTATGTTGTTACGTTTGTGGATGTGCTAGCCTTCTACTGTGCTCTGTGGACTTCTTGACTTTACAGACTGACCATGTCTGAATCATATTTGGATCAAGTTCAATAAAAATGTGTTGAATAATGAACATTTTAAAAGGAGAACTGAAGTTCAGTGTCCTGTTGGCTGTATTTCTGTTTGATATACAATTGAATTTTGTGACATGGTTCACTGGAAGTATCCCTTTAGTCTTTAGATTTAAAATCTTGTTGATTTGGGGAAAGCTGTTAGTCCTGGACTGAATTTCCAAGACTTCATGGATCCTATATTCCTAGGGAGCTTTAAGAATTGTTTTCAATGGCTTAAGTACTGATCTGATCGGACATAACAGACTGACCTAAAAAACTCCCCCCTTTTTGTTTTAGTCTCTAAAGATTTATTTTTATGAATTAGATTAGATACATATGATCATTTTCTAGAATTCATTCTAAGTTTAAACTGCTTTGTCTATTTTTAAGTTCTGCTCTCTCTGACTGAATTTTTAGAAATCTGGCTCCAACACACTTACAAATAGATCCTGCTAGATATTGTTCTTGTCATCACTTTTAGGATTATGTCAAAATGTACCATTGCTATTTACTTGATCCCAAAATATGTTACATGCATTTTTCTTTCAAAGCGCATGACCATGGAACAAAGATCATATTTACAAATCTTTGCATCCCTAAGTGAGAACACTTGGCAGAGCAGAAGCAACATTTCCATTTTTTTTCAGGATGAAACCTTGCACAATAACACTGCCATCCTACATGATAGGATAAATCTGTGCTGGCTTGTCATGAGCACTTATTTTGAGGAGTCCTCTGTTGCTCTGGGAGAAACATTTAACTAAATGTTATTCATTGCCCATATACCAATCTCAGGTCAATGAACCCCCAAACTCTACCAAACCAGGGAATTGACTTTAGCAAATCTTTTTATGATTCTTGTGCCAGGTTTTGTGGGTAATACGCAGTCTCTCCCTTCAAGGGATTTACTGTATAAGGGATTCAGGATGGTGGCTCAGGATCAAGACTGGAACTCTGGTGTTAGGATATGTGCTTTTTAAAAATCTTCTGGTAGCATGGCACTTTTCATTCCTGCCCTCATACCTAGAGGGCTTCTTATGGAACCTCACAACTGCAACAAGATAGAAGTAGCATGCACTTGACAAATAATGGCCAGAAATGCTCTGAGAGCCTCTAGCCTAAGTCTAAATGTAACGCTTGAGTCAGCTGGAGGCTGTCTGAAACTTTCTTTCATGCAACTAAAAAATTAAGAGTCCTGAGAACTTTAGAACTATGACTAAGTTTGAGTGTGGTGCGTTGGCCAAATGCATCAGACTGAAACAGCACTAGACTGTGGTCTAGCAGAAGATGGGAAGATTGATCCATGTCTTGCTGCTGCCCAGCTTTTGGTTCCTGGAGAATTTCCTGTAAGATCTCGGGAGTCAGGGTAGGTATGACCTGGACAGAGAATCATAAAATCCCAAGTTTTAGATCCTAAAGAGATATTTGAGTTCATTTGTTTAACTTCTCTTAACATTTTAGTCAACAGCACAGAGATTTAGAAACTTGCTCCAGTTTTCATGGTCAGTTAATGGGAATATTAGAACTAGAACCCAGGTTTCTTGATTTATGAATCTTCTCTTTGTTCTCTGTTGGTGTTGCATTATCTGTTTTTCCCAGAGCCCAGAGCCTTTCTAGCCAAGTGCCATGGTCAGTAGTGTGTTGACAAACTGGATTTCTCTTTCAAACAAAAACAAAAAACCCTGGTCTGTAGTATTTTTAGATTTCCATGGTATAAATACTTCTACCATGGCCAATTTCAAGCTACCAACATCTAACAACCAGCTTGCAAGTTTCCTGAAAAAGTTAACAATAGACTCCCGCACACCATTGATTGTATTCTCCTGTATGCTTGTTCTTTTTGGCATTGTTGGTAGCATATCAGTGACCAACCTTTTGTGAGATAGGTGGGCCCCTTATGGCGATGGGAGATAAATTAATGGAATTAAGAGAAGGACTTGTTTCATTGATTAGCTTACTTCAAACGAGTCCAGCATTCCTCAGATCCTAATCTCTCCATAACACTCAGTAGTCCTCTTGACTTAACATGTGATAAAAAATAATGGAAGCTAAAGGGAGATATTTCCTTTGTTTCTAAAGCATTTTGAAACTTTTGTGTTGTGGGACTTAGGATTTGCTGTTCATAAAGTTTCTACTTCTACTTTGTATCTTGAAAGAAAGTTCAATGGAGGGGTGTAGAATTTCTAGAATTTCCCATTTATCTAGTCATTTGTTCATTCATTCATTTATGTTTGACTATTACCACTGTACCCTAACCTAATTATGGCAATCCTCTAGCTATTTTGAGTTCAGAGACTGAGGGGGATAAGATACTGGATACAGTGTCATAAAAATCATGACCACTTAGAGAGTAACAGATTTTAGAGCTGGGAACGACCCTACAGATGATCATCACCCCTATGCTGTAGATAAGGAAGCTGAGAGACTGACAGAAATCTGCATAGAATCACGCAGTTGTTTGGAGTCTTCACTGGGTTCATAACTTGTGATTCTTGATACCTCATTCAATGTTTTTCCATTATACCATTATAACTCATTTTTCTCCCACATTCAGAGCATGAAAAAAATATATAGCATATGTCTCTAGCCTGTGACTTCAGATTGAATAAATCTTAGATTTTCAGCACAGCCTTTTGATCATATCAGGAAGGGGGAAGTGAATTGGAGTACTGATTTAGAGGACTGCCTACTGCTCTTCTAACCTCCTGCATCTTGTGGCACATACATTGTCAGTGAAAGACTCAGAAGGTGCTGGATGGTGTGAAACTTAGGGCTTTTCAGAAGAATCATTAAGGGTTTTATATATTCAGAGTGAAGTCTTTAGTATTGAGATAGAATAACCAATCTGTTTTGCATGGAGAAGAAGACTTGGCTCTGATATGAGTATTCAGTTAAATTCAACAAGCATTTTAACACCTACAAGGTACCACGCACTGTGCTAAGCACTAGGAATACACAGATGAATAAAACATCAACTTTATTTTATAGGAACACATAGCCTGTGGGAAAAGAGACATGAACAAGTAACTTCAGTATAGTCTTCTAAGTGCAGCACACACACAGTTCAATACATTGTTTTCATTTGTTAATTTAGACTTAGTGGGAAGAGCACTGAGCAAGGAGTCTAGCCATTTAGGTTTTAGTCCCAGCACTGCCACTGCCTGACAGTGTGACCTGGTATAGATCATTTAGCACCTTCCTCTCTGTGTTGGGGAAAGGAAGGATCATGAAGACCTTCTAAAAGGTAATTGGGAAAATTAAACAAATGTTTGTGAAAGTGTTTTGAGCCAGGTGTGCTGGCTCATGCCTGTAATCCCAGCCCGTTGGGAGGCTGAGGTGGGCAGATCGTGTAAGTTCAGGAGTTTGAGACCAGCCTAGGCAACATGGTGAAACCCTGTCTTTCACCCTTCCATGGTGGAAGTATTTATACCATGGAATAAAGAAAATTAGCTGAGTGTAGTAACATGCACTTCTAGTCCCAGCTACTTGGGAGGCTGAGGTGGGAGGATCACCTGAGTCCAGGAGGTAGAGGTTGCAGTGAGCCAGGAGAGACCCTGTCTTAAAAAAAAAAAAAAAAGTTTTGAAAGTATTATCTGCCACATAAACCTAAGTATATTATTTTTATTTTGCAAATAGGTAACTTTTTTATACCAGAAAGCTCGTATTCTTTGACTAAGCTCTACTGAGAAAGCACTTATTATCAAATATTTATTGAGCATCCACTTGGCGCTAGACATACTTCTAGATCCTGGGATATGGCAATAAATACAACAGAGCGTCTCCCAACTTGTGGAGCTTACATTCTAAAGAGAAAAGATGGAAAATAAATACACAAGAAAAATGTCAGATAGTATTTCAAGTAAGTACAATGCAGATAATAAAAACAGTGTAATGCAACAGGAATGATTGGGCAGACTTTAGATTGGGAGTCAGGAAAGACCTTTCTGCAAGGTGATGTTTAGGCTGAGTGACAAGAAGGAACAAGCATTGCCAACATCAGAGGTAGGAGCATTCTAGGCAGAGAATGGTTCCTAAGGCCCTAAGCAGGAACGAGCTTGGCAGGTGTCAGGAACAGAGAGAGGGCCAGAGTGGCTGGAGCATGGCGGGCCAGGTGGAAATGGGACACAGTGGGTTCAGAGAAGAAGGTTGGGGTCAGATCACAGAGAACTTTGTCAACCAACATAAGGAGTTTGGGTTTTATTCCAAGTACAGTGGAGACCAGGATTTTAAGCAGGAGATTAATAAGGTTTGACTTTTAGAAGATGACTCTGGCTTTTGGAGGAGAATGGATTATAGGTCAGTCTTGTAGCAGTGCAGATGAGAGGGAATATGGGCTTATACTGGGCTAATAATAGAAAAGTTGATAAAAGTAGAATATGTGTAGGGTATCACTGAAGATGGTATAAAGAGAAACTCCTCATGGCTTAGATTGGTGTGGGAAACAGAAGTATCAGGTGTGGTTCCTTGATTGTTGGCCAGAGTAGGACAATTTACTGAAGGAAAAGTAATTATGGGGAATGAGGAGGAAAAGGAGAGTCAGGAATTGTTTTGACCCTGTGAAATTTGACTTGCCTATCAGTCATCTTGGTGAATATGTCAAGAAGGAAGAAGCTGGGTCTGCAAATCTCTAGTGTAGGAATCACTGGCACATAGATGGAGCTGGAGGAGGTTACCCTGAAGGACAGTGTACACAGAGAAAGGAAGGGGTTCTAGCTTGGAGGCTGAGCCCAGAGAGGAGGCACAGAAGGCTGAAAAAGAATAGTCAGTGAGGAAAACCATGAGAATGAGGTGTCCTGGAAGCTACTAGAAGAAAGTAGGGGATAATCAAGTAGGAGGGAGGTCAAGCAGTGTAAGAACAGAGAAGCGACCACTGGGCTTGGCAATGTGTCAAGGGAAGCTGTCGGCTGGTGTCTTGACAGGATTGGTGGGGGTAGAAGTTGAAATGAAATGAGTTGAGAAAGAGATGTGAGGTGAGGAAGTGGGTATTTCAGCTGTAGAGAATTCCCTTAAGAAGTTTGCTGTGAAGGGGGACAAAGCAATGGGGAATGCCTACTGGAGAATTCAGAACAAAGTAAAGATATCTGGTATGTTTGCACATTAATGAATATGATCTAGTAGACATTGTCCACATGACATTGATGTGCACAAGGAGGGATAATTATTGGAGATAAATCCTTGGGAAGGTGTGAGCAGATGGGATTTAGAGCATAAGATGGGGGGTTGGACTTCAACAGGAGCAGAGACATTTCATCCAGAAGAGCAAAAGGGAACACAGAGAAGTATGGCAGATGAGTGGTAGATGTGGCATTGAAAAGGTGAATCTGTTTGCTTCTGTTCTTTATGCATTTGAAAGTGGTGGGGAGCTAGAGGAGAGAGGTAGACATGTGATATCGTCACCTGGAGAAGTGAGGAAACACGTATGTAGAGCACTGTGGCAAAGTTGCCTGGCAGTATTGAGTCCCCTGCAAGATTTGTGGTCCTGAGTCTAAAGTAAGACTCATGAGCATGCTTGTGTTTGGTTTTGTTTTATTCTTCTACCAGCTGGACTGCAGGTGTGGTTTAAGTAGTAGCTAGTTTAATCACTGTTGGGTTTTTCCAGGGGAGTACAGTGGAAGGGGAGACGGAAGATGGAGTTAGAAATATTACCAACAGGAGGGGCCGGGCGCGATGGCTCACACCTGTAATCCCAGCACTTTGGGAGGCCGAGGCGGGCGGATCACGAGGTCAGGAGATTGAGACCATCCTGGCTAACATGGTGAAACCCCATCTCTACTAAAAATACAAAAAAAAAAAAATTTGCCGGGAGTGGTGGCGGACACCTGTAGTCCCAGCTACTTGGGAGGCTGAGGCAGGAGAATGGCGTGAACCTGGGAGGCAGAGCTTGCAGCGAGCCGAGATTGCACCACTGCACTCCAGGCTGGGTGACAGAGCGAGACTATGTCTCAAAAAAAAAAAAAAAAAAAAAAAGAGAAGAAAAAAGAAAAAAAAAGAAATATTACCAACAGGATGATTATAAGAATGGATCAGGGAATCTGGCAGGATAAGGAGGAAATTGATAACTGGGGGTGATTAATGGAGAAAAAGTGGATTGGAGAGCTTGAGATGGAAGGGTTTCTGTAGTGGGAGCACTGGAACTGGTGACCTGGAAGATCAGGAAATGTTTGAATGCAGAAATGTGCCAAAAGACAGGAAACATTTTCCAAGATGATAAAAATCTCAGTAGTGAAAATCTCTTTGGGGTTTAATGTATTTTGAGGCTTTCACCACAATTAAAAAGTGACACTAATTCTGAAGTTACAGATCTTTGACTAGGGGAGGCAGTAGAAGACCCTCTGAACCTTCCTGGCTGGTCAGGACAAGCTTACTGGGTTTTGGGAAATAAAAACATCATTTTCTTCTCCTAGAAGGTCTAGGAAGAGACTTTGAAGAATCTCTTTATTACAGAATCCTAGCAGACATGACAGAGAGAGGCATGACTAATGCTTAGGCAAGTAAGTATATATTCATGGGGCAAATCATAGGGAGAATTATGCTTTTTAACTATTAAAGTTCATGTAATGGGACTTACGCCCAGTCTCCAACTCAAGTGCCATGTTTCTCCTCAATTATTACAAAAATCAAGAGTATCCTATGTGGATACTACAAGTTGCTAAGCTCTTTATTGTATGGATTCAAACAGAAGACTTTTTTCTGGCACTCAATTGCATTTAGTAAAAATGTAGTATAACATGGTTAGCCAACCATAGCCATTGCATGGTTCCATTATATATTACTAGAGTGTTTTTCTCAGATGAATGTGAGGCCTAAAACACTCACAGTGACATAATTTCACAAGAAATTCTGGGTTCTATAGAGAAGGTTGGCAGTGTGATGCTGAAATATGTAACAGGCCTGAAATACAACCTGAAGGAATACTTGAAGAAGTGTCTGGCTTTCTGCTACATATCTTAAGCAGGAAGACAGACATGTTCTTTTTTGTTATTATTATTTCCTTCAAAAGATCTGAGGATCTGTTACATGAGGTCATTCTTCTTCCCTGTGTACTTCCTTAGGCTGACTGGTCTTATAGCCACGATTATCTTCCCTGCAGAGAATGAATTTTCCAGAATGTTTTGGTTCATTTCCTTGAGAGCTTTTAAGCTTTAGAATTTTTTCACAGACTAGGTTAGCTGTAAAACTTTAGGAAAGTGACTCAGTCTTCTTAAATAAATAATGTAAGCCACTGAGTACTTTGTAATCAAGTCACATTTTGCAGAAATGAGCTGCATAGTATAAATGTCTTTTTAAAAGTACATTAAAAATTATGGGCATCTTGAAGGTTTGTGTTTACTGTATCTCTCATATGAGGAGATGCATTTTTAATGACAGATCCTACCTTTCCCTGGAAGTCTTTTTAATAGTCTCTATGGATACCCTATGTGGAAAGCAGAAACACTTAAGCATCTGTTGCTTTATTACTGTGATCATGTTCCTGAACATGTATCTGTTAAATACTTTCTTGTACATTACGTCAGCTGTCAAATGCAGTATCAAAATACAGCATTTAGTTGAGTGACATTTTAGTAGCCTGTGGCTATTTAGTACTTATTTGCTCTTTCTATGCCTATGTCTGTGTCCTACCCAGCACAGTTAAAATTGGTCATCAGTGGAAAGAATGACAGAAGAATAAGAATCCCAAGGTGGACAGGTGTGGTGGCTCATGCCTATAATCCCAGCACTTGGGAGGCCAAGGTGGGCGGATCACCTGAGGTCAGGAGTTCAATATGAGCCTGGCCAACATAGTGAAACTCCGTCTCTACGAAAAATACAAAAATTAGCCAAGCATGGTAGTGCGCGCCTGTAATCCCAGCTACTCGGGAGGCTGAGGCACAAGAATTGCTTGAGCCCAGAAGGCGGAGGTTGCAGTGAGCTGAGATCGTGCCACTGCACTCCAGCCTGGGTGACAGAGCGAGACTCTGTCTCAAAAAAAAAAAAAAAAAAAAATTCCCAAGGCAAGGAATCTGTTTGTTAATTGATTACTTTATTTGATTTACAATATTCACATTTCCAAGTATGTATTTGACCTCCCAAATTAAATTGTTAGCTATAGAAATTTTGTTCGTTCTCTTACAGTTTGTTTTTTGAGTTTCAGGACTATTGTTAAAGGTATACTGTGACAATGTGTATTAGATACCATGAAAAATATATCATTGAATATGCTGTATCACTCACACTGACAAAAAGCTGTTAAATAAATAACAGAGAAACATTATGGAACATAATATCTGTCAGGGGGACTGAATCAGTGAAGGAAAAGTAGCCAAAGTAACCCATGATGTGGAGGTGCACCATGCACACTATTAATGGCTCAGAGTCTCTCACTCTTATTCCCATGTTAGACAACTATTTCAAAGTTTCTTTGACTAAGAATAAAAAGTAAATCTCTTGCAAGCCATCCCCCCAGAAATGAAACTCAAGGTCTGTTAAAGGGCCAGTATATAGCTGCACAATTATCAAATTTCTGAGCTAAAGCTTGTCATTTCTTTTTTCCTTTAGTAACTTATTATGGCAAGTTTCCCTCTTTTTTTTTTTTTTTTTTTTTTTTTTGAGACAGAGTCTCACTCTGTTGCCCAGGCAGGAGTGCAGTGGTGCCATCTCGGCTCACTGCAAGCTCCGCCTCCCAGATTCATGCCATTCTCCTGCCTCAGCCTCCCGAGTAGCTGGGACTACAGGCGCCCGCCACCACGTCCGGCTAATTTTTTTGTATTTTTAGTAGAGACACGGTTTCACCATGTTAGCCAGGATGGTCTCGATCTCCTGACCTTGTGATCCGCCCGCCTCAGCCTCCCAAAGTGCTGGGATTACAGGCGTGAGCCACCGCGCCTGGCAAGTTTCCCTTCTTATGACGCCTAGTTATTTTTGGTACCCTCTCCATTTGAGAACATAGTAGGTCCTTGATTCCATGTCTTAACTTATCTGAGGGATTTTGTTTTCCATTGGAAATCATATTGGTGAAGAAAATATTCTCATTAGTAAAAATTTTTTCTCTAAGATTATAAATGAAAGCTCTTTAAATGTTCATTTTAAAACATCCTGAATATTCACATCTGTGTGATATACAGGATGAATATATACCCTGACTGTGTATTCACTCCTGTGTATATAAAACATCTGTGAAAGGTATATGTCACCTGAACCTAATATTTTGAAATATTTGACAAAAAGAACAACTGATCCATATTTTTTGAGGTAGCGTTTTTAAAGAAAAATTCTATTTAAAAATTCCAGAAGAGTATTGTATTTTTCATAAAATTTCAAATAATACTAATTGTTTCCCTTTCTTCACCAAAGGAAAGAAGTGTTAATGGTGGATTATATATAATAATACACACAGAGAAACACATATGCACAAGTGTACTTTTAAACAAAAATGTATTATGTTATATGCATTCTTCTGTAAATAGTTGCTTCTACTTTGCAATATGCCTTAGACATCAATCCATCTCAATATTCATTGTTTATAACTTCTTGATAGTACTCCTTAATATGCTTGTACTATAATTTCTTTAACCATTACCCTATTAATGGTCCTTTGGGTTGGTCTTAATATTTGATATTACAAATAGTGCTGCAGTAAACATCCCTACACTTACATTTTTGAGCATTTGTGTCAGTATTTCAAAAAACAATTTCTAGGCATGAAACTGCTGAGGCAAAGAATGTGCGCATTTAATTTGAGACATACTGATAAATATCCCTACAGAAATGTTGTTTCAGTTTCCGGAAGTCTGTTATTAATCATGAAACGAAATAAATTAGAAGTTTCTCAAATGATAGGAATTACAAGTCTGCTGAATGATTAGGGCATATATCACAGATGAAGTTTTATAACTCTTTTTGGTTTTGTATAAATTTAAAATTTATATTTTAAGTAGACACAAGTTGAATACAAGACATGGAAATTATTTTAGCTCTTTTTTTTTTTTTGCATTTTGTGGGAATGGGGGTTAGTGGCTCAGAGAGAGGAGAGGGCAAAAGAGTCACTATTTGGTCTTGGAAATGGAGAAATGTAGGTGAGTGAAAGCATCTTTATAAGAATATGCTTTCTGGAACAAGATGATGTTTAGTAAGGTTTTCATGATTTTCAAGTAAACCAGCTGTGACTGGGATTCAGTCCAAGAAGGTCTTTGTGCTGGGACAATACAGATCTTTAGGCTATGGAATAGGAGTAGAACAACAAAATTTCCTGTGCATATTTGGTTTATAAAAATAACCTCTTTGAAAGCACATTTTAAGTTTCAAGTATCCCGTGCTTCTGAACTATTTCTAGGCTATCCTGTTTCAGTCAAAGGGCTTGATTTTAATACAATACCTAAGCTTATCTTTTCACTCAAGAGCAAAAATTCTATATCTTTTCCAGAGTTATGCAGGCATTAGTCATATACTCTACTCTCCTTCCCCGCCAACACGAAAATCCTTCCTCTGTCTGTCCCATTTCCTCACTGATGTATGTAACAGGAGTGATGCAATTTCTTTGCAATGTTGGCAGTTATAATTAGGCTATCTCTTTTGGAAAGGCCTCAAGAATCCCATAGTGAAGGCTGCAAAGGCACCACATGCTTTTTTATTCACTGTGTGATTAGAAAAATTATTGAAAATTTGAGATTTGATTCTTAGACCTATGAAGAAGCTCTTGTGAAACTGGCCTGAGAAAGGGAGCCAGTTAATTTCTTTATAAGACAAATTTCTCCATGCTTTCAGATTCCAGCATATTTTATTATTTTAGCAGGCACCCAGTTATTAATTACTGTAGTAATTCAGTTAAATATAAGATTGTTGAGTGCTCCTTAGGACCTTCTCCAGGAGTCTACTTAATTCCTGAGGACCCTTTCTTATACTAATACTGGGCTTGGCAGTATCTGGTGCACTATTCCCTCACCTAGGAAATGTCAGTAGACACAGCTGTGAAAGGCTATTTAACTGTTTGTTCAAAGATACGTTAATACTTGCTTATAATTTGAAGTATTCTTTTGAAAACTAGTTAGGCCTACGGTTCTATCTGTCAGTCCTACTTAGGAGACTGTGTGGTTAGAAAGAACAATAGCATTGGTGTTCAAATAGGCCTGTGTTTTGAATCCCACTTTTGTTTTTGTTACCTACTACAGTGGCTTCAGCTTGGGCAGGTTATGTCAGATGGGTATCATAACTCCTGTAGGACTAGAGAAAGAAGTGAGCAAATGTTTGTAACATGCATAACACCACACTTAACTTGGGGGAAGAGCTGGATCAGCAATCGTTGTTCTCTTCATTAGCACTTCCTTCTCAGTTTTGGGGAATCCTTAAAATAGTGCTTCCCAGAGTGTTCCACAAGGGTATTCCTGCTGCAGAAGATCATAAGCCCTCTGGCCTCTGGCAGTTTAGCCCAGAGTAGTCTGCTGCCAGGGGGAAATGACTTGAAGTCTTGTTTTACTTTAACCTCTTTGTAATATACATATGTTTTCATGCAGAAATGATGTTAGAATTACCAATTGAATAACTTAATGTAACTTGATGTTTCCCCTTCTTCAAATCCTTGGGGAAAAAATTAGCCTCCAAAAGTATGCTCCACACTTCTAATGGGGCTGAGTCTGGGGAAGCCCATTAGTAGTGCTTCCGGAGTGTACATGCTCAACCTGAGAACCATACCCAAGAGAAGCTCTGGAGATTAAGAATAGATTTTGGGGGCCAATATGTCATCATGAATTGAAATAAAATCATATAATAACATTGGATTGTAAATATATGTTGGTTTAGAAGCCATACTTTTGTCTCTATTTTTTGTTTTTAAAGAGACAGGGTCTCCCTCTCTTGCCCAGGCTGGAGTGCAGTGGTGAAATCACAGCTCACTGCAGCCTCTAACTCCTGGGCTCAAGCCATCCTCCCACATCACCCTCCCAAATGCAAGTAGCTGGGACTACAGGCGTGCACCACCATGCTTAGCTCAGTATTTTTAAAAATTTTATTTCTCCTCAGAGTTATTGAGCTTCTGTATCTGCAGAATAACGTGAGTCTTTTGCTCTCACTGGGGAAACCAGATATGGGGATACAAGGTATCAGAAGATTCATAGCTACATGCAGTGGCATATGATTAGGTGAGAAATGGTGGTGTGGATCATAAATAACATGTTTAATAGAGAAAGATGCCACCTTGGACCGAAAGCCAGAGGTGGTTTCTTCGAGGTGCATAGATAACTTGATGAGTTTGGAGAATGGGTGGGATTTGATTGGTTGGAAAACAAGGCATCTTGGGATATTTCTTCTTTTCCATTCTCATAGCTATTACTAAATCTTACTGCTTATGTTTTCCACCAGCTCCTGAAACACTAATTTATTTGAACCTATGGCAATATCTCTTGTTTTTGAAAAGACCTGTAGTAATGGTATAACATTTTTGTTAAATGTGTTTATTTAAAACTGTCACATTTTACTATATGTCTGTGTTTCTCTGCATGCATAATCAAACAGTATTTTTTCCCACTGACTTGGCCATATTGTTCTGTCTTCAAAACCCTTAACCATTAACCTTTCTGATCAAATTATGAGTCTTTCCCATTTAGCTAAGATTATTTTCAGGCCAATGTATCCTCCCTACTCACATGCATGCATTTTGACTTCCCAGGCCATTTTCCCCTAACTCCCCCACCCACCCACAAACCCATCCAGCCACCTTTCCCCTACACTCACTTTTTTCCCCTTCTATTGTGTCCTTCCTTCTCCTTTGCTTGCCTGAAACCACCTACCTCTTATTATAAAAGACTCCACTTCCTGGTGAGGTATCTCGGAAGGGTATGCTTTCTGCAGGGCTGTTAGAACTTTGTGGAAATACTTTGGCTCAGTGCAGCTTTATTGAGCCCTTCCATGAATATCTTTGGGAGCAGGTGAGGAGGATGGGGTATATGAAGCAATGGTATTGGGACTGCTTTGAGTCTTAAAAGACTACATTGGAAGCATTTGGGAAACAATGTCTTGGCATATATGGAAGGAAATGATATCTAAACAGTTGGTGGAAATCCCAACCTAAAGAATTTAACAACTTCCAAGGGAAAACAGATTGTTGCAATTTACTTTCTTAATTTAAACGGGAAAACATGCCTTGGCCATTTTCAACTAATGATGCTGTCTGGTATTTGGTGGGGGACTAAAGGGGATTCTGTCACTATTATCTGGAGGTTGTATAGAGAGCCAGCGAAGCTGTTAAGCATAAATAGAATACATTTTTTAAAAATAATAAAAAGAAAAAACAAACCAAACTCACTTTTATCCTTGCCCTCCGCTGCCTTCACCCCAAAAAGAATTTAAGATTTCACAAAGCTACATCCCTAGAGGATGGCCAGAAGAGGTTTGTGTGTAGATCATTGAGATGATATAAAATGTGGTAGGTTCACATGGGCCCTAGGAAGTGAATGTCAGTAAGCCCTTCCAGATATGAATGTAAAGCTTTTCAGAAGAAGAGACATTTCTCTGGTACCTGCATCATATTAGGTGCTACCTTATGTTACCTTAGTTGGGACAGAAAGCAGGGACACACAGCAGTGTCTTTCCTCTGTCACACCAATCTGTCTAAACAGCTCTGATTCTTCCATATGTAGAAGAATTCCCAAAGACGGTTTTTTATTTTTGTTTTTTTTTTTTTTGTTTTGTTTTGTTTTGTTTTGTTGAGACGGAGTCTCGCTCTGTCCCCCAGGCTGGAGTGCAGTGGCGCCATCTCGGCTCACTGCAAGCTCCGCCTCCCGGGTTCACTCCTTCTCCTGCCTCAGCTTCCCGAGTAGGTGGGACTACAGGTGCCCGCCACCACGCCTGGCTATTTTTTTTTGTATTTTTAGTAGAGATGGGGCTTCACCATGTTAGCCAGGATGGTCTCAATCTCCTGACCTCGTGATCCGTCCGCCTCGGCCTCCCAGAGTGCTGGGATTACAGGTGTGAGACACCACACCCGGCCATTTTTTTTTTAATTGGAATATATGCAAACCTAGGTCTGTAATATTTTTGCAAGACAATAGTTTGCTGGAACTGGAGGGGACATTGCCACATCCCACCCAGGCCACTTTACTAATTCTTGTTTCCTTCTTGATCTCTGTTAACATTTCAGAGCCTCTAAGGAAATGCCTCTAGGCAAGGCTCTAGGTACCCAAAAACATTAGTCTGGGGCATATTTCTCCAAAAGGGGAAACAATAGAGATACATTGATAGCTTGCGTTGAACATTTATACATTATTCTTTAGAAGATTGAAATGGTCTTATATGTTGCAACCAGAAATGTGTAATAATGCCTGTTTTTATCTGTTTATTTTTCTTTACCAGGTGTTCAGGGAATCTGTAAAAATGGCACTTGTGAACTTTTCTCTATGTGATAATTTACTATCTTTTTGGTTCTGCATATATTTGCATTCATCATTTTGTAAAGAGATCCTGGGAATTGATTATATGTGTTTATCTAAAAACTATTTCTATAGTTTGAATAGTAAAGTTCTCAATTACTTTTGTGCTATTGCTTGTTTGTATACTTTTTATTCCATTTAGATATGCAAACTTTTTCTCATTCATTCTCTCCTCTCCCCAGCCCCTGGCAACCATCATTCTACTTTCTGTCTCTATGAATTTGATTACTCTAGGTACCTCATGTATGTGGAATCATACAATATTTGTCCTTTATGACTGGCTTATATCACTTAGCGTAATATCTTCAGAGTTCATCCATGTTGTAGCATATGTCAGAATTTCCATCATTTTTAAGATTGGATCATGTTCCATTGTGTGTATATACTACATGTTGTTTATTCAATGGACACTCAGTTTGCTTCCGCCTTTTGGCTATTGTGAATAGTGCTCCTATGAACGTGGGCATACAGATACCTGTTTGAGTCCCATTTTAATCCCTTTACGTGTATACCCAGAAGTAGAATAGCTGGATCGTATGGTAATTCTATGTTTAATTATTTGAAGAATTACCGTATAATTTTTCATAGCAGCTGCACCATTTCACATTCTACCAGCAATGCACAAGGATTCCAGTTTCTCCACATCCTCACTAACATTTATGATTTTCTTTTTTTAAAAAAAAAAAACATAGTCATCCTAATGGGTGCACAGTGGTATCATTGTGATTTTGGCTTGCATTTTCCTAATGATGATATGCATCATTAGTGATGTTAAACATCTTTTTAATGTGCTTAGTGGTCATTTGTATGTCTTTGGAGAAATGTCTATTAAGTTCTTTGCGCATTTCTAAACCAAGTTGTTTGGTTTTTGTTGTCGTTGTTGAGTTGTAGGAGTTCTTTATATATTCTGGATATCAATCTCTTATCACATACATGATTTGCAAATATTTTCTCCTATTCTGTATATTGCTTTTCCATTCTGTCGATAGTGTTTTTTGATGTACAAGAGTTTTAAATTTTGATGAAGTCCAATTTATCTATTTTTTTCTCCTGTTAACTGTGTTTTTGGTGTCATATTCAAGAAATCATTGCCAAATCCAATGTCATAAAGCTTTTACCGTATGTTTTCCTCTAAGAGTTTTAAGTTTTAGCTCTATGTTTAAGTCCTTGACCCATTTTTGAATTAATTTTTGTGTACTCTATAATGTAGAAGTCCGCTATGGTCTGAATCTTTGTTTCTTCCCAAAATTCATGTATTGATACCCCCAAGGTGATGATAGTAGGAGTTGGGGCCTTTGAGAGGTGATGAGGTCATGAGGGCAGACCTCTCATGAATGGGATTAGTGCCCTTATGAAAAAGACCCCAAAGAGCTATCTGGCCCCTTCTACCAAGTGGGCACACATAAAAGGCATTATTTATGAGGAAGCAGGCCCTCACCAGACACTGAATCTGCTGATGTCTTGATCTTAGACTTCCCAGCCTTCAGAGGGAAATGAGAAATAAAGGTTTATTGTTTATAAGCTACCCAGTTTATGATATTTTCTGATAGCAACACAAAGGGACTAAGACATGGTCCAACTTCATTCTTTCACATCTGGAAAATGAGTTTTCCCAGCACTATTTGTTCAAAAGATTGTCCTTTTCCCAATGAATGGCAGACATTTTTAGAAGTAATATTTTCAAAGCCATTTTTCTTTCTCAGAGAGGTATTGTGATATATTGAACTTTAGAATCATACAAATCTTACTTCACTACTAATTAACTGATCTGGGATACATTAATTGACCTTTCTGAGACAGGATTGGAGAGATCGTTCATCTTTCTGGCTCTCGTGTCTGCCTTTAGGTGGTCTGAACTCTCTAAAGGGGGGATGTTTATTGACTCACTAAAATTACACCAGCTCCAATTTCAGGCAAAAAGATGGAAGGAATATTTTATTTTAAAACATGAGATTTTAGTTTCTCTCTATCTAATTGGTCTATCTTATACCTTAGGTTATAAGAAAAATAGAAAATAAATTCTGGTCTATCTTTACATTTACCACCTGTACTAT
Source organism: Homo sapiens (assembly GCF_000001405.40). Lineage (NCBI taxonomy): Eukaryota > Metazoa > Chordata > Mammalia > Primates > Hominidae > Homo > Homo sapiens. The sequence goes on along the minus strand of NC_000002.12, from coordinate 196,394,336 downwards.
TTTTCTGGGATCATTTTCTTTTCTTTTTTATTTTTAATTATACTTTAAGTTCTAGGGTACATGTGCACAACGTGCACATTTGTTACGTATGCATACATGTGCCATGTTGGTGTGCTGCACCCATTAACTCGTCATTTACATTAGGTATATCTCCTAATGCTATCCCTCCCCCCTCTCCCCCCTCACCCCCGGACAGGCCCCAGTGTGGGATGTTCCCCACCCTGTGTCCAAGTGTTCTCATTGTTCAGTTCCCACCTATGAGTGAGAACATGTGGTGTTTTTGTCCTTGTGATAGTTTGCTCAGAATGATGGTTTCCAGCTTCATCCATGTCCCTACAAAGGACATGAACTCATCCTTTTTTATGGCTGCATAGTATTCCATGGTGTATAGGTGCCACATTTTCTTAATCCAGTCTATCATTGATGGACATTTGGGTTGGTTCCAAGTCTTTGCTATTGTGAATAGTGCCGCAATAAACATATGTGTCCATGTGTCTTTATAGCAGCATGATTTATCATCCTTTGGGTATATACCCAGTAATGGGATAGCTGGGTCAAATGGTATTTTAGTTCTAGATACTTGAGGAATCGCCACACTGTCTTCCACAATGGTTAAGCTAGTTTACAATCCCACCAACAGTGTAAAAGTGTACCTATTTCTCCACATCCTCTCCAGCACCTGTTGTTTCCTGACTTTTTAATGATCTCCATTCTAACTGGTCTGAGATGGTATCTCATTGTGGTTTTGATTTGCATTTCTCTGATGGCCAGTGATGATGAGCATTTTTTCGTGTGTCTGTTGGCTTCATAAATGTCTTCTTTTGAGAATTGTCTATTCATATCCTTTGCCCACTTGTTGATGGGGTTGTTTGATTTTTTTTCTTGTAAATTTGTTTAAGTTCTTTGTAGATTCTCAATATTAGCCCTTTGTCATATGGGTGGATTGTAAAAATTTTCTCCCATTCTGTAGGTTGCCTGTTCACTCTGATGGTAGTTTCTTTTGCTGTGCAGAAGCTCTTTAGTTTAATTAGATCCCATTTGTCAATTTTGGCTTTTTTTGCCATTGCTTTTGATGTTTTAGTCAGTCATGAAGTCCTTGTCTATGCCTATGTCCTGAATGGTATTGCTTAGGTTTTCTTCTAGGGATTTTATGGCTTTAGGTCTAATGTTTAAGTCTTTAATCCATCTTGAATTAATTTTTGTATAAGGTGTAAGGAAGGGATCCAGTTTCAGCTTTCTACATATGGCTAGCCTAGCACCATTTATTAAATAGGGAATCCTTTCCCCATTTCTTGTTTTTGTCAGGTTTGTCAAAGATCAGATGGTTGTAGATGTGTGGTATTATTTCTGAGGGCTCTGTTCTGTTCCATTGGTCTGTATCTCTGTTTTGGTACCAGTACCATGCTGTTTGGGTTACTGTAGCCTTGTAGTGTAGTTTGAAGTCAGGTAGCGTGATGCCTCCAGCTTTGTTCTTTTGGCTTAGGATTGTCTTGGCAATGTGGGCTCTTTTTTGGTTCCATATGAACTTTAAAGTAGTTTTTTCCAATACGAAAATCTTTTGTATGTAAATAGTGGTGGTTTCTTGTCTTCCTTTTCTCCATTTATTACTGTTGTTTCAGTGTTGATTTGTATTGCTTTTGCATTTCTTTAATGTTTTCCAGAAATATTTCTGAAACATGGTGGTGGCATTTGGCATTTTTGTATTTTATATTTTGTTAAGGAGAATGATTCATGCTTTTCTGTTACCTACTCCTACTTATAACATTTATAATTATTTTGATGTTAGAATATGGAACACCTTGTGTTGCATTGCTGACAAAACACAAACAAATCTTTAAATTAATTAACAAAAATTTTTTAATGTACCACACTTCCTTAAACTTCTCTATGTAGCATTTTAATTAAGGAATATAAAACTTAAAAGCAAAGAACTAGAAGGAGCCTGATAGGTTACACAGCCCTGGCACCGAAAGTAGGTTTTATCTTACATTCCTATCCGAGTTGAATAGTGGAAGCTGCATAGAGTGCTATGTTAGGAAGACTGAGGCTTCATTCTGGAAGGAGTTGTATAATCAATTAGCGATGTTGGGCATGGGCAAGAGATGAAGCAAAATATTACTCAATTTTATTCTATTCATTACCAATCTTAATATAATTTATTTTACAGATAAAGGGATTGAATCTAAAAAGGAAAAAAGTTTGCATAGATTTACATAGCATATGTGTAGTGCTTTGAATAGTGTCCCCATAAGTCATGTCTTCCTGAATCTCCGAATATGACCTTGCTTGGAAGTAGGGTCTTTGCAGGTATAATTAGTGAAGATAAGGTCATACTGGATTACAGTGGGCCAATGAATCCAATGAATGTTGTCCTTAAAAGAAGAGGACAGGATAAGAGAAAGACACAGAGAAGACCATGTGAAGACAGAGGCAGAGACTGGACAGATTCAGCTACAAACCAAGGAGTATGAAAGATTGCCAACAACCATCAGAAGCTAGGAAAGGGCAAGACAGGATTCTTCCCTAGAGCCTTTGGAGGGAGGATGGCTTGCTAACACCTTGATTTTAGACTTCTAGATTCTGGAAGTATGAGAGAGTAACTTTCTGTTGTTTTAAGTCACTCAGTTTGTGGTACTTTGTCACAGAAACTCTAAGAAACTAATACAGTATCTGGGACTAAAACCCATACCTCCTTAATCTAATTCCAAAGAGTTAAGCACAGCATGAGAGAAAAAATATAGAACTAAACTTTGAAAAGTAGAAAAACTATGGGGTTACATGTGATAAGCCTTTGGGTTCCAAATGTGAGATCCTATCATCTAAAACATACATTCATGAGAGTTAAACAGTATAATGAGAGCAGTATCAATTCAGTACAAAAAACAGTGCAAGGAAGTTCTTGATTGATTGTTATGTCAGTCAGGGTCCCTGCCAGATGCAGATGGCCATCTCAACTTAGATCATTTGTGTGACCTTTAATACAGGGACTGTTTATAAAAGCATAGAGAGATCATAGGGGTGATACATTACAACACAGCCAGTAACAGTGGGGCAGGGTACTGTTACTACTCCTAGGCCTGAAGATGTAAGAAGAGGGAACAGTTACTAGAACCTGGGTTACGGAGAGAGCTAGGTTGAGGGGTCACCTGGTAGAAGATAAATAACCTGCAGAGAGACTATATATTTAGAACTGGGAGTTTAAATATTCCAGTCTTACTCTCCTCCCTGCCTCCTGTCTCTTGCTGGTGCTCCCTGTTGACTAAATCCACTTGCAAATTTGAGGTCAGTGGAGCTCAGTGATGCAGTACCTATAGGTCGGTTTCCCAGGGCAGAGAGCAGAGTGTATGGGGGAGGGAGGGAGGCACATGGAAGATAACCAGCCAATGCCAATGAGTATAAGACAGCAGATTAATAAGGAAATTGAGCTCGCACAATGTAGAATTTCCTAGACAATATGCAAAGCTCAAAACAGAAAGTCCTCTTGTGTCTAAGTACGTAGCCCATTCAAGTAAAAACAACATTCCTGCCTGTTGTGATGTCTTAATCTACTTATCTCCAAGCATCTTATTTCTTATGGTGACATGTTTTGCAAAGAATGTATTTGTGTCTAGATCCATGAATGCCTTGGACCCAACAGGCATCAAGTATGAAACTGTTGTGTTAATAAAAAACAACAAGGTTATAGATGGCATTTTTTCCCTTAGGAGGCTAAACATGCAGTCACAGTACTTTCTCTACCACATTATGAATTAGTGCAAGTGTGATTTGTGTTTTTCAGGTGAGCAAAGACAGGCACAGAAAAGGCTAGTAAGCTACCTAGGGTCACCTAGTGTGTTTAGTTTTCCATGCAGCGACTTTTGCTGTTTAGTTTCAGAGGTGACCAAGTGTCTGCTGCAAAGTCACGATAAGTGATCATTTGGGGGAGTACAAGGAGTGCTGGCAAGAATGTAAAAGCAGTTCCTTCTGATAATTAAACTATCAAGTTGACATATTGATCATTCCAACAACTTGGAAGGTTCTCCGATCTTTAAACCAGTAAAGCAGCTGGTAGAGAATGTGGATTCCAAAGACCAATGGCCTGGATGCAAATTTTTGGTTGGCCTTTCTTTTTCTGTAATTTTGGGCAAGCTACATAACTTCTTTGAGCCTCAGGTATTCATGAATAAAATGGATATCATAATAGGGTCTACCTCATGGAGTTGTCAGGAAAATTATGAGATAATAAATATAATATAATATAGTATCTGAGCATAATATCAGTATTTCATGCCATATCTAACATTGAGAAGGTACTAAATAAATGTTAACTATTTTTATTTCAAGCCTAAGCTTTCAAAGTATCTAAAGAGGTCCTGAACCATCAGAAAGGGTTTTGGCTGGCTGTGGAAGCTTAGCATGAGTGGTGTAGTCCTTTGTAGTGTCCATCCAGTGGCTGTTCAGGGAGAGGATACACTCATCCAAGGATGAGGTCTGTGGTCCCCAGGGCCACATGTGCATGAATCAGACTGTTAGCTAGAAACCTTTAAACATCTGAACTCACTCCCCCACTTCTGATTTCTTACTACCAAGAAAACTTGTGATGATAAATTGGCTTTCTCTGTAGTTTTCCTAGAAAGCCAGAAGATGCCAAGAATAAGGCCCCTTTCAAAGTTACCTTTCTTAGTCAATTTAGTCTGCCTTTCTGGTACTGACCACCTCTGAGACCCTGACAAGGTCAAGACTCTTGCAGAGGCAGGAGGCAGATCTGGAATAGTGGGGGATTCATCAAGTTACATTCCCCAGGCTGTTTGTAGGTGTTCTGTTATAAAGTGTTCCTGGGTTAAATCAGTTTAGGACGCCGTAGAAGGCAGAGGGCTTCCAGAGCTTTCGTATTATTTACTAATGCATGTTTTGAACTTCTAAAGGGGGAGTATGGTATCCACCACATCCTAGTCGTATTTGACCAGGAGCCCATTTTTCCTAGTAACACCTCAAAACACTAGGGTTTCTCAAAATGCATTTTAGAAAATGCTGCACTAAGGAAATAACTCTCTGTAGGTCTTCTTGGTAACACATCCATTTGCCCATTTGCCTGCCACAGACAGTTTTGCAACATGACAGTTAATTTCATGTGCTAAATATTCTTTAATTAATGGTGTGAAGTGGCTGTGACTTATAAAGAGAGAAATCAGATATGGGTGAAAAATTTGTAAAACCAGATATGGGTGAAAAGTTTGTCCTGAATGGTCCATAAAGTGACTCCACAACAGATCGCACTTCAGTCACAATTGGTATTTGCCAATATATTTATGCTTCAGATTCTAGGAACTATATAGCTTTTCTGTTGCCTATAAAGGCTATCCTGTAGAGACTTATATTTCTGTTCAGTTTTTCACTGGGGTGCCCCTCAGAGTGGCAGTAACCATGCTTCCAAATGCCAGTCTTCCCCGTCAGCAAAAGTTAATTTATGTAACAGCAAAGCAGCTTTGTGGACCAGTGACTCTGGTGTCTGAGAAGTATATACCTCTAATAATCTTAACATTTTCACTTTTGAAAAACTACCACAATATTTTGCTTTTGATACCTAGACAAATTTGCCTCTTATCTTGTTTTTCTAGGTTTCCATTCTTATAGATTGAAAATTATGCATATGATTAGATGCTAGCCATACATTAAGGAAAAAGGAAAAAGATATATGTTGAAGTCCCACAAGTAAATATAGAGTAGCATAGCATAGCAGTTACATACCTATACTCTGAAGCCAGATATCTGGATTGAATTCGGGCCCTACTACTGACTGACTAGTTGTGTACCCATGGATATATTACGTACCTTCTGTGTCTCAGTTTCCCCCACAGGTAACATGGGAATGATAATAGCATCTAATTTATAAGGTTGTTGTTAGGATTAAATAAATTTACATTTGTAAAGCACTATAAACCATGCCTGACAGTAAGCACTATGTAATTATTAAATCGATAGACCTAAAGAAAGCCATGAAAAAACAAAAATCTCTAGAAATGACGTTTTGTACAATTATAATAAGAAAATTGTAATTTTTTTTGAGACAGTGTCTCACTGTATCATCCATACTGGAGTACAGTAGTCCAATCATAGCTATTGCAACCTTGACCTGGGCTTACATGATCCTCTTGCTTCAGCCTCCCAGGCAGCTGAGACTACAGGTGCATGCCACCATGCCTGGATAATTAAAAATTTTTTTTTTTTTAGTAGAGATGAGGTCTTATTACGTTGCCCAGTCTGGTCTTGAACTCCTGGGCTCAAGCAATCCTCCCACATTGGTCTCCCAAAGTGCTGGGATTATAGGTGTGAGACACTGTTTCTGGCCACAAAATTGTATTTTAAGGAGTGTTTACTAATAACTCAGTGCTTACAAGCCTTGTTTAATTTAGTTGAGGTGAATTAGGGCCTTTGAATTTGATAAAACTTATTTACTGCTGCTACTCTTCAATGAAATACGGAGGTTGCTAAATGATATTCCCAAAGTCACAGCATGGAAGACAAATGCTGTAATTTGGCATGTTATTTTCTTACCTACATCACTCACCACACAGACCCCAGTGGTCTCTTTTCTACTGTTGACTTCATGCTGAAATAGAGCCACAAGATTCTGATCCCTGGAGATATATATATCTCTCTCTATATATAGATATGTAGATATATCTATGCATATTTTCAAGAGTATGTTTTTAATAAGACATTTTAAGTTTTGTGTTTTTGTTCAAAATAATCCACCTGTCTTAGTCCATTCAGGCTCCCATAACAGAAGACTTTAGGCTAGGTAATTTATAAGCAACAGAAATTTCTTTCTCCGTTCTGGAGGCTGGGAAGTGCAAGATCAAGGTGCCAGCAGATTCGGTGTCCAGTGAGGACCTATTCCTCACAGATGGTGCTACCTTTGTGTCCTCATATGGTGGAAGAGCAGAAAGGCAAAATGGGATGAACAAGCTCTCTCTTTTATAAGGATGCTAATTACATTCATGAGGGCTTTATCCTCATGACCTAATCACTGCTTAAAGGCCTACCTCTTAATAATATTGCATTGGGGATTTGAAGTCAACATATGGTTTTTTTGAGAGACACATCCAGACCATAGCACCCCAAAGTACTTAAGCATATTCTAACTAATGGAGATCATCAGTTTATAGTCTTCCTGCTTATAATATTGCTGTCACCAAGTAATACTGCTTTAACTGTCTGAGCTTATGAAAGAAGGTAAGAAGTAAGTTTAATATGTAAATTATGTGTTTGTGCCAAGAAAGGGCCAAAACAAAATACTTTTCTAATAGAGAAAAATGAGAAAAATTGAGTCATCACCTAGCACCATGCATTATTCTCATGATGGACTCAAAACAATCTTTGCTGTTAGGAGTTAGTATTATAGCCTTGTTATAAGCTATAACAAGGCTTATAACAAGCCTTGTGATTTAGTTCTAGCAAACGACTACAATCATTCACAGTGAGTGAGTGTTGTTAATCAGAACTTGATTCTTTTTCTAGTTTTGTTTGTATTTAATGCATCATTTTTTGTTTTATGAATTTGTTTAGCACTATTGGCAGTTAACTGTATGTTTTTGTACATTTAATGATACTATGATAACAGTATCTACACTGGGGATTGTGCCAGAAATTAGTCACATTCAAAAATCATTGCCTAGGAAGGAGATGGTCTTGTCCCTGAGGCCTTCATTTTGCTTAAAAAGAGACCCAGAGCAAAGAAGGCCAAGGATATTTTTCTCACCTTTTCCTAATTTGCAGTGCCCAGCTTGTCAACAGAGACAAGTCAAAAACAGTGGCAGCAGTGAAAAGCTAATTCAAACAGGTGGTCTGCTTCTTTACATTGCTGTTAATATCTGCACTCCTTTTATCTCTTTGCTGCTTCTCAAGCATGTTAGCAAGCTCCCTCATGGGGGCCTTTGCACTGATTGTTCTTTTTGCCTGGAATGTAAGGCCAAATCCAAGACCTCACTCAATTCTTTGCTCAAACATCCCCTTCTGAATGAGGCCTACTATGCTTCCCTACTCTCAAGCCCCAGCTTTCCCTCTCTGTTCTCTTTCCCCCAACACTTATAACCATCCTATACACTATATGATTTACCTTAATATGTTCCTTGTTTACTGTCCATCTCCCCTTTCCATCTCCCGCTAGAATGTAAGCTCCATGAGGGCAGGTGGTTTTCTTTTTGTTGAATTCACTCATGTATCCTAAGATCCTGGCACAAAGTAGGCACTCAGTAAACAGTTATTGAGTTAATTAGTCTTTCTACCATCTCGTTAGTCCGATTCTTCATGAAGTTATAGCCTAAGTTTCTCCTTTCTAAACAGTTTCAGGGTTGAGGGTAGAGGTGGCACATTGGTGTATGTTAATAGGAAGAAGTTCTAGATACACAGCTCTACACTGTTGTGACATTTTTCACATTAAATGAGGCATTTTACATTCAATGAAACATACCTAATAGGTTTTAATAAATAGGCTTCCAACCAAGTTAGTTTCATTTGGACCAAATTCCTAAGTAATTAGGAAAAAAAACAAAACCCATGTACTACAGTAGTTATTTTAATCTAGACAAGTTATATTTGCATTTATATTGCACTTTACAGTTTGAAGAGCAGCTTATACCAAAATTTCCTTGGATTTTCAACCACCATGACTGGTCTGAACAAGTATTTTCAGTCCCCATGTGCTCCAGTTCCAGAGAAGTTAAAGGACTAGCTTCAGATCACAAAAGTGATTCTCTAAGACCTGCCACCCAGGTCTTCTAGCGTCCTACCTTAGGTGAGTAGAGTGCTCTTTTTAATAAGAGGCTTTTGGTATCAGGTTTAATAAGAGGCTTTGGTATCAGGGCATAGGGCTTAATGGAGAGGGATGGCCAATGATACATGATTTTAGGAAGAAGTTCTGCATGATGGAAAATTAATTACCTTCTAGTGAGATCATATTTTAAAAATTTGCTTTAATATCTCCATGTTCAGTGGTTTGTTGAATACTTTTCATTAAGTAACTAGAGCTTTTATATTCTGATTAAATAAATGAGCCGGGGCTTGTAAGATGGGGAAGGCTTTTACTGTCTTAATTAAATAAGATTATGATTTATTGCATATGAGATACAGAAAAGAAACCATCAGACCAGGCACAATGGCTCATGCTTGTAATCCCAGCACTTTGGGAGGCTAAGGCAGGACGATTGCTTGAGCCCAGGAGTTCAAGACCAACCTGGGCAACATAGCAAGACCCTGTCTCTACAAATAAAAATTAGCTGGACATGGTAACTGGTGCCTACAGTCTCAGATATTTGGAAAGCTGAGGCAGGAGGATTGCTTGAGCCCAGGAATTGGAGGCTGCAGTGAGCTGTGATTGTGCCACTGCCCTCCAGCCTGAGCGAAAGAACAGGACCCTGACTAAAAAAAAAAGTGAAAGAAACAAAAAAAGAAACCATCTAACAGGTGGCTGAGGAGATTTATTGTTAGTTTCATGAAGTTACTGAGAATTGCAGAGAAGGATAGATTAAATAAAAGTATTTAGGAGAAGTGATTAACATTTTATAAAGCATGCTAAAGAAGTTAATCAATTGGCAGCCTAGTGTTTCTGTTTTTTGTAACCTTAATTCAGGATGTCATAATGAATGAATGTAAAAAATACTAGGGAGGGGCAATAAGTGTTTTGTTCATCATTTCATTGTGTAAATACTTATGAATAACTCTTCAGACTTCTGCTATTTTATTTGCCACCTTATGATTAAAACAATTTTTTTTTGGAGACAGGGTCTTGCTCTGTTGCCCAGGCTGGAGTATAGTAGTGCTGTCTCGGCTCACTGCAGCATCTGCCTCCCGGGCTCAAGTGATCCTCCCACTTCAGCCTCATGAGTATCTGGGACTGCAGGCGGATGCCACCATGCTTGGTTAATTTTTAAATTTTTTTGTAGAGATGGGGTCTTTCTATATTATGCAGGCTGGTCTCAAACTCCTGGGCTCAAGCGATCCTCCTGCCTCGGCCTCCCAAAGTGTTGGAATTACAGGTACGAGCCACCGTGCTCAGCCTAAAAGAATTTTTTATGTAGCCTGTGAGAGCTGGGATCAAGCCTTAATCATTTTTTTTGTCCCCAGGTTCCAGTAAATTAAAGCCCATGGAAAGGGCTTAATAAATGTTTATTGCCAAGTGAATGAGTAAGGTTAATGAACAGTGCTGAATGAGCTTGTTAAACAATCCAACCTTCAATCAGGGAGGTCAAGATTTAATTTCTTTTTGGTTTTACACAGATGGAAGAGTGAAGAAATATAATAGCATCTGAATGACTGAGCAGGCACTAAGCTAGTTGCTCACCTCATCTAACCCTCAGTAACCTGTTGAGGTTGTACAATTCCCATTGCCATTTTACAGATGAGTAATATGAGACACAGTCACACAAGTGATAGAAACAGGATTTTAACTCAGGGAATATATTTAACCACTATACTGAACTGTTTAACCTTTTGCCGTGAAATAAATGAGAATATGATTTCCATGTTCACGTCTTAGGGATTTTAAATGAGTGATGTGTGAAGGGCCACTACTGAATGATTTAGTTTTCTTAGTTGAAATGTTCACCTTCCATTTTATTCCTCAGCCCACCTCAGCCTAGCTTTCAACTCCAAACCTTGACTGTCACTGCCCCACTGAGGACATTGGAGCCCTTGTCATTGCCAACTGGGTGAAGTGGGGCTTTGTCCTCTTAAATCTTGACAGTATTTGATGCTGTTGATGTCACTGTTCCCTTCTTGAAAAGGTCTACTCTTTAATCTTTCCTAGACCCTTCTTTTCTAGTTACCTGCCTGAAGTTATTTCTGTTTTGTCCTTTGCTCTCTCTTCTTCCACCTTAGTTGGTGTTCCACAGACTTTTCTCTCCTAGGCTCTTTTCTCCTAATTTTGCTCTTGGCACCCTGCAATCTCATCTGTTTCCATGGATTCAGCCAATACCTATACACTTACATCCCCAATCTTCATTCTTTTTCTGAGTGCCATTATTGTATTTCTAGCTGTGGACTTGGCATCTCCACCTGGATTGGCCTCAGACCCCTCAAATTCATTGTAGCCCAAACAGAATTTGACCACATTCTTCATCCTCCTTCATACGCCTCTTTAATGTTGCTGGCAGCAGTTACGCAAATCAGACATTTGAGACTTATGCTTGCATTTTTCTTCATCACTTCCATCCAGGTGGCCTGGTCAATTAACCTCTTCAACTTATCTATATCTGGCTCCACTGCTTCAACTTTTATTCCTATCTTTGTTATCTTTCTCCTACCTTGAACCACTCTTCTGACTGATGCTTCTGCCACCAATTTCCTCTTACTGCAATTCATCCCCCATACTGCCACCAGAGCCACCTGTCTTATGAAAAATATAGTTTTGTCCCTGATCATGAAAGTTAAGCTTAGTGAAAAACATTTAAAATACAGAAAATAGAATAAAATGAAAGCTACTTGTGGTCCTGCTACCATTTGCAATATCATTTTTACTAGTATTGAGGCTGGTTACATTTCTAAAGGTCAGGGTTATCATGGAGCTACCCTGGTTTAGAACATTCATGTAAAGCAAGTGCCATTTCCGTTGGAAATGCAGTTGCTGTAGATGCTTTTTAAAGCCAGGTTATTTATAAATAATGAAGACAAAGTAGGGCACGTATTGCTACAAGACAGAGAATACAATCCGCTATTATATTGTACAGACTCTCATTCTATCCTTTTTCATGTTATATACCTATTCAGAAATTCTTTCTGGGGTTTACTTAGGGCTTCATCAACTAGAGATTTACAAAATCTGAATACATCTCTAGTTTCTAATTTTTTAAAAAACTGTAAGATAATGTTATTACATGTTTTTTTTTTGCCCTATGTGAATAACCAGAGGCCTTTTTTCGATTAAGTAATATAGTCATTTGGCCCAAAAAACTTTCTAAATGCAAAGAAGTAGTTTGACAGGTTTCCTTTCAACCTCTCATGCATTTCCAAATTTTTCCCTTTTTTTCTCACAGGTAACAATGCTCATTAGTTTCAGGTTTATTCTTTCAAAGTTTTTATACATATATGGATGGATATATATTCCACACATGTATATATATATATATATACACACACACACACATACTATATGTATATACACACACACATATACATACATGTATATCAATAAGCAAATACAACTATGTAGAAATTTTCACCTCTTTTAATATAAAAAATAGCAAAATATATGCACTATTCTACACTTTGTTTCACTTATATATTGTTCAGATTTTTCCAGGTCAGAACATAGAAAGAGTCCCATTCTTATATATGTGCACACTTTTATTGTTGAGATGTAACATAATTTATTAACTGGTATATTTGATGGGTTAAGTAGTGGACATTTAAATTGTCTCCAGTTTTCTCTATTACAAACAAATAGTGCTGTAATGAATAATCATACATATATGTATATATTTAAATCACATTAGTGTTTTGTCTTGCTTAATATTACGTTTAATTTTATTTCAGTTTAAACTAGTTAAAGACTAATGTCAGCTGTGTCCTGCAGTAGATTTCTGCAGGAAATCTGGCAGTTTAGGAAAGCTGTCTTCTTTATATCACACTAGACTTCTAGTCATGGTCCACAGAGAACCTTATCATGGGGATGTTGCCTTACTAATGACCCTTATAACCTCAGCTGGGTCTGATTTCTGGGAAACTCTTGCCCTCCTGGTAGGAGGCAAATGTCTGCTTCCTGACTTCCCAGAACTTTTCGTCTACTTTTATTTATTATAATATAAGGAACATTTTCTGGCTATTAATAGACTGGAACCTGCTTCTTTATAATCCTGACGCTATGAGAAACCAGTGACCTGCTTGAAAATTTCACTGTTGGTTGATTTTGGGTAGAATTTTATATGGACATTGATTTTACTTTATTTTTCTATACTGATTTACAACTTATTAACAGCTAAGGCACCAAAGCATTATGAAATGAAGATAAAACCTTCATAGAAGCTACTATCATAGTCCACATGGTTAGTAGGACATGCTGAATTTAATCATTTTTCTAGTAGGAGGGATGACTTTGTGCTGAACTGATCCTTAGACTCAGTGACGTGAGAACCATGTGGGGTGATTGGTGAGGTTCATGGTCACAGAACAGTGTCTTAAGGGACTTTAGACTTTCTAAAGAGCATCATGCTTTAAGCAACTGTGCTTATTGTAAATGGCAGCTGAGAAGCCGGGTAGGGTTTTCCTACGGGGCTTAGGTCAGGGGTTTTCTTACCCCAATCTAATCTTCAAGGGATGATTGTGAGGAGAAGCACTTCGGGAATGGTAGAGTGAGAACCCCCACCACCACATTCTGCTCCCCAAAAAAGCAATGAAAACACTGGAGAAAATTGCAAAAGTCAACTTTTTTAGAACTCTGGAAATCAGCCAAAAGCTTTCAAGTACATGAGGAGCATTTATTCAAGAAACAGGTTGAACTCAGCACAGTAGGCTTTGGCTGTGTAACATTTTATTATGACTTGCCTTTTATCATTCCTGTCTCCCCAGCTCTGCAATAACTGAAAACCAGAAGCTCTGCAACCATGGTAGTCATGAAAACAAACACACCTTACGAGCCACTAACGGCAGCAGAATGGGTTTGGAGCTTCCCCAAAAACCTCATCCCTGTTAGAGAATTGTCACTACCTGACATGTCTGGCAGCTCTCTGGAAAAGCCCCATTTGCAGGACTTTCGTTAACCTGGCTCATAGCTTCTTTGGTGCAAACAACCCTATCACCAGAACACTTTTCAAAAACAACCAATGACAGTTGTTTAACACTGCACTTACCTGAGGTGGCAATACCACTTGGGGCACATAAGGGACTAACAGAAAAAAACGGAAAAGGACAATATAGAGAAAGAGATGTGCATAGCAGGCTTTGAAAAGCTCAAATATATTCCTGGGAATTGGGAAAGCCAAATGCATACAAAGGGCTGTGTGCATACCCAGGAGAGACCTTATTTTCTTCTGTGCCTGACCTTCAGGCTCTGTGCAAGCAGGAAGTAAAAGTTAAGGCAGAGCTATAAACTGCTTAGAGTACTGAAGGAGTGTTCCATCAAACACACACAGCCCATCAGCAAAGGCTGGGGGACTTACTGATTGAGTGCATTTAAGCAAATCTTTGTGCATTTGTTATCCAACCACTGAGTGAACTGAGCAGGGACTTAAATAGCCACACAGGACAACTGCTTCACCCCTATGAACTTCTAATAGGGATATTTTCTTAAATAAGCAAAATGTCTTTATTATGCTTAATATTATACACAAGAATTATCTAATATTAAAATTTCACTGTTTCTCAAAAATAATTGATTTAAGCAAAATCCAGTTAACAATTTATTTATTATGTCACCTTTAATGTAGAGCAGTACCTTCTCCCCTCATCCTTTTTTTTTTTTTTTTGCTGGAGAATAGCATACATGCAGAGAAGTAAAATCATCATAAATTTATGGCTCTTGCATCTTCTCAGTAACACTCTTCCTTAAAGGTAACCATTGTCCTGACTTCAAACACCATAGGCTAATTATGTCTCTTTTATTGTTTTATTGAGGAATTGCACATATTTAGGAAAGTCCTTAAGGTGCCATAATCTTTTTGTTTTTTTTTTTTTTTTTTTGAGACGGAGTATTGCTCTGTCGCCCAGGCTGGAGTGCAGTGGTGTGATCTCAGCTCACTGCAAGCTCTGCCTCCCGGGTTCATGCCATCCTCCTGCCTCAGCCTCCTGAGTAGCTGGGACTACAGGCGCCCGCCACCACGCCTGGCTAATTTTTTGTATTTTTAGTAGAGACGGGGTTTCACCATGTTAGCCAGGATGGTTTCGATCTCCTGACCTCGTGATCCACCCGCCTCGACCTCCCAAAGTGCTGGGATTACAGGCATGAGCCACCACGCCCAGCCAAGTTGCCATAATCTTAAGTGTACTGTGTAATGAACATTTACGTATGTGTAGACCTGTATAACTGCCACCCAGATCAGGACATAGAGTATTCTCAGCACCTCAAAAGTCCTTCTCATACTCCCAATCACAGCCTCCTTAAGGCTTGATTGTAGGTTAGTTTTGCCTGTTTTTGAACTGTAAATAAAAATAGACTTATTTAGAGTGCATTAGTTTTATCTGACTCTTTTCACTATCATTTTTTCCTTTCATTTTTCACAGTGCCAGTGACAACTGTATCTGTTGTCCTTGAGAATGTCTCACATTCAGGATTTGTTTTTTTTTTTGCTCACTGGTATTGTCTTTTAACTTGTTCCACTGACTCCCTTATTTCTTATAAATTGGAGGTTAACCAAAAGGGTCTTGAATATCATCAAGTTAATGTTTTTCCCCAAGGATGCTTCTTTGGTGGTGCTGTGTACTTCATGTTGCATTCCATCAAAAGTTACACAAGAGTCTGACTGCCCCATTCTTCGTGATGCTAAGATTGATTAGTGGGTTCAAGTTGTGGCAGCGTAATGTCTTCGTTAGAATGTTTCTCATTGATTTTTTTGTCTAATGTTTTCAAATATATTATTTTCTTATGCATTGAAAAATTATGAATTTTGTAATTATCTTATTTCTTCTGTACTTATTTCCTGGAATTCTTATGTAAAAAGCACTTCTCCTCATGGCTTGTTAGTACCTTTGAAATACTGTTCATTCTGGAAAAGCAAAATGATGCTTAATTCTTTAATTTTCAATGACAGTTTTCAGAATATGTGGGCATTGGTGCCCTAGTTATTGTCAATTGTGACTAATGAGTTTTACTTTTATTTTATTTAGGGGCTACATATATTTTAATATTGCTATGAACTCGTGTTTAAACATTTTATTTTCATGTGTTCTAATGAATTGCAGGGTTTTGAAAATATTCTAATTGGGCCAATGGGGAAAGCTATACAAGAAGGTGTTTTAAGAGTAGTTTTATATTTTATCCCTGGTATCTCCACTCTGAACACTTATTCTCTCTGTAGGTAACCATTTGTGGTGGCTTCTTCTTTATCATTTCCGTGTTTCTTTTCATAAATAAAAGCACATTGTATGAAATTGTGTGTGTATGGGGGTGGTGGTGCAGTATATATGCTATTTCAGCCCTAGGCAATGGGAATTAAAGTGATTTAGCCAAGATGACAAAAAGATGACATGGTAGGGCCTGAATTTAAACTTAGGAATCTGACTTCTGAGCTTGGGTTTTTAACCACTCTGCTCTACTTATGGCAGTCCCATTGACTCCCAACCCAAGGAAAGGCCAAAGAGGAGACAGTTGTGATTTTGCTACTCTTAGAGTAATACGTGCAAAACTAATCTGAACACAGATTTAACAGTGGAACTTGTTTTTAAAATAATTGCAGAAATGCTTTGTGAGACTGCATCTGAGTAAACTTGTGCCAAGAAAATATATACTTCTTGATTTTCTTTCCTTTTTTTCTCTTTTGTATTTTGCTTGTTTGTTTGGTTCACATTTTCTAATTTGGCTTAGCAGTATTGACTTAATCTGCTGGTAAGAAACAGTGAGAAAAACTTATTTTAAGTGCTTTCAGATGTTGCAATTGTTATTGCATGAGAAATTTGTAAAATGGAAACTTTGCTTCATTCATGCATTAACTATGCTGAGGATATTTCAGGAAAATCTGCATGATATGGTTTGGCTATGTTCCCACCCAAATCTCATCTTGAACTGTGGCTCCCACAGTTCCCACGTATTGTGGGAGGAACCCAGTGGGAGGTAAGTGAATCGTGGAGGTGGGTCTTTCCCATGCTGTTCTCATGATAGTGAATAAGTCTCATGAGATCTGATGGTTTTATAAAGGGGAGTTCCCCTGCACAAGCCCTCTCTTGCCTGCTACCATGTAAGACGTCCCTTGCTCTTCCACCATGATTGTGGGGCCTCCCTAGCTATGTGGAACTGTGAGTCAGTTAAACCTCTTTCCTTTACTAATTACCCAGTTTCGGGTATGTCTTTATGAGCAGCGTGAGAACAGACTAATACACTGCATCAGGACAATTTTTAGTACCTTATATCAAGAATACAATTGTTGCAAGTAGATAACTTTAAAACTGACAAAAAAATCAAAATGACCATAATATAATTTGCCTCTTAGGTTGTGTTTGAGACTCTCTCTTCGGGATTCTCAGAATTTACTCATTATTTTATCACTGAAAGTTTAAGCTACTTTTCCGTGGCACTAACTAGCGGATAGCTTTGGCCAACCTGGTTTCTCTTTGATTTAGGAATTAATGTTATTAAAATTTCCTTGGCATGTTTATGAAATTTGAGTATGATCAAACAATAATTTTTATAGAGTTTGTAACTCTATGTTTTTTCCCCCAAGGAATGAAAAACGATCTTAATTAATTCATTCATTTATTTTTATGTATTGATTTTTTTTTTGAGATGGAGTTTTGCTCTTGTTGCCTAGGCTGGAGTGCAGTGGTGTGATCTTGGCTCACTGCAACCTCCACCTCCCGGGTTCGAGATTCTCCTATCTCAGCCTCTTGAGTAGCTGGGATTACAGGTGCATGCCACCACACCTGGCTAATTTTTGTATTTTTAGTAGAGACGGGGTTTCATCGTATTGGTCAGGCTGGTCTCGAACTCCTGACCTCAGGTTGATCCGCCTGCTTCAGCCTCCCAAAGTGCTGGGACTACAGGCGTGAGCCACCATGCCCGGCCCTTTTTTTTTTTTTTATGACAGAGTCTTGCTCTGTTGCCCAGGCTGGAGTGCAGTGGTGTGACGTGATGTTGGCTCACTGCAATGGCCGCCTCCCTGGTTCAAGCAATTGCTACCTGCCTCAGCCTCCTGAGTAGCTGGGATTACAGGTGCGCACCACTGCACCCAGCTAATTTTTGTATTTTTAGTAGAGATGGGGTTTCGTCATGTTGGCCAGGCTGGTCTCAAACTCCTGACGTTGTGATTCATCTGCCTCGGCCTCCCAAAGTGCTGGGATTACAGGCATGAGCCACTGTGCCCAGCCGAAAATCTATTTTAATTTATGTTTTGTTGTTGGATTCTTGTTTTTTACTTCTCAGTATGATGAGATTATTTTTGATGTGGCTTTTTGTCTATTATATTCTTAGTATCTCTTCAAATTGTTGTTTAAATAGTTGCTCTTAAATATACAAATTTGGAGACCAATAAGTTATGAAGTACTTCACACTTCTGGTTTGGGGCAAAGTTTGAGGGTAATAAAAGCTAAGATTCAGAATGTGTTATTATTCTTTTAATCAAAAATATGTATTGTGCCCTTCCCACCATTAGGTAATTGTTAGGAAAATGGAGATTAATAAAACGTGGTTCTGAGCCTGAAGGAACGTAGACTGATAGAGGGAATTGGACCTGACAGTGTATCCAAATGGACCAGATTTTCCTAACTGGCATAAGAAGGTACATGCGAAAGTACTTTGAATAGTAGACATATAAGCTTCAAGAACGTGTTCATCAGCCTTGGAAAAATGTATGGCATTGGTGATATAGAACAAGTGTCATTCATAATATCTGCATAACTGCAATACAGTAATAAGTAGAGGCTATTTCACTTTTATTCTGGACAATCTCCATTAGAAAAATTGAAATAGATGATGTTTCTCTGTAGACGTTTTCCCACCTCTCATGTTTGATTCCTTTTTCCTAGCCATTGCATGATACCAATATCCACATCTTTTTCCACTGTTGTGTTCCCACTAATAATCAATTTTGATTCTCAAGTATACACTTGCCAGTCTTTTACCCGTCCTGATGTTTTGAAAAAGGTTACCACTTCCTTTTCTTTCAAAACCCAGTGGTAACAAGCTGTGAAATTAAAAACATACTTCCCAAACTGGCAAAAACTATTATTTCAATGAAAAAAGTAAAAGTAGAATCTATTAAAGTTTATAGAGAAACTGGAAATATCTGTGATCATGAATGCTCACAATGATTGATTGCAGTGTGATTTCTGTGTGTGTCTGTCTGTGTCTGTTTCCAGTCAGAGTTAGAGAGGCTCTAAGATAGACTGGGACTCCGAATTCTTTTAATATTTATGTTTGATTTAAATTGATGTCATGATTCCATTTGGGACAGTTCTCTTTAAGTTGATATCTGCTGAATACTTGAAGTTTTGAATACAACAGCTCAACAGATTGAAACTAGTTTTCTTTTTCTTTTTTTTCTTTCTTTTTTTTTTTTGAGACTGAGTCTTACTCTGTTGCCCAGGCTAGAGTGCAGTGGCATGATCTCAGCTCACTGCTACCTCTGCCTCCTGGGTTCCAGCAATTCTGCCTCAGCCTCCCGAGTGGCTGGGATTACAGGTGCGCACCACCACGACTGGCTAATTTTTGTATTTTTTAGTAGAGACGGGGTTTCACCATGTTGGCCAAGCTGGTCTTGAACTCCTGACCTTGTGATCTGCCCACCTCGACCTCCCAAAGTGCTGGCATTACAGGCATGAGCCACTGCGCCCGGCCAAAACTAGTTTTCATGTGCCGTCTTTGCTTCTTTTTTTTTTTTTTTACTCTTCCCTTACTGGATGTATCCCACGTCTATGCTTTGTCCCCTAGAGGTGACCTTATGGTGGATGATACTTGTATTTTTTAGAATCTTGAGATATGAGTTGTTGATAATACTTTGTGGATAGCTACAAGGTCACTTTTTGGGGAAACTGCTTGATAAATGAAAACTTCTTTCTGAATATTTCATAAATCCACAGTACAAATAAGATTTTCAAATGTCAAAATAGTTGATGATTAAAGATAGATTTGCAAGGGCAGTGCAGAGGATGTAGAAAGATAAGAGAGAGATGCCAGCCTTCATTTTTTTCCTGTATTACTGTTTCTGTATTTGTCTGTGACACTAAGCCACAATGAAGCGTTTCTTTTCTGATTAGTAAGGTAATGCAAGTTCATTGTACACCACTTGGAAATTATGGACAAATATGAAGGACTTAGGTTTTCCAGCCAAGCTATAACTACTATGAACATTTTGGCATATTTCTTTTACAACTTTAAATATAGATTGTATACATATTTATTTTATAATCCAGTTAAGCTCCTATTGTACATATAATTTTGCAGTATGTTTTTCCACTTATTATCTCATGAACGTTTTCCATGTTATTAAAAATTATTTGAGAATATCATGGGATGGCTACATAATACCCTATAATATGACTGTACCACAATTTACCTTTTCATTAATTTCTGGACAGTTATTTAGCTTCTAATTATTATGAATCATGACATATTATTCACCGTTGAATTTATATAATCTTTGGTGGCACATATTTATTTATTTATTTATTTTATTTTATTTTTTTTGAGACGGAGTCTCTCTCTGTCGCCCAGGCTGGAGTGCAGTGGCGGGATCTCGGCTCACTGCAAGCTCCGCCTCCCGGGTTCACGCCATTCTCCTGCCTCAGCCTCCCAAGTAGCTGGGACTACAGGCGCCCGCCACTACGCCCGGCTAATTTTTTGTATTTTTAGTAGAGACGGGGTTTCACCGTTTTAGCCGGGATGGTCTCGATCTCCTGACCTCGTGATCTGCCCGCCTCGGCTTCCCAATGGTGGCACATATTTCTTGAGCATGCACCTTATTTTGCTTATCAAGCCATGGCAGATAATTTTTTTCATGTATAATCATTACTTTTTTGTTTGTTTCCCCTTGTACTCTTATCCTTTACTGAAGGAAGTTGTTAAATTTTAAAAACAATAGCTTTTTTTAAGTTTGAGATGTTTGTATATAAACCCTGAAATAGGTTAGAAGGTAAAATTACAAATCCTGATGACAGCAGTTTATGATGGAAATGCTTACGGACCTTTAAATATAGCTTGGTAGGGAAGGGTGGGAGTGAATCAAGTTGTTACAGTTTGTTCCAGGAAGGACATTTTGGATGAATGCCATCTGCTTTTACAAAGATGTCCTGTGATTTTAGTTATATTTGCTCCACTTAACCTTTCCCAAAGTGTGCTGAAACAAATGTATGTGGTACACTAAAAGAAATTAACATAATTATAATTCCTTTGGTTAATTGAAAACAGGCAATTCTTTTTCTCCAAAGATGTTACTTGAATTACAAACAAAGTACTGAATTTGAACATGGTTTGGGCATGTTAGATAACCTAGATCAAGGAGACTGCAGAGGCCAGTTCATCTAGCCAGCTGCCTTCCTGGTGGACTATCCTTTATCTATTTTGTGTACTTGTCAGAGTGAGAAAATTCCAAGAACTTCTCTAGATTTTATTTCAGTGATTTAGAGTCTTCCTTGTTAAGAATAACAACACTCATATCTGAGCTTTTACTGCAGCAAGCGTGGACTCTGCACCAGGTCGTGTGCTGCTGACTTTATGTAGCTTCACAATCCTCTCAAAATTGTACTGGCTGTGCCTCGTTATCCCAATTGTACAGATGTGAAAACTAAAGTTTAGGGAGTTAAATCACTTGGCCAACCTCACACAGCTAAAAAGGTGTCCATTTTTGGCCGCGGAACCAAAGCTGTTCTGGACAGCCTACAAGCTGTCAGAGAGTTCTTAGTCATATAGTTAACCGATTACATGAGAAAATGTCTTAAAAATTGGGTTTCTAAAAAAAATGTTAAGCAAATAAAATGAACAAATTTAGTGTGCAACTTATAAGCATCAGAAAGCAAATTTGGACACTTAATAGTTGACTTCCTAACTCTTCTCAAAGGGGGACACAATTAGGTAGGGAGGAAAAAATCCTCATTTTTATTCTTCCTGGCCAGAGATCTTGGCAACTGGGAAAGTGGTTGCTATTATTGTGACTTTACCCATTGTATGCACAGATTCATACTTCCAGGTTCTCCATCCTACACCTTTTATAAACACCATGTTTAACTTGGAAAGGGAAAATGTTATTCTTGGCAACACTTATATACCAAAAGTAGAAACTGTAGGGGACCACCAAAGGATATTATCAACCAGGAAGCAGATACCGTAAAGAATATATCTAACATTTAACTTTAATACTGTTCACAGTGCAGGTCTTCAATAAGGGAGAAAATTATGATTCAAAGTTTACTAGGAGGCAGGGAAACCACAAAATGAGATCCGTGTCCCATGTATTTATGACTAGAATAATTTACTGATACTTTGTGCTTCTTATTACTGTTATTGCCACATATCAAGAAAATCATTAGATAGTTGATAGGGACCTGGCATTAAGATGAGCAAAGCAGTTAAAGGACCTGCTTTTTGAGAATAGCAGAATGAGAGACCATAGTTTCATGTTAGCAAAAATGCACAGATAGGGTACAGATATTAATACAATGATAGCATTCGTCACTGAATCCTCAAATGTTAAGACTCAAGGGTCTCTTTGAAAATTAAAAGAAAAATAAAAGTGAAAAAGTACTACTTTACACTGTTGAAAGTAAACTTTTAAGAAATGTTACTAAAATGTTATTCTAAAAGGGGATACAAGCTAAAAAGAAGTTGGTAGATTCACAGAAAACAGAGATCGTTCATTGCTGACAGATTCACAGTAAGTAATTATGAGAAGTTGAGGATATTCACTTTTGTATTAAAATCCTGGGTTAGGAGAGGCTCACTGGACTAACCAAGAAGGCCGGTTCTTCTCTGTAGAGTTCACCAGTGCTTCGCAGACTACCTGTGGACATTGATCTTTTGTAAAATAGAGTGAAAATAAGCTAGTAGAAAAAGAAATGGAATAAAATACAAGATCTATAAAATATGAGTCCAAAATTTTATTATTAGATTGAATAGACATAAAATTACTCTGACAAATTTCTGTAAAAGTTTCTAAGAGCTTCCAGTCAGTTTCTAGACCTATCTCAGATTATAAACAACCAATTCATGGACCAGCACTTACCCATGGCCCACATTTTGTGGAGCACTGTTCTCAGCTTAAATAGAATCTAAAACTTTGTTCTCATGTTAGTGCCCCTTTCTGTCTTCTTTATTCCTGTACTTGCTTGTCCTTTTACTATGCTTTTTTATTCTTTATTTAAAAGTAGATTGAACATAATAATTGTGAGCTGTTAAGGTAGGGGACACATTACAGGTACAGATGTATGTCTGTTTTTGAGTTTAATAAAATGAATATGCAAAATCAAAAATGACATGTACCTATACGTGTACATTAATATATGGACTATTGGATTTTAAGACTCTACACCATTGTCTGTTAGAAATGTGGTTCAAAGAGTACCTGTATCAGAATTAGCTGAGGTAACTGTTTAAAAATGCAGACTTTAGGGGGCAGAGCAAGATGGTGGAATAGAAGCCTCCACTGATTGTCCTCTTACAGTAACACCAAATTGAACGACTCTCCACACACAAAAAAACACCTTCATAAGAACCAAAAATCAGATGAGCAATCACAGTATCTGGTTTTAATTTCATGCCACTGAAAGAGGCATTGAACAGGGTAGGAGAGAGAGTTTTTCATTGCTGACACTGCATCCCCCCTATCCTCCAGCAGCAGCAAGTGGCACAGAGAGAGAATCTGTGCGCTTAGGGGAGGGAGAATGCAGTGATTGTGGGACTTTGCATTGAAATGCTGTGCTGTATTGTCACAGCAGAAAGCAACGCTGGGCAGAACCTAGCTGGCACCCACAGAGGGAGCATTTAGATCAGCCCTAGCCAGAGGGGAATCACTCATTCTAGCAGTCAGAACCTGAATCCCAGGAAGCCTCGCCACCATGGGTTAAATTGCTCTGGGGTTGTAAATAAACATTAAAGGCAGTCTAGACCACAAGGACTGCAATTCCTGGGCAAGTCCTGGTGCTGTGCTGGGCTTAGAGCCAGTAGACTTTGGGGGCTTGTGACCTAGTGAGACACCAGCTGGGGTAGCCAGGGGAGTGCTTGTGCCATCCCTCTCCCACCCCCAGGCAGCACAGCTCACAGTTCCAAAAGAGACCCCTGCATTCCACTTGAGGAGAAGAGAGGAAAGAATAAAGAGGACTTTGTCTTGCAACTTGGATACCAGCTCAGCCACAGTAGGATACGACACCAGACAGAGTCTTGAGGCTTCCATTCCAGGCCCTAGCTCCTGGATGACATTTTAGACACAGCCTGGGCCAGAAGGGAACTCACTTCCTTGAAGGGAAGGACTCAGACCTGTCAGGATTCATCACCTGCTGACTAAAGAGCCCTTGGGCCCTAAATAATCAGCAGCAGTATCCAGGTAGTACTCACCATGGGCCTTGCTGAGACTTGGAGACATGCTGGCTTCAGGTATGACCCAGCAGATTCCCAGCTGTGGCAGCTAAGGGGAGGGACTCCTTCTGCTTGAGAAAAGAAGAGGGAAGAGTAAGGGGACTTTGTCTTACTGCTTAGGTACCAGCTTGTCCACAATGGGTGAGGACACTCCCCACTGGTGTCCTCAATTCTAGGTCTTGGCTTTTAGATGGCATTTCTGGAAATACCCTGGGCCAGAGGGGAGCCCACTGCTCTAAAGGGAGAGTTCCAGGCCTGGCAGCATTCACCACAAGCTGACTAAAGAGCTTTGTAAGCCTTGAATGAATATCAGTAGTAGCCAGGCAGTGCTCACCATGGACCTAGGGCAGTAGTGGCCATAGGGAGAAATGCCTCTGTTTGTGGAAAGATGAGGGCAGAGTGGAAGGACTTTGTCTTGTGGCTTGGGTGCCAGCTCAGCTGCAGTGGAATAGAACATCAAGTATATTCCTAAGGTTTCCTACTCTAGGCCCTGGTTCCTTGATGGCATCTTTAGGCCTGCCCAGGACTGAGGGGATTTTGCTGCCCTGAAGGGAAAGACACAAGCTTGGCTAGCTTTGTTATGTGCTGTGCTGATTGTAGAGCCCTAGGCCCTTGAGTGAACATAGGTGGTAGCCAGGCAGTGGTTAACATGTGCCTTGGGTGAGACCCAGTGCTGTGCTGGCTTCAGGTCTGACCCAGTGCAGTCCCAGTGGTGGTGACAACAGGAGTCCATGTGTCATTCCTCTCTTAGGTTCAGAGAGCTCATCAGTGAGAGAGAGAGAGAGAGAGAGAGAGAGAGAGAGAGAGAGACTCCATTTGTTTAGGAGGAGTAAGGGAAGAGAAAAAGAGTTTCTACCAGGTAATCCACAGAATTCTTCTAGATCCTATCCAAGACTACCAAGGTGGTACCTATAGGAGTCTGCAAGACTCACGCTGTTACTAGGCTTGGGATGCCCCCTAATGAAGATGTGGCTGCAGTGATCAAAAACTTAGATCACAACACCAAAGTCCCTTAAATATCTGGAATACCTTCAAAGAAAGACAGGCACAAACAAGCCCAGACTGTAAAGACTGCAATAAATACCTAACTCTTCAAAGCCCAGACCCTGAAGAACATTCACAAGCATCAAGACCACCCAGGAAAACATGACCTCACCAAAGGAACTAAATAAGACACTGGTGACCAATC
Source organism: Homo sapiens (assembly GCF_000001405.40). Taxonomy (NCBI): domain Eukaryota; kingdom Metazoa; phylum Chordata; class Mammalia; order Primates; family Hominidae; genus Homo; species Homo sapiens. The sequence goes on along the minus strand of NC_000002.12, from coordinate 196,368,963 downwards.
CTGGAGAGGCAGGTATTTGTGGTCAGTCAGACAGAGAATTCAAAGTGACTGTTTTGAGGAAACTAAAAGAAATTCAAGTAAACAAAGAGAAGGAATTTTGAATCCTATCAGATAAGTTAAACAAAGAGCTTGAAATAACTAAAAAGAGTCAAGCAGAAACTCTGGAGTTGGAAATGCAACTGACATATTGAAGAATGCCTCGGAGACTCTTAGCAGCAGAATTGATCAAGCAGAAGAAAAAATTATCTTGAAGACAGGCTATTTGAAAACACACAGTCAGAGGAGACAAAAAAGAATAAAAAAGAATGAAGCATGCCTACAAGATCTAGAAAACAGCCTCAAAAGGGCAAATCTAAGTTATTGGCCTTAATCAGGAGGTAGAGAGAGATAGTGGTAGAAAGTTTATTCAAAGAGATAATAACAGAAAACCTCCCAAACCTAGAGAAAGATATCAATATTCAAATACAAGAAGGTTATAGAACAGCAAGTAGATTTAACTAAAACAAGACTACCTCAAGACATTTAATAATGGAACTCCCAAAGGTCAAGGATAAAGAAAGGATGCTAAAAGCAGTAGGAGAAAAGAAACAACGTACAATGGACTTCCAATATATCTAGCAGCAGAGAAGTGCACAGCAAAACTGCAATGAGATATCATCTTACCCCAGTTAAAATGGCTTTTAAAATGCTGGTGAGGATATGAAGAAAAGGGAACCCTTGTACACCTTGGTAGAAATGTAAATTAGTACAACCACTATGGAAAACAGTTTGGAAGTTCCTAAAAACTAAACATTGAACTAACATATGATCCAGCAATTACACTGCTAGGTATATATGTAAAAGAAAGGAAATCAGCATATCGAAGAGATATCTGCACTGTTTGCTGCAGCACTGTTCACAATAGCCAAGATTTGAAAGCAACCTAAGTTTATAACAGCAGACGAATGGAAAAAGAAAATGTGATATATATATATGTATCATATATATGTATCTCATATATGTATCATATATATGTATCTCATATATATATGTATCTATGTATCTCATATATATATGTATCTATGTACCATACACACACACACACACAAACACACACACACACACACACAATGGAGTACTATTCGGCCATGAAAAAGAATGAGATCCTGTCATTTGCAACAACATGGATGATACTGGAGGTCATTATGTTAAGTGAAATAAACCAGGGACAGAAAGACACACTTCGCATGTTGTCACTTACTTGTGGGAACTAAACATGAAAACAATTGAACTCATGAAGATAGAGGATAGAATGATGGTTACCAGAGGCTGGGAAGGGTAGTGGGTTGCGGGGGAAGTGCAGATGGTTTATGTATAAAAAAATATGGTTAGATAGAATGAATAAGATCTAGCATTTGGTAGCACAACAGGGTGACAACAGTCAACAATAATTTATTGTACATTTAAAAGTAACTAAGAGTATAATTGAATTATTTTTAACACAAAGAAAGGATAAATGCTTGAGGTGATGAATACTTCATTTACCCTGATGTGATTATTATGCATTGTATGCCTGTATCAAAGTATCTCATGTACCCTGTAAATATAGGCACCTACCATGTACCCACAACAATTAAAAATTAAAAAATGCAAACGCCTAAGACCCATCCTATACCTACTGAATCACAATTTCTGTAATTTGCTCTATGGAGTCTGAATTTTAAACATGAGTCCCAGATGATTCTAAGACACGTAAAATTTAAGAACTACTCTTTCAGCATGTGGGAATCTGTGCGATATGTTTAATTCTGAATCATACACTATGGTGGTAAAGTATAAATGCCAATTTTGTTCACTAATGTGAATATGTTAGAGTCTCTGAATGTGTTCTTTCAGGAGAGCATCTCCAGGGTATATTATTGTGTTCATTGCTATATGCAAAGCATTATTGGAAAAGGGTAATGTTCCCATTTTACAGACAGAAACAACATATATATACACAGATAAAATAATTTTACATCTTTCTCTACTAGTTTCATCTTAATTGAAGATTTTTGCATGCTTAAAACCTATTCTTAAATTCCCCCTGGTTTACAATAATATAATTTAATTTGGAATGAAAAATAACATAGCTGAAGAACCCATTAACTGTGCAGTTAAAGAGTTATAAATTGAATTAGAGAAGGGGGATTGTATTTAAACCCCTTAATATTTCACTTGGAAACATTTGTGTTTCCATTAATATGGAGTTAATGCAACGTTAACACAAAGTTCACCATTAAGGAAAAATATAATACTCTTGATGTTAATATGAAATTCTCCCATGAGGAAAAATACTACATCCTAAGAGCTTCAAGACATATGCCAATCAAATAAAGCAGATACCACTATAGCTGGGTCTTTAATTCTGTGGTGGAAGTAGGTGAAGGGAAAAGAACTACATTTATTCTGATTTGTGTATAGCTTTCAGAGTTTTTGGCACATTACATATGCTTGTGGGTATTGATCTGTTAAACATAGATAACTGAGGGTCATTTATTTTTGTGTACGAAAGTAATGGATCACAATGCTGATATTTTGGCTTGAATGGACATTCCTAGAGGTATTTCCTTGTCCACCGAAGATGAGGAAATCAGTCCTTTGGGAATTTTCTTCTCTTCCAAAGCATATTAATAGTTTCCCAGATAAAACTGAAAAACTTTAAGAAAGTAACAAGTCCTTAATTACTTTTACTAAACTCATTGTACCACACAAATTTCTTCTGAAATTGTGCAGGGTTCTGGGAAATCTCCCTCTGCACATTTCAGCCTTGCTGTGGTGCTCCCTTGATCAAGTTCCTGGAATTCTCTGAGCTCAGTTTCCTCATCTAGGGGCTAAGAACACTTCTCAGAATTACTGTGAGAATTCTTTCAGTGGATGATTCTTAATTACTGAGCGTAATTCTTGACATTTAGTGAATGGTAGGTAGTTATTGTGGGGGGAAGCTGTAGAAGAGTGGCAAAAGTATGGGTAAGCTTTGATGTTATACAGACCCAAGATTTGAAATCCAGCTAGTTTCTGGCTATGTGATCTTCTGTGAACAAGTTATTCAATCTATCCCCTAGTTTTCTTCATTTATGACATAGGGATTGTTACTCTGGTGACTCTGAGGATTAAATGAGTGTGTGTACACACTTATAGGGCCTAGCATGTATTCAGTTATTATAACAAATAATAGTCATGATCGTTTTTAGTGAGTTTAACGGCCTACTTTCTAAGCCAAATTTAAAAATACACGTATTTTGTACACATGTATCAACTTGGGTTTAGATTTGAGGTCCTACCCTTGATATTTTAGCAGCTACCTCACTTTTGTATATATTTTCAAAAAGCTTTCTGATTTATACACAGACTGATGTGTATTCCCATTGAAACATTTTGGGAATCTGAAAACAGAGTGACAACGGGACAAGCATTCCTCTGGCTGCTTTAGGAACACAGGGTTCGAAGAAAAAGTCTCCAATAAAAATTGCAGCAGATAGGCAGACACATCCAGTGAGGCTTCAATAATGTATATAAGTGATGTCAGCCTCAGAGGCATGCAAAATGCAAAACACAAAGGAAATTCATAATGGGATTTTCAGGAAAAGGGTTGTTCCTTCCTGATGTGCTAACCTTGATTCTAGTTGTGTTTTTAGTACCAGCATAAAGATAGGTGGAGGAGGCACTGCTGAATTTTTCCATTGCCAATTTGTGTTGTAATCTAAGGACTGTGTCTTTGCTCTTCCCTGCTTTACTTGCAATAAATATTCTGCGAGCTTTGGGGAATGAGCTACTTTAGTTAAGTGATGTCTTTAATTGTGTATAATTAATCCATTCAGCATCCATAAATCACATTTCCACCCATGGGCATCCTTGCTAGATCAATAGCTTTGAATGTTGAAAACTGTAATAATCAGGTGGGCTTGCAGTGGGAGATCTGATGGAAATGGGAAAGATAATTGGGGGATAATTTCCATTCCTTCATTCTTAAGCTTCCCTTTCTATCCCTTTACATCAATTCTTGAAATTTCTAGATGCTGTTCTCCTTCACCAGCCTCATCCCTTCAGAGCATGGTTCATATGCCAATGCCTTGAGTGAGCTTTCTCTTTTTCTCCTGACCACGTCATGTTGATGGCCCATCCATACTCTGAGGATCTTTTCTTTTTCCTTTGTAGCATGTGTCATAATTGTAATTAAAGAATTCATTTTATATTTATTTAATGTTTTTCTCTTTAAAATATAAGCTCTGTGAGGGCAGGGGCTATGTTTATTTTGTTCTCAGCTACCTCCTAGTGCCTAGCACCATATGATATCATAGTAAGTAAAAACATAAGAGTGTTTTGTTGATAAAAAGTCGTTATTAATGTGCTTCCCCATTTTATTTGTTGCTCTTGGTTTTGCTGGACTTTCCCCACAAAGGGGTGTGGTTTGGAGAAGGGAAAGCATATGTGAATTATGATACTCTGGATATACCTTCTCAATATAATCATTTGCTATGATTAAAGTAGTACTGGCTGAATTACTTGTGCTTAAAAAATTACCATCCCAGTGAAAGAGTACATGTGTGATGGCTTGAAATTGAAGCTCCAACATTCATCAACTGCTGTGGCCCTACACTTTTTAGTTTCTTTCTTGGTTAGCTGGGAAATCTAATTCCATTATGATAGTGTCTTATGCTGGGGGGAAGTAGGTTTTCTCCATATAGGAAAATAGATAGTCACATGTAGGTGTTGGTAATACGTGGGTAATCCAGAACCTAGAGCGCAGGTAAAGTGGTATATGTACCAAATGTTATGGTATTTGGAAGGCAAAGAATCATTGCTTGGAGGACCAGAGTTATAGGAGCCTCAGGTGGGATTCAGAGACCAGGGAGTGAGTGATAGTAAGAGCTGCACCATAAGCAGAGTAGGTGAGTCTCTCTTCTACCCAACAGAGTCTATTGGTCCATAACTAGAAAGTAGTCAAGAGCTCAAGATGATACTCTATTCCTGCCTGGGGATAAAAACAGAGAGGCTTACATTGTTAAGAAGTCTATTTGTTGTCCATAGGCTGTAGCCAACTTTGATGCCAAAAAGAGGAAATATATTTATTCTTTCTAGATTTCTTATTCTTTCTTTTCCTCCTTTCTTTTTCTTTTTAGAGACAGGATCTCACTCTGTTGCCCAGGCTGATTAGCATTGGCAGGATTGTAGCTCACTGTAGCCTCAAACTCCTGGGCTCAAGCGCTCCTCCCACCTCAGCCTCCCGAGTAGCTGGCACTACAGGTGCATGCCACCATGCCAAGCTAAGTTTAAAAAACATGTTTTTGTAGAGATGGTGTCTCACCATGATCTTGAACTCCTGGCCTCATGCGACCCTCCTACTTTGGCCTCCCAAAGTGCTTGGATTATAGGCGTGAGCCATGGTTCCTGGCCTAGATTTATTTTTCTTAATCTCCCAGTGGTGACTGAGCCCACTGTGGACCCATTGGCCACCTAAATTAGTGAGGTTGCTGGCATTTTCAAGAGTGTTATATGAGGAAGGCAGAGTATCTTAAAAGAGCTTGGGTTTAAGTGTCTTTCAGATGAGACTTTAAATCCTGGCTGTTATCACTTCTTCTCGGTGAGCCTTAGTTTTCTCATCTGTAACATGGGCCTAATGACACTACTGACCTTATTCTTAGAGCACAGTGACACTCATTTGATACTATTTTTAAAGCATCTTCTATGTGTCCCTGGCACATAGTAACCATTCTGAACATGCTTGCTATTATTGTTGTTTGCTAGGACACTGGAAAGTCATAGTGATTTGTTCTAAAACTGGGCTGGGTTTGCATGTCCAGAAGAGGCCTGGACAGGGTGATGGTGATCCTGGAGTGCCTGGCTTGCTGTGTTCACTCATCCAATTCCAGAATCAGCCCAAAGCTCTGTGGCCCTTCGAAGCTTCAGGGCAAACTGTGTCTGGGTTAAGGGAACAATAGAGAGGTAATTGCAGCCATCAAATGTAGTGTGAAGCTTAAATCTAGTTTGCATCTTTTCACAGCAAATGTACCTGACATGTAAGACCATTTCATCTAGTTTTCCTGGAGGTTGCTGGAGAGAGATGGTCTTATAGCCTTTGATTACATTAAACCAGCACCTTGTAATTGCAACCACTGACACAGGTGGGCTAACAGCTTCAGAAAGCCCCTTTCTCCATTAAAGAATGGTGGATCTGGACTGGGGATTTCCCTACCCCAACTCTTTCCAGTATAAGACAAGAGCATTAGCTAGATTGATGATTCTATCTGTTTTCACATTAAAAGTCAGGTTTGAAAATAACTTCTGCATTGATAACCGCATGTTTGAATTTTCATTAAAGCTATATTACGTTTGAAAAAGCTTTAGTCCTTTTTCACAGTTTGAAATCACAAGTCCACAAATTTCTCTCTGGATTAGTTAAAATACTGTAAGCCCATTTCAGTAACCTAAATGAATGCTATGTCTGATTTATGGTAATGGTAAGTTGGAGTTCTCAGGTAGTGACCACTCTATTCTGAGTAAATCAAATAGCAAGCTCCCCTTTCTGGGATTGCAGTCAGCTTGTTTGACATCAGCCCACTCTGTGTGTGTGTGTGTGTGTGTGTGTGTGTGTGTGTGTGTGTGTGTGTGTGTGTGTGTGTGTGTACACATAACTCATTCTTTGGAATTCTCCCATGGAAAAGCAAAGGAAGGAAGCTGAGGGGAGGATGGGGCGATTGCATCCTGTACCCTTTACAGGGGTGTGGCCACGACTGCCTCAGCCGAGGGGATGTGATACATTTTTTCACTTAGGATGCCTGGACAGTGATAAGTCTTGATGAAAGGCAGGAGTGGCTTTTAGTGTCATTCATACTGGACAGGAGCCTCTTGTTAGAGACCTGCCGGAATCCTGTCTAGTATTTCATTTCTAGAACTTTGGGGGAAGAGGAAGAGAAGCAGGAGCATCCGTGAAGTGGACCTGCAGAGCTTTCACAGCCACCTTAGAACTCCAGACCCGCCTTGACTTCAGTTCAGCTCTGGCTGCTCCTATGAATGAAACTGCCACGTGGGTTGGCCAGGTGTATGATTTTAAGGAAGAATGCCATGTTTCTTCTTGCTGCTGCCTAAGTCTCATTTGACTGATGGATTTTAAAACCTTTGGGATTATATGAGGTAAGATATTGGAAAGTGCTGTGGAATGAATTCCACTGTCACTTGATTTCCTTGTCCAGCTGTTTGGGATTTACAGTTTTCTCTGCCTTTCACTTTGAAAAGCTCTTAAAAGTGGTCCCCTCCCAGCTGGCTGAGGGACAATTATTAACAAACTATGTGGCACATTTATCACTTGGCAACTGGATATAAGAGATCAGTGCTGAGATTAAAGCATGCAAAACTGTTACATATAGACAGTCACCTCATTGTGAATTTTTAGGGTTCTGCTTGTTTTAAATGGATTGTGTTGTTAAGTACAGGTTCTACCTACAAGAAAATGCTTTTGAAAATTGCCTTAGGTTGAGTCTAAATAGATTTCATGGCCGGTTATCTGTCCCTGGAATAATCATGGTTTTTGACAAATTTTAAAGTTCTTCTCTCAGGGAGTGAGATGTGAAAACAGATTTACTTTTAGGGTAAAGTTCAAATGGACAAGTATTCATAGACATCCATATTCTAGAGACTGTTGATTGAATGACAGTCTTACAGCAACACTTTTAACTTGAGAATAAAACCATGGTTTTTATGTAGTATCTTGTGGCAACTGTGGCAAACTGACTCAGTTTTCTATAGACCTCTAAAATTTGCAAGCAGAAAATCCACTTTAATTAATTATTTAAAAACTGGAACAACTCCAGGGCAAAATTTTAGTTTTATCCTAATTCCTTACAAGTTAGTTTTATACAGTGAAATTTTTTACTTTTTGGCTATTAAATGCCAGTCAGTGATTCTCAAGAGGGGTGGTGATGTTCATTTTTATTGCCATGTAGGGTGCAACTGGCATTTAGTGCCTGAGAGCCAAGGATGCTAATGTTTCTGCAATGTATTGGATAGACTCTCACAAAGAATTACCCACTAGAATGCCTGTAGTGCCCTCATTGAGCACAGTTTAGTGAAAAGTATGTTGAAGATTTAGTAAAGACTTACATGAGCAGTCATCTCTGGAAAGGTAACTGATCTTCTGATAAAGCAGTTTTGGGGAGGGACCCACAGAGAGCAGTCACTTCATAACACTATTCTTTAGGATCAGGAGCAATGAATGTTTCAGAAATATTTCTCCCACCTGTTTTTTTTCCTATTTTAGGTTCAGGGGTACATATGCAGGTTTGTTAGGTAGGTAAACTTGTGTCACAGGAGTTTGTTGAAGAGATTATTTTGTCACTCAGGTACTAAGCCACTAGGCTTAATTTTTTTTTCTGATCCTCTCTCTCCTCCCATCCTTCACCCTCGAGTAGGCTCCAGTGTCTGTTGTTCCCTTTTTTGTGTCCATGAGTCTCATCTCTTAGCTCCCACTTACAAGTGAGAACATGCAGTATTTGGTTTTCTGTTCCTGTGTTAGTTTGCTAAGAATAATGGCCTCCAGCTCCATCCATGCTCCTGCAAAATACATGATCTCATTCTTTTTTATGGCTGCATAGTATCCCATGGTGTATATGTACTACATTTTCTTTATCCCATTTGTCATTGATGGGCATTTAGGTTGATTCCATGTCTTTGCTCTTGTGAATAGTGCTGCAGTGAACATGCGCAGGCATGTGCTATTATGATAGAATGATTTGTATTGTTTTGGGTATATACCCAGAAGTGGGATTGCTGGGTCGAATGGCAGTTCTGTTTTTAGCTCTTTGGAGGTTTGCTACCCTGCTCTTTTTGTGTAATTTTTTTTTAGAGACAGGGTCTCTCTCTGTTGCCTAGGCTGGAGTGCAGTGGCATGATCATAGCTCACTGCAGTCTGGAATTCCTGGGGCTCAAGCAATCCTCCTGCCTCAGCATCCTGAGTAGCTAGAACTGCAGGTGTGTGACACCGTGCCCAGCTAATTGTAAAAAATTATTTGTAGAGGCAGGGTTTGCTGTGTTGCCCAGGCTAGTCTCTAACTCATAGCGTCAAGCAATCCTCCTATCTTGGCCTCCCAAAGTGCTGGTATTACAGGCATAAGCCACTGCCCCCAGCCATTCCCACATGCTTCTAACTAATATTTTCAGGCTGAGATTAGATGAGCTCCAACAAGTATTTGGTTTAGTTCAATAAGAGTAACCTCCTTCTTTAAATAAAATTAGCTATTATAGTTCCTCATCCATATTATATGAACTCATTAAGATCAAAGGAATAATTTACTCCTAACCAAAGGATGCTTTTGTATTGAACATTGTATTTCATAATGATTGTATATTTCTCTGAATTTTCAGCCTTAGGTGCAATGTAAAAGTAACATCCTACAGGTTCTAGAATTTGCTAAACTTCACTTACTATTAAAAGAGATTATCTTTGAGAGCAGGCTTAATATATGCATGGTTTTGTTTGTTTGTTTGTTTGTTTGTTTGTTTTAAGATGGAGTCTCGCTCTGTTGCCAGGCTGGAGTGCAGTGGCACCACCTCGGCTCACTGCAACCTCTGCCTCCCAGGTTCAAGCGATTCTCCTGCCTCAGCCTCCTGAGTAGCTGGGACTACAGATGTGTGCCATCACACCCAGCTAATTTTTGTATTTTCAGTAGAAACAGGATTTCACCATGTTGGCCAGGATGGTATCGATCTCCTGACCTCATGATCCACCTGCCTTGGCCTCCTAACATGCTGGGATTACAGGCATGAGCCACCGTGCCTGGCCTGCATGGTATGTTTTAAATAATTAGAGGAAAGAAAGGAGGGTGTGTAATCAAATTGCTATTATCATTCCTGGTAACTCTTTACACACATAGTGACAAGGTAGAGATTCTCAAGTTGAACACTATATTCAAGGTCCTGGTTTCATTGTGTTAGGGAGATGAGGGCACCTCCATCTGGTTCTTTATCAAGCCAGGCTTAAAGCTCATTGACAGAATTTTAAGCTTTGAGTGACCTTCTGTTGAAGAACTGGGCAGTATGGAGATACTACATGTGAGATACTGTGCTATGCTCTTAGTGGCATAGTTTACAATCACTGTACAGTAAGGACTTCACCCATGCTGCCTGTTCTTTTGGCATCTATGGATTAAGAAAGCAGAGTTTCAAGAAACATAAATAAGCATGCCTTTGTTTTAATTTATGTATATTTATGAGAAATTAGAATAAAATAAATTTTAAAAGTAAAAGCTAAGGAAATGAAGTTGGAGAATTGTGCTTTTGAGTAATGAAATGAAAACATAGCTCCCTTTAAAAGAAGGAATAAATAGAGTTTCTTTTTTTTTTTTTTTTTTTTTTTTTTTTTTTTGAGACAGAGTCTTGCTCTGTCTCCCAGGCTGGAGTGCAGTGGCGCGATCTCGGCTCACTGCAACCTCCGCCTCCTGTGTTCAAGGGAGATTCAAGCAATTCTCCTGCCTCAGCCTCCCAAGTAGCTGGGATTATAGGCACCTGCCACCATGCCCAGCTAATTTTTTGTGTTTTTAGTAGAGACAGGGTTTCATCATGTTGGTCAGGCCGATCTCGAACTCAAGTACTCAAGTGATCCACCTGCCTCAGCCTCCCAAAGTGCTGGGATTACAGGTATGAGCCACCGTGCCCGGTCCGAAATAGGTTTTTAAAACTCGTATGTTTAGCTCCTGATATATGCCAGGTTCACATACTATACTCATGTACTCCTCACAGCTTTCTGAGCCGAAGTGTGATTACTATCATTTTATAGATTAAGAAAATGGAGTCTATGCAGTTTTCAAGATTTGCCCAAGGTCATAAATCCAGCGAATGGGAGAAATGGAATTTAAACCCAAATCAGCTGTTACCCAGCAGTGGCAGCCTGGCAATATGAGTATCAAGTGGTGTAATATTCTCATTGCACCTGTAATGTGTGATATATACATAGAAAAGGAAAATGTACTTCTGTTGGTGTATTAGTCCATTTCACACTACTATAAAGAACTTCCCTAAGACTGGATAATTTATACACAAAAGAGATTTAATTGACTCACAGTTCCACATGGCTGGGGAGGCCTCAGGAAACTTACGATCATGGCAGAAGGTGAAGGGGAAGCAGGTACCTTCTTCGCAAGGTGGCAGGAGAGAGAAGTGAGCAAAAGCAGGGAAAACTGCCTTACAAAACCATCAGATCTCATGAGAACTCACTTGCTATCATGAGAACAGCATGGAGAGAACCACCCCCATGATCCAATGACCTCCCTCCCTCGACATGTGGGGATTACAAGTCCTTCCCTTGGCACATGGGGATTACAATTTGGTAATTTGGGTAGGGACACAGAGCCAAACTTTGTTGGTGAATAAAGGTTTATGTAGGCTGAACACTAGTGCTATAGTAAAAATGTTGCATTAAGGGTTTTACTGAGCTACAAAGTGATGGACAATCAGAGCTTTATATTTTGACTGATTAAAATTGAGTGTGGGGAAAATTGGACTTTTGGGAGTTGTTTGAATAAAGAGAGGGAGGAGAAGAGCATGGTGGAGGTAGACAGTGAAATTACAGGATGGTGTTTGACTTGGAGAGGGCTTAGAGGAGGATGAGTGCCGCCCCCCCGCCCAAGCCCCCCACCAGGGTTGTCAAACTGAAGAGTGCGAGATTGGGTCACAGCCTTTTGCACTAAGGTGGATATTTGTATCGGCTATAGCTCTGTCTGCACAGGGAGGATGGAGAAGGAGGTGAGTCATGTCCAGGTTATGGCTCCCATGCTTGGTCGTTGGCCTGGGCATGAAGCATCGTGTGCCATCCTCTCTTGCCGTTCTACCATCTGTTCTGCACACAGCAGCCAGAGTTATCTTTATCATTTTTTAATGCAGATCATGTCACTTCCCTGCTTTAAATCCTTTAATGACTTTCCATTATCCTCAGAGTGTGGTCTAGACAGACAGTAAGGTGTAGTGTTGAGGAGCATGGTCACTGGAGCAAGACTGGGTTCACTCTGTGCATACAGTAATTCCACCTTATCCACGGGGGATACGTTCCAAGACCCCCAGTGGATTCTGAACCTGCAGATAGTGCTGAACCCTACCATACACTGTTATTCCCTATACATATATACCTATGATAAAGTTTACTTTATAAATTAGGCACAGTAAGAGATTAACAGTAACTAAAACAAAATAGAACAATTATAACAATATATTATAACAAAAGTTAGGTGAATGTGGTCTCTCTCTCTCAAAATAGCTTCTTTGATTGTGATCTCTTCCTCTGAGAATATCTTACTGTGTTGTACTCACCCTTCTTCTTCTTTTTGTGATGATGCAAGATGACAAAATGCCTGCGTGATGAGATACCATGACAGCTGATCTGATAATTGAGATGGCTACTAAGTGGCTGACAAGCAGGGAGCATCTACAGTATGGACCTGCTGGACAGAGAGATGATTTACATCCGGGCGGGATGGAAGGGACAATGCAAAATTTCATCACACTACTCAGAATGTACACAATCTAAAACTTATGAGTTGTTTGTTTCTGGAATTTTCCATTTAATATTTTCAGACTAAGGTTAACTTTGGGTAATGGAAATTGCAGAAAGTGAAACTATGGATACGAGGTGACTGCCGTACCAGCTTTATCATCCTAGACAAATTTCTTAATCTCTTCCTGTTTTACTCTCCTCATTGTTAAAAATTTTATAGATAATAGTTCCTACCCTAAAGGGTTGTTAGAGGTTTAAATGAGTGAATCAAAGTAAAACACTAGAACAGCACTGGCACATAGTAGGTTCTAGAGAGTGTTATTGTTATTGTTACAGTCCGGAAGCTGGCCCCTGCCTGTCTGTTTCTCTCATGTCTTCTTCTCCCACTCTCTGCCTCATCCATGCTGCTGTAGCTGCATCACTTGGCTGTTCCTTGGAACATGGTAGGCTTGCTTCTGTTTCAGGGCTTTTGCATTTTTGTGTTACGCCTTTTCCCAAAATCTCCCTGTGGTTCAGTCCCCTGCTTCATTCAGGTTCCTGTTCAAATGCTTCCCTGACCAACCTATGTAAAATTGTACTCTCCTACCAACCTCTCTCCACCCCATTCCCAAGCTTTCTTTCTTTAAGCCAGTTACTACTACTTGACATTACATTTTTGCTTATGTATCTGCTTACTGACCACTTTCCCCACCAGACCAAAATCTCCACCAGGACAGGGACTTTGACTCTTTTACTCCTACCCAAATCCCTGTCACTTAGAATATTGCCTGGTAGATAGTAGATGCTCAATAAATATTTGTTGAATGAATTTTTGTAAATTTCATTTTCTCTATCCCTTCTATAATTGCTGTTTTCATTCTGTCTTTGAGGCTTAAAATGTTCTTTTCAACTGTCTTTGGCCTGTTTATCCAAATGGAAAAAGAGCATTTACTCTGCTCTTTCTTATGAAAGTTCTTTGACAGCAGGAAGTCTTGTTCTACTACTTTGAGCCTTGTTACAGGGGATAGGATTGAGGCATTTTATCATCATTGTCATAGAAAATTCTTGAAGGGCCTAATGTTGGATCTTGTGCTAAGGTGTTTACCGAGCTACCAAATGCTGGCCATACTTCACCATTTAAAAGGGTTCGGGTTTACATTTTCATTATAAAGCATAATTGCCAAAGGAAAGTAGCCATGCAAGTATGATGGGGAAAATCATGTACTGACAGCAGTGTGTACTTGAAAGAGACTTTGGAAATCTTGAAGTCTGAAGTTTTACAAAGAACACCTCATTCCTGCTAACATTTTTATCATGAAATTGGATGCAACTATTGCAAATGCCTTATTCTGTTTTCACATGAGATTTATAGTAAGTTTTACAATATCCACCATAAATTATAAGTTTCTTGTTTGATGTAAGTAAGCCTTTAGTAATTTTCCATTTGAGCATTATCAAAGAATTTGAGTTCTCACAAATCCTATGTAGTAAAACATTCAGTTTGGGGAAAAAAATCTTAATTTAGAAATGTTCTGAAAATCCTTGTCAAGAAGGAACTTTAAGATGTTTCAAAGGCCTTACTCGAAACTGGTTATGTGATCTTAGGTAAGCCTCTTAATCTTTTTTGTGCTTTGGTGTGACCAACTGTAGGATATAAACAAAGTTGAATGTCACATCAGCAGTGTGGATGAATTAAGTGTGAATGTTAATTGGAAATTCTTATTATAAAGATCCAGAGTTTAAGCTGGTTTTGTGGAATTCGCCTGATAATGCTTACCAAGAATTTGCAATGTTGTCCCTGTTTTTCTCTACACTGAATAAGATGGAGATCTCTTTAAAAAGGCTTTGTGTGTTCCATGGTGAAAATGTTATTTCTTTTTTGTATATTTAAAGAATATAGTACTAATATTCAATTAATATCATATAATCAAAAGAAGATATCAAGATACTGATGCAGGATTTTTCTCAGCCCCCACAGCAGGAGGCACCCTGTCTAGTCAGCCCACCAGGCCTTGGTTGGCTTGCACTCCAGTGTGGAACCCAGGGCCACTGCGACTGTGTGCTCAGCCCCTAGCGGGAGGGAGTATGTGAGCAAGTGAGTGTGGGGTCTGGCCGGCCATTCCAACCACTGGTACAGCAGCAGGCTCCATGCAGAGCTTGTGGCTGGACCAGCCATGTCACCCTGATGGGAATGCGGTGGTGCCCAGGCAGGGGTGGCCACAACCCTGAAGCCTCAGAAGGGGTGTTACAATGTGGTAATTAGCTCTTTTAGTCCCACTATCTGCAGCCTGACTGATGGTGGTGTATTAACAGCCCAGTTAGCTCCTAGCCCCACTCTGGCCTGTGGCTCCAGAGCTGGGGCTTGGCCCTGATGTTGCTTCCTGTTGCATGGGGTGGCTGCCCTCCACTGGCAGAGGGCAAAGGGCCACAGTATTAACAGCCTTTTGATTACTTGCATTCGGTGGGTCCTGAGTTCTTGCCCCACATCCAAGAAGAATGAGGTCATACTGACAATTGAAGGGTGATGAGGTTGGAGAATTATACTGAGCAGTGAAACAGCTCTCAATGGAGAGGGGACAGGAAAGTAGTCTCTAACCCTAAGTCAGGTCATCTATCACCCTAAGTCAGGTTGTCTCTGCCAGTGTGGCTGAGTCTGAGGTTTTTATAGGCACAGGATGGGAGAGGGACAGACCATAGGCAGTATTGGAAAAGGCAACATTTGGTTGGTTAAAAAGCATTATTCAGAAAGAATCAATGGGGAAAGGGTGGGCAAACATGAACAGAGGTTCTCACTCTGAATCACGGCTTTCATCCAGAACCAGCAGTGTGGTCTTTCAGCCTTCAGGCTGTTTTTGGCTTGAAGGTGGCATTTCATCAGGGATTCGCCCCTATGTACCTAGGCATTTATCTGCCTCTTGTCATTATCAATATCTTCCATTCAACCAAATATTAGCACCTACTATGTGTCAGGTTTTATTCTAGGCACTTGGGATACATCAGTAAACAGAATAGACAAAATTCCTTGACCTCTTGGAGTTTACATTCAACAGAAGAAGACAGACAATATATTTAAATGTGTAACTAGATTCTTATAGAGTATGTGAGAAGATGATAAGGATTATGGATAGGAAATTGAGCAAAGTAAGATAGTCTGGGAATGCTGGAGGAAGACTTGCGTTTCAAAATGAAGCAGTCAGAGTAGGTCTCATTGAAAAGGTGATGTATAAGCCACAAAATTGAAGGGAGGAATTGAGCCATAACAGTATCTCGGGGAAAGTTCCAGGTGAATGGGATGGCCAGAGCAATGTCCCTGGAGCCAAATCCTGACCACACCTTTGGGGACATCAGGGAGGTCAATGTGGCTGGAAGGGGGTAAGGAGCGAGGCGGGGAAAGTAGGAAAGGGTGAGGTCAGAGCTGTAATTGGAGGGAGTGGGAAGCCATGTCCTGTGGACACTGCAAGCCATCATAAACACTTTGGATTTCACTCTGAGAAGAATAGGGAGCCACTGAACAGAAGAGAGACATGTTTCTATATGCCAGTGTGACGTGTGTTTGAAATTGATTCTTTTGTAAGCCATTTCTGAACTGCTCCTTATTATCTGGTATACTGGGCCATGACTGTAACTCTTGGGAGGGATTTACTGAAATGAGTCCAAGTGTTTCTTCTCACTGGGCTGTCAGTAATTTCTTTTCCTTGTCAAATGAGTGTTTAATCAAATAGTTTAGGACCAATTGTTTTTATCTAGGAAGTTGCTGAGCAGAGCCTCCTCCCTTTGCCTAGTACATCTAGAAGTGTGAGTGTGCAGGTGACCCCTCAGGGGTGTGGTTCAGACTTGACTATATGTCACCCAGTTTGGATCTAGTAAGACATTTCACATTCTCCAGTTGGCTCCCTGCTTGTGATACCCTGCTATAGAGGATACAGCAATAAAACATCTCTCTTAAACTTGATAGTACATATTGTGAGTTCAACAAGTGTGCCCTGTGCCTCTCCACTCTGCCAGCATTCCTTTCCAGGGCAGTGATGAGGTCCATGTCAGAGATAGTGTCCTGCACACCTTTCAGTGCACAGATATTCCCAAGGCCAGACCTTGCAGTCTTGTCATTGGCTCTTCTAAGCCCGTGTTGTTTTTTTCTACCCAGTAATGTGCTGGTGCCCATTTCTGCATTCTCGGGCACACTGTTCTCAGCAAATCATTCTGGTGCCATTCAAGTGGCTTCAAAGCCGTAGTCGCCAGTAGGTGCCCTCTTAGCAGGTGGCCTGGTGGTGCCATGATTGTCAGACACACTCTTGTCTCCATTCAGAGAAGACTTTAATATAAAGAATTGGGCATCTAAGGAGATTGTGTTAAAAACTAATGCTAAGTTTGCAAATTCATAAGGAAGTTTGCCAGTGAATTCTCCTAGCACTTAATAAAATTGGTGCTCCATTTGGTACATTCAGTTGTGAAGACCCACCTGTCTTCCACAGTATAGCTCAGCTCTCAAAGTCGTCGTCACAGTTTTCTCCTCAATGTAGCTCTGGGATTCCAGTAACTGGCCTGGTACTTGCTGGTAAATTTGTACCATTTTAACAGTCAAGCAGTCCCTCTGAAGGGGTGTTCTTTGCCCAGGTCTAGAATGATAATCTTGATTCAACTCCTAGCTTAGTATTGCTCTCCAATCCCAAATTCCAGACAGGCATCTAATTCCCGAGTGTACCCATAATAAGATCAAGCATCTTTATGGTTCCAATCTCAGGACATAGTTGTTTTCAATTTATATACAAAAGATAATTGAAAATCAATTTAGAATTTATGCCATTTTTTAAGAAAATGTAGAGAGGAGATGGAATTACTTTAAAGCAAAAGAAAATTTGTAAGTATTATTTTTCTGCTCTCTGGCACAATCGGTCACATGGCATCTTTCTCAAAAAATTTCTCGTCTATTTTTAACTCTCCTGGGTTGATTGGTAGGAGGGTAAGTGCTTTGGATACTTTTTTTGTTTCTATTTTATTTCAAGTACCGTATGGAGGTTTTGGAGTTATTTAACATAGACATAAAAACATTTCCAAATCTAGAATATGTTTGGATATGTCTGATATGTCTGTTCATGTTTCCTATATATTCTCTTATTATCTTAAAAGGATAATTTTCTGGAAATCCAAGAATCATGTACAGGAAAAAAATTAATCTTTTAAAAATAGTTTTCACACCCATCTCTGTGTGTGGAATATTATGGGGAAGAAAGAACTTGAAAAAAAATTTAAAGTTTTTCTGTTTAAATTATTTTAGCTTGGTGTGTCATTTTTTTTAAAAAAAAAGAATTAGTTTTTTAAAAGACTACTCTTTATAATTACATTGTAGGTTAATATAATTATCAACTTTTCCAGGGAAGAAAAGGATAATCTCCTGAGGCCCAAGCAAAAATGGTAACATTGACCTCTGAATTCAGCTTTAAATATGTTGCTTCTGATGACCATTCATAGAACCAAAAATGTGAACTGTGGAAGGTAAAGAAATACATATGTCTAGGGAATGGATGAGGAAACAATGTCTGGCTTAGATTTGTAGACTTCTCAAAGGAGATCTCCGTAAACTCTTCCAAAGACACTTTAAACCTAACAGCTCAGAACCATATGAATCAAGCACAGACACCAGGATGACTAATCATTCCTCCTCTTTTTTCCTCTTTTAACAAAACATGGTTACCTTTACCATAGTAATTTTCGCATTGCATTATATATCTATGTGCCTTATCCCGTCAGCTCCTTATGGCAGGAAATATCCCCCCTTATCCCGTCAGCTGCTTATGGCAGGAAATAGATGCTTATGGTCTTCATAGTAGTCAGTCAATAAATACCTGTCAAATGAATGAATGAATGAACAAGGTAACAAATGAGAGGGACAATGGTCAAAGACATATGCATGGTCCACAGCATTGCTGTGATTGCTCAACTTCCCTGGAAATAACCATGAAGCAGAATTTTTCAAAATGTGGTCTTTATGGTACTTGCATCTGAATCATCTGGTTGGGGTGCTTGCTAAAATTCAGATTCCTGAGCCCAGACTCAAACCTACTAAATTCAAAGTCTCTGGAAGAGCAGCACAAGAATTAGCATTTTATTTGTTTATTTTTTTAAGACGGAGTCTCGCCCTGTTGCCCAGGCCGGAGTGCAGTGGCACAATCTCAGCTCCCTGCAACCTCCACCTCCCAGGTTCAAGCAGTTCTCCTGCCTCAGCCTCCCGTATAGCTGGGATTACAGGTGTGTGCCTCCACACCCAGCTAATTTTTTGTATTTTTATTAGAGTCGAGGTTTCACCATGTTAGCCAGGCTGATCTCAAACTCCTGACCTCAAGTGATCTGCCTGCCTCGGCCTCCCAAAGTGCTGGGATTACAAGCATGAGCCACCATGCAGGAAGTAGCATTTTAAAGAAGCACCACCCACCCCCTCATTCATTGTGAGCCATGAAGTTGGGCATTCGTTGCCCTGGAGGATCAGGTAGCTAAAAGAGATGGTGACCCGTGAGGATCTGTGACAGTGAATGTGCAGGAGATTTTGGTAAGTCTGCTTATATAGAGATTCTGTTTAAGACCCCTAGGTGTTCCTCCTAAAAATAATGTGGTTTTAATGAAGGAAAAGGGGCCTATTTCTCACCTCATTAACAAGCTCTGAGAAGTTTCTCTGTGTCATTATATAGTTAGTAGAAGAGGGTTGTGTGTTGTAATCTTCTATTTCTACTCTTTTATCTCCTGGGTCCAAACACTTTGTTTCTCCCTTGAAGAAGCAGAATTAACATAACTAATTCCAGTATTAGTAACAGGATTAATGGGAGTAGCTCTAAGTTGTAATTTAAAATAATAATAAATGAAATCACTTTGGATAAGTATCATGTTCAGGCATGGTGGCTCACATCTGTAATCCCAGTACTTTGGGAGGCCAAGGTACGCATGTGTGCGCGCGCACACACACACACACACACGTTTCACTTTTCTATTTAGAGAAAATGTGTAGCCAACTAGACTTGTAAGAGAATGAAGAAGTCGTGAGACACAAAGGGACAAGCTTAATATAAAGCCTACCAAACAAAATTAGATTTAGAAGGTATTTGGGTATATATGTATTAACATCTCCAATGTCCCTTTCTTTGTAATTATATTTCCACTAGGAAGTAACCTAAGAATCTAGAATATATACTCCTGTAATATAGACTGTTTTGTAACAAAAAAACAGACACTTTAATCCTAGTACGAGAGGAAATAGGAATGAGGATGGGAAAGAAGGCAAGGAAGGTAATAGTCAAAGAACAAAGACAAAAGCAGGAGAATATGCCTCATGGAAGCTGACAGGTGTCTAGGTTGAGTGGAAGGTCCCTCTAGAGAAAAAGGTTAAATATTAAGATGACAGAAAGTGACTGGTGGAGAAGAGGGTGCCGCAGGCACCACTGTAAGGGGGAGTAGAACCCTGGGCAAGAAGGCAAGAAGTAGGCACAGATACAGAGGAGATAGTAGTAGGGAGATGGAGAAATCAAGGGAGATCAGGCCTAATGTCCTCTTGGATGCCACAGAATGCATGAGTTTAGGGACACAGAGTTCACACAGAGTTCCAGTGAGGGTGGAAATTAGGTAGGGGATGTGAGGACAGAGACAGATTTGGAATTGTTAAGAGAAACGAGAAAGGGAAGTGGCCAAGTATAACTTGGTTTTAAAGACCAGTGGCATTCTATGATTTGTCGGAACCTTTACTCAGTTAAAGGAAGAAATAAAGTTATAATTACTTCTATATTACACATGTGGGGGATTTAGAATTGTTTCTTTGATATACCTTTTTATATTCAGTTATTGTTCTTTTTTTTGAGTTAGGGTCTTGCTCTGTCATCTGGGCTACAGTGCAGTGGTGCAATCGTGGCTCACTGCAGCCTCAAACTCCTGGGCTCAAGGGACACCCCTGTCTCAGCCTTCTGAGTAACTAGGGCTACAGGTGCATGCCACCATGCCCAGCTAATTAAAAAAATTTTTTTTTTGTAGAGACAGGGTCTTGTTGTGTTGCCCAGGCTGGTCTCAAACTTCTGGCCTCAAGCAATCCTCCTATCTTGTCCTACTGAAGTGTTAGGATGACAGGCATGACCCACTGCACCTGGGCCCACTATTGTTCTTACTTTGGGTTGGGGGCATTTTGAAAAAACCAAATCACCTCATACAGGTACTAAATGAGGATAAAAAAGAATAGTTCATTGAATATAGGAAAAAAAATATGTTGGCCTATACAAAAAAATCCATGAACAATAGAGCTGAGCAGAGAAAATGCTACCACTCTAAAATGATTCTCAGGCTAGACCAAAATTGACTGCAACGTAAACAAAGATGTGAACAAAAAATTTAATCTAAAGGACTAATTAAAATTGATCTTCTTGGAACAAAGGAATTAGTCATTCTAGGCATTTCTTAGCATGATGTGCCAAGGCTGGCCATAGCTCTGCTAGCCACAGTAGGAGCAGTGGCAGTTGTAGAGATTGTAGTAGCCATTTCACAGTAATGTGAACTCTGTGTCCCTAAACTTATTTCTCAGGATTCATATTTGCAATTAAGGGTTGCTGCCACTCAGTGGCGGAAGTATTTGTATCTGTCAAGGATAATGAATTATCAAGAATATGATCACATCAAAGAAAAATTTCCATCTAGAATAACCAGAATATTAACTTGAGGGTCTCTTACTTGACAAGCACCATGGTTGGCAAGGAATAACGCAGCAGCTTTCCTTCCTTATGAAGGCCAAAGGATGGTCACTGGCCATGGCATTTGAACTTGTTTTCTGTAATCAAAACAGGCCCATCCAGCTTCTGCTCAGGGTCAGCTCATTCTGCTTCTGACCCATTTTTTGTCGTATATGGAACATTTGTGTTCTGTGTGAACCTGAATACTCATGGTACAATTTACCCATTTGGCTTCAAAGGGCTAACTTTTATTTCTTTAAATGTCACAGATTTCACCAGGCCAGGTGTGGTGGCTCATGCCTGTAATCCCAGCAGTTTCAGAGGTTGAGGCAGGCTGATCACCCAAGGTCAGGAGTTCGAGACCAGCCTAGCCAACATGGTGAAACCTCATCTCTATTTTGTATTTTGTATTTTGAAAAATACAAAAATTAGCCAGGCGTGGTGGCTTACACCTGTAATCCTAGCATTTTGGGAGGCCAAAGCAGGTGGATCACGAGGTCAGGAATTCGAGACCAGCCTGGCCAACATGGTGAAACCCCGTCTCTACTGAAAATATAAAAATCAAAAAAATTAGCTGGGCGTGGTGGCAGGCGCCTGTAATCCCAGCTACTCGGGAGGCTGAGGCAGGAGAATCACTTGAACCCAGGAGGCAGAGGTTGCAGTGAGCTTAGATAACACCACTGTACTCCAGCCTGGGTGACAGAATGAGACTCCATGTCAAAAAAAATAAATAAATAAATAAAAAGTCACCAAACGGAAATGGAATTTTTTTTTTTTTTTTTGAGACGGAGTCTCACTCTGTCGCCCAGGCTAGAGTACGGTGGCGTGATCTCGGCTCACTGCAAACTCCACCTCTCGGGTTCAAGCAATTCACCTGCCTCAGCCTCCCGAGTAGCTGGGATTACAGGCGCCTGTCACCACGCCCAGCTAATTTTTTTGTTTTCTGTATTTTCAGTAGACACAGGGTTTCACCATGTTGGCCAGGCTGGTCTCGAATTCCTGACCTCGTGATCCACCTGCCTCAGCCTCCAAAAGTGCTAGGATTACAGGTGTGAGCCACTGTGCCCGGCTGGAAATGGAATTTTCTACATGGCCTATGAACTAACCAGGGGAACTAAGGCAGAGTTACAGAGATATAGAGTTTATCCCAACCTACAGGAGCTGGTGGGTGGATTGAACACTTAACTCTAGGCTTGTTTCATGGTAAAGGGTCTGGGAAGAAAGCACACGTTATTTATTCTCCCTTATTTCCTACTTCTGAGACTAAGCAAGGGTATGCAAGTAGTACAATATTTATACCTAGAGATGAACCTAACTAGCAAAGGAAGTGATATTAGTGACCCACTTAGAATAAGAGATGCTGACACCAGTTCTCTGTCCAAGCTCCCTTCTAGGGACCATGTAAAGGAGCCTCAGGATCTCCTCTGTCCAGGGTTCAGGCCTCATCCTCATCCCATTCCTACCCATCCATTCTAATTTTTGACCCTCACTGGTCCATGTTCCCAAAATTGTCATGTCAGAAATGCGTTTGGATTAATTTATTGGCTTAATTGATTGCCTGGGGAGAAAAAGTTTAGTAATACCAAATAATGCATACACTTTTACAGTGAGGTCACATTAACAGGTACAACTTTTTTACAGTTGCTTTTTATCTTCTTGATTCTAGTACTTGCTCCTTAAAACCAGATTTGATACTGCCTCATCTTTTCTGAGGCCTCAAGAGGAAGGAATCTGTTACAACAACGTTTTTAGGAAATTTCCCATGTACATAACTACTTTTTTAAAAAGCTTTGTGAATAGGTGGACACCCTCTATCTCCTATGTGTGTGTTCTCTTTCTTTTAGAGTCCAGCCTTCTGTGCCTTCCAAGTGACCAGTAGCTAATAAGTAAATTTATTTGTGAAAATAGGAGAGTTCTTCTCCCAGCATCCAAGCAGCTCTGCTAATTAAAGTATCTTTCAGAAGGTGAAGCAAATACCCTTGTTGTCTAACCTGGAGCAGTGATCCAAACTTGAGGATTCCAGATCAAGTCAGAAATGATGAGTCTGAATCACTGAGTGGTTTTTAGGATGGGTATATCTGTTAAGAATTGTGTGTAGCTGCAGGTAACAGAAACACAACCACAGTGGCTTAACCAAATGGGATTTTTTTTTCCTAGGTAGCAAGAAGCCTGAAGGCAGGTGGGTCAGGGCTCAATGGATCATCCTGATTGCGTCTTGCTTCTTGCTCTGCCATCTTAGCAATGTGGCTTTACTTCAAAAAGAGGGGACAGGGAAGAGCAAAAGGATGTTGAGTTTGTCCTTTTCTTATTAGGAAAATTACAGTTTTCCATAGGGTTCCACCTAGTAGACTTCCACTTACATTTCACTGGGCAGAACCAGGCCACATGTCACCATTAGCTGGATGGGATTTTGGAGAGGTATTTTTAACAGGGCACATTGTTGCCTTGAACAAAATTGGGGTTCAGTTGGCAAGGTAGAAGCTCAGTGGTTATGCAGCAAGCAGGGTCTGCCCTGAGGAGCCATGTGATACCTTTCAAATCCAGTGATTTTTAAGTGATTGCCCGAGTACCATCTAAGTATCAGCATCTTGGTTATATTTCTGTATGAAATGGAGTTGTTTGCTCGCATTGTTTATCTAGGAGAGGATGTGATGCCATGAATGGGTTATGTCTTTCCATTCTTATAAAGAACAGTGGCTGCTTCTTGGCCTTTCACAGTAAAGAACCTTTGACTTATAATGTGCTCAATGCAAATGCATGAAAGGACCATCCCTCCCAAAGTTCTTTGGCTTTTCAATATGATGAAACTAGTAGGGCAACCACAAAAAAAACCAGAAATCCCTCTGTCCCCTTGCTTTGACCCATTTTCTGTTTCTTTCATGCTTAAAAGAAGAAAGGTTTTTCTCCTCAGGACTATTCCTTTGGGCTTGGGACCTTTTCTCCATCTTTCCATTTTTAGTGTAGCTCATACTTCACCCCGTCTTCTTTATTCCAACTCTCAGTTAAAGTGCAACCTTAATCCTTCCTCCTTGGAAAGGGATTTGGGGAAACAAATGAGGTACATCTGGCATTAAGAGCCAGGATCACTATATACTTTTTAATGTGCCTATAAAACTCCAAATTGTCTCCTTTTCGTGTTTTCTAGTTTCATTTCCTATTCTGGGCCACTAAGACAGAGCTTCAAACTAGTGTAATGTGAGCAAATTATAGAATATGAATCCCCAGTCCTCAGGGTGCTGGGGGCAGAGTCTGAGGAAGCCAGAGCATCCCTGCCTGTCATATTAAATTGTAATCATGGCCTCTGTTGAATCTAGTGTTGCCATACAAATACTACCACTTTCTTTGTGCCATGAGGTCAGAAAGCTTGGAAAATGCTGCTTTCAGGCCTTTTGGGGGGATCACTGTTCTTTCTATTCTTCTTCAACACAAAAGCCTATAGAGACTCTTTTTTTTTTTTTTTTTTTTTTCTTATCTTGTCTCAAGGTCTATGCCTTTGGTCTTTTGCAAAGGACTGTCCTGACAGATGTGATGAACTTGGTTTGTGTTCCCTAAACACTGTTCCTGGCAAAGCTGTGCTGTATCTTGACTCACTTTCGTAGCTTAACGTCCCTTTTGTTCATCCCATCTTGAATTCTGTTATATTCTCCTAGGTCTGTTCTTCCTTTCCTTTTTATAAAAGCGTTTTACAAATGGGAGCACACCCAACCCCTTTGTTATAAATCAGCTCATAGCTAAAGTTGTAGCAGTTGTACCCTTTGTTCTTTGCAGTTTTGTCTTTTGGCAACATTGACCACCTTGGCCAAGCCCAGAGATGCCATCTTCTTTCCCCCCAGCCTTCTTTCTCCCACATAAATGCAAGCACAGAAACTCGGGTAATACTCTGCTGGGAGGTAGTCATTAAGAATAATGTGCATTATATTTTCTCATTTATCTTTTTTCCATTTATTTTAGAACTTATGTTAATCTTCCTGCTACGGAGAGAAAGGTTATAATTAATCTGAAAAGTGTTTCTTTGGTTTTTCTAGATGAGAATTCTCCAGCCAACTTCTGGGATTCTAAGAACAGGGGTGTGACTGGAACACAAAAAGGGCAAATTGTATGGAGAATTGAGCCTGGGCCCTATTTCATGGAACGTAAGTAACTAAGTGTGAAATATAAACTTATTATTGAACATTGCATAAGTATGCAGAATTCTATGGAGTCTTTTTGAATGTTATTTTGAAATTCTTTGGTTTGGATTTACATATTTATGCCATGATGGAAAATATATTGTTTTAGAAAATGCTCAGTAAAGAATGTTCACATATTTTGAAAAAACTGTATGTGTTTAAATATACAGTTAGCCATCCATATCCGTGGATTTCACACCTACAGATTCAACCAACTGTGGATCAAAAATATTCAGGAAAAAAAAATGTCATTTTGTCTCTACTGAACAAGTACAGACATTTTTTCTTATTATTCCCTAAACAATATGGTATAACAATTATTTGCATAGCATTTATGTTAGGTATTATAAGTTATCTAGAGATGATTTAAAGTATACGAGAGGATGTACACAGGTTATATGCATATACTCTGACACTTTATGTAAGGAACTTGAGCATCTGTGGATTTTGGTATCCCATGGGGGTCTTGGAACGAATCCCCCGTGGATATCAAGGGACAACTATATAATATGTGCATGTGTGTATATGTATATACACACACACACACACAAACATACACATTTACATATATATGCAAATATTACATGTACATACATATACATGTATATATACAAAAATATATATAGTATATTTTATATTTTACATATACATAATGTATGGTATATAAATTATATATGGTTACTTTAATACTTTACACATTTTTATATACCCTTTATATCTATAATTAATATTTATTCATATGAATTTCAGAAAGAATAAGTCAAGATATCGCTTAATTTAATAACATGACTTGCCTTTGAAATATCTCATTATAATTTTTGCCAGCGGCAGAATAACTTCGTGTGTGGACCCCAGTCTTTTCAAAGTGTTGATGAAATAGACGGGCTCACTGACATTGAGGTCGGCTTACCAGAAAATCAGACATTGGCTGCAGATAACTCAACTATTACCTAATTAATTCAGTGTTATAGTCATTTATAAATTCAAATGCTCATATATAGTGCCTGGTTCACAAAAATATCTTGTCCCTTTTTCTGTTGGGTGATGGTGTTATTTATAGTTGCCACCAATATTATTGAAAAAATAGTAAATACTCAGTACATTTTTGTGGAATATATAGAAGAAGGAAGGAATAAATGCTTTACTAGTTGGTCCAGGTTAACTTCTACATTTATAGAATTTATTTTTCTTTCTTTCTTTTTTTTTTTTTTTTCTTGAAACGGAGTTTAGCTCTT
The DNA here is from genome assembly GCF_000001405.40 of Homo sapiens. Lineage (NCBI taxonomy): Eukaryota > Metazoa > Chordata > Mammalia > Primates > Hominidae > Homo > Homo sapiens. Next base: position 196,342,385 of record NC_000002.12, on the reverse strand, counting down.
GTTGCCCAGGCTGGAGTACAATGGCGCAATCTCGGCTCATCACAACCTCCGCCTCCCGGGTTCAAGCAATTCTCCTCCCTCAGCCTCCAGAGTAGCTGGGATTACAGTCATGCACCACCACGCCCAGCTAATTTTGTATTTTTAGTAGAGACAGGGTTTCTCCATGTTGGTCAGGCTGGTCTCGAACTCCTGACCTCAGGTGATCCGCCCGCCTCAGCCTCCCAAAGTGCTGGGATTACAGACATGAGCCCCTGTGCCTGGCCATTTTTCTTTAATGTAGAAAAAAAAATGGGCTTTTTAAACTTTTTCTGAGTTGTTGAGCTCTGAGTGAGCCTTAAGATTAGTATATGCAAAAGATTTAATATAAAAGAGAATGTGTGGGTACTAGTACTTAAAGATAGCACTTACTAAACGTGAACATTAAAGATTTGATTAAATGGAAACCTGCCACAAGCATATCTTTGTGAAGCATATCAAACTTCTCTAATACACAGTTATCTTAAAAGGTTAACATCTGTTACTTTGAATTGCCATTAAAGGCATGAAATAATTTCTTTTACCATCCTTACTAGTAAATCAGCACTCTAGAACTTTCTCTAATCCTGCTTCTGCCCCATAAGAAATGTCTTCTTTTCATATTCCAGTTTTCTGACTGGATTCTCTCTTAGGCCTTAAAAGAAATGTCATTTTTAAGGGAAAATGCTCACAAAAAGCAGAGAGAAAGGAAGGTCAGAAAGGGGAAGTAGGTACATTCAGCAGAATCCTAGCTAATAGCACAGCATATAGGAAAGTTTGGAAGAAAACTTGCCAACATGTGAATGAGGATGGTTTCTGGCAGGTGGAATTATGGATGATTTGTTTTTCCGACTTATGTCTATGTAACTTTCCAACATTGCCCCAGCTGGCACGACTATCTAAGTAATGAAGAAATAAGTGATAAAAGAATGTGGGAAAATGGAATGGGAAATAGCTGGTTTTACTTTCAGTGTGATTCCTCCTTTGAAAGGATCCTGGTGTTTAAAAGGCTGATCTAGCTGAGAAATATTGCCAACTGAACTTCAGGGGAAAAGGTAAAATCACTTCCTTTGGAGTGATTTTGGCAAAATCACTCCAAAATGCTGAAGGCTGCTGGTAATTATTGCCTGTTGGAGTGCACAGATTGATATTACAAGGCTCATGTGAACCCATGGGAAGAAGTCAGTACCACATGCTGCTATAGTTTGGAATATAATGTGAGAAAAAGCCCATTTACAGAGTATCCCCTTTACTGTGATTGATTTTCTTTCTCCCTCCCAAAGTGTTAGAGATTCATAATGTCCTGGCTGATTAGGCTATAGTTAAATAGATCTGTCTTGACTGATTTCTCTACATCTCACCCTAGTATTTAATAGAAATGGGCTTGATATTGAAACTAGGAGTTGGGAATGAAGAAAAGAGAAGGGTTTTTTTTTTTTCTTTTCTCCGTATTTTAGCATTTCCACCTTAATTCTTCTCACATAAAATTGGGAGTATTGCGGAGCATAATTGTAAAACTGGAAATATTCAGTGATGCATTTTTTAAAGACTGAGAAATGTAGTATAAGTAAAGTTCAGGACAGTGAATAGGAATTTCAGAAAGATTCTCCTTTGAATAAGTCTTTCTTCATTAATCAGAATGAAGCACTCCTTGCCCCACCAAAACACTCACCCCCTACCCTTGCAATATAAAAGAAGTTGTAATTATATTTATAGTGCCTAGAAATAGTCTATGCCTTTGGGATGTCATTTTTTTTTTTTTTTTTTTTTTTTTTGAGACGGAGTCTTGCTGCGTCTCCCAGGCTGGACTGCAGTGGCGTGTTCTTGGCTCACTGCAACCTCCACCTCCTGGGTTCAAGCGATTCTCCTGCCTCAGCCTCCAAGTACCTGGGATTACAGGTATGCATCACCATGCCCGGCTAATTTTTGTATTTTTAATATAGACAGGTTTTCACCATGTTGGCCAGGCTGGTTTCAAACTCCTGACCTCCAGTGATCCACCCACCTTGGCCTCCCGAAGTGCTGAGATTACAGACGTGAGCCACCGTGCCCGGCTGGATGTCATTTTTAAAACCCATTGTCTGGCTAGAGCATTCTTAAAGGGACTCACAATGGAATGTTGGTTGAATCTCTGGAGCTGATTGCATGGAACTTTTTTTTAAAATTGTGAAGAGATTAGACAGTTTCTAAAATATTTTCCACCTCCAATCCTGAAAATGCAAAGTATTTAAAAATGTTTGTTTTTATCTGCAGAAAGGAAATTTGTTTATCTTTAACTCACCAGAAGTCCAAACAAAGGTTTAAAAATCTCTGAAAATTGATCTATTAAAGTTCCAGGGAAAACCTGGATTTGAGCACTACGTAGGCTATTTGTGAATTTAAGATGGCTTTAGTTTGTCTGGATAAATCCCCAGAGGAGGCAGGTAGTCCAAATTTATTTCATTATAGGGCTTACCTGAATGGATTTGAAGGACAAAACCAAGTATAAATGTGGGTAGATGAGCCTCAGGGCATTCAAGAGGAGGGCCAGCTTCATCTACACTTACTTGTCATAAGACAGTCAAGTATTCAAGAGAGCTCAGGCTCACAGAACCTGAATGGGTCATTTGTGCAGTATGCATTTGTGAGTTTTAAAATTTAAGAGGTTTCAAAAGTACTGGCAGGCCAGAATGTCTGTTTCATTCTATACAGTCTTTTATGGGTTGTGGTCATTCATTTATTCATATTTGCTTTCTGTTCTTCCTTCCCTCCTTCCATCCATCTGTCCATCTATCTCCTCATCTATCCTGAAATATTCATTGAGTGCTACCTTTGTGCTGGGTCTTATTCTAGGTGCTCACTAAATCTTGTATCAATGAGTGAGCTTAGAGTACTAAACTTCATCCTACATTGCTATGTACTGAATTGATATGTGATCATTGAGGAATATGACAAAACACTGATATTTGTATAAATTACATAGCGATTTCACATACTTACCCATCCCAGCCCTGGGAAATGTATATAGGATTAGGAAACAGTATGCAAGTGACAACTGTGAGTGAGAGTCTTTTCTCTGAGTGGTGCTCAGGTTGGTACCTTGCCAGAATAGATGTGTCATGGGTGCCTTTTTATTTGGTGTAGATGGGGTGGCCTCGGTCTCTTATTTTTACTATCAGAGCCTTTTCTGTAACTTTCACCATTCCTAAGTCCCCTCCCACCAATATCAGAAAGGTCTTTTTGCCCCTTGGATGGAGATTTAATGCTTTTCATCCCCCATCTTCACACTTTATATTTTAGGCCCAGTTAGTTCTCTAGTCCTATTAGGTTTCTGCCACATCTGCATGGATATTGTCCCTTTTGTTTTTCTGAGTTTTAGCAGAGGAAAGCCTGGCCATTTCAGGCTCCACTGGCCCTTGTTAAAGAGAAGACAACTTCCAGTGACATGTAACTGACAAGTGAGCATGTCACTGGCATGTGGGTAAATTTCCTCAAAAGCATGAAGAGTAAAGCTGTGAATAAGAATCATAATATTAATAGTTTAATGAAAACACATAGGACAATGGTGAAAGTCATGTTCTAGAATAAATTACGATTAGCTTGATTCTTTAAGATTATTCTACCTTTTAAGTAAAATAGATATGATTAAAGGAAGAAGGACATTTTTATTCCATCCATCTTTATGCTTCAAATATTCAACTTCTAGAAACTTGGGGAAAATCCAGACTCTCTAAATAGGAACAGGCTGTTAACTACTGCCTGAGTGAATCGTGTAGCTATTTAAGATGATGGATGAGATCCTAGTCTGAGGCAAAACCATTTCTTGCAGGGAGTGGCTTGTAGAACCTTTTTGCAGAGAGGGCTTGAAATATAATCTTATATAAATGCCTAGGGTTAATACAGCTGAGTTGTGATTGCTTTTCTAAAAAATAATTTTGAATAGGTAATATACGAAAGAGTATAATGTTTAAAAAGTATAAAAATTGAAAGTAAACGTCTCCCCAGCTTCATGTCCAATTGCCAGTTTTCCCACCCTGAAGGCAACCACTACAACCAGTGTCAAGTTATCTATCTGGAAATATTTTATTCATATACAAACCCAGAAATGTATTCTTCTTTTAAACAGGTGGTAGAATGGTTGATTTTAAATGCAGTGTCAGAATTTCACAGTTACAGAAACCCCTTTACTCGAGAACAGGTTTAAGTTCCTAAACACTGTTCAAAGCCCCTCCGCCTCCCCAACTTGCCCTGGAATATGCCCAAAGTGACGTCTCACAAATGACCACCCTCCAACCCATGGTAGAGGGGAGCAGGCATGCTGCTACCCTGAGGGACATCTTCATTTGTATTTATGAAAATTAGTAAGTCAAAAATTTGAAAATAATGGGGCTTTTCTGTTTAAAGAATATTCAAATACAGAGTGCTAAATCTGTATTTTAGCAATGCTATAAGCAAATGTATCCTGAAGATTATCAAAAGGGGCCCTTATATTGCCATGATCTATGACTGGCTTCAGCTGTCCAGAAGGGACCTCAGAGAGCAGATGCCGCTCATCCTCTGTTCTCTTCCTCCTGAGGCTAGACCTGGCTCAGCCGATATCAGGTCCTTACAGGTTCGTACAGGATGCCTTTCCCTTTTCCTAGCTCACTGCCCTCTGAGGCAACATGCTTTCGATTAGTGAATTCAAAATACTCTTTTTATAGCCCAAAAGAATGGAGGTAGATAGATATATAACATATATTATATATTTGGATACATATAAGTATATGCAAATATTAAAATGTTTCTATACAAATATATATTTTATATATATATATTTTTTTATTTTTTTCCCATAATTTGAGGCCAGCAGGGGGAGATGTTGCCTGCCACATCAGGCTGTGGGAAAAAGCAGCTAGGATAGATGGACTCATTCATTGCTCTTTGGTCCATGTCCTCCATCTCTCCTGCTTATGAACAGGAGGGCTGGGCTCTGTGGATCACTGGGGTCCTCCCTAATCAGTCATCGTGCCTGTGCTTACTTCCACCTGCCTTTGTATATATTTCTCAGAAATAGCTTTTTACAAAAAAAAAAAATGCTCCTCTTGCAGTCAGAGGTTACACATTGTAGGTGCAACAGAAGCCTGTGCCCCTGGGCACCAACTTCCCTTTTCCATCCTTCTGAGCATTCTTCCGTTACCTCTTCCAATAACCAAAATATTCAAATATATTAATCAAAATGCTGCTCTCCCCCTTTGTCAGAGGGGATGTTGCTTAGTTACACCATTTTAAAAAATCTTGTATGATGTTCTAAAACATTAAATAACATTTAAAGATGAAAACTCCCACTCAGAGTGGAACATTCTGATATTTTTAGGGGCAGGAATCTTCACTGATGTCCTGCTGAAGGATCCAGCTAGTTTTCATCCCTACGCAAACCACTCCTCATTCTGTCCAGGACTGTTTTCCTCTCTAGTGACCAGCGTGTGTGGTTTTGTAATGGGTGATCTGTGGAAATCCCCTCAGCTTTTTGTTCCTGCGACACACAGCTCTGTAGCACTGGTGGGGGTGGGGGGATTGGATCATGCCCACAAAATCTACTTTTGTGCAATTCGAGATACATTGATCTTAGTTTCAGGGATTCTACTTTGTCATCTGGGTTGGAGATTTTTGTTATAGCAAGGAATAAAGTAACACCCAAAATGGGTCAGCTAGCAAAGTTGGCATGATTATCATCATCCTCCAAAAAAAATAAGCAGTCACATTTTTTTTATCTCATTGTCTGTTACCTAGTCGACTATTAAAACCTTAGGAAAAGAAGATGGCATCCTAACTTGAGACAGAGTTAGGGGAAGATATCTTATAAAAATGCACTTCTCTCTGTGGAAAAATGGCCTGCTCACTCGCTAACCATTGATTTGATCTATGAGGTGCTGCCTGTAGACAGAGCCACGGATGTTTGCTTCCCCAGCATGAAGAGTGTGATACCAATGAGCTCATGTCCAGAGAATTCAATCCCCATGCATGTTACCACACTTTATTCTGCTCGGACCGTCCTCGTGCACACTACTTAGCTTTGTTCTTGCAGACTACATGCTATTCGTCTTGGAAAAAAGCAAGTGGGAGAGTAAAGTTTGCTCAGGTCTGTCCAGCTACTACTATTTCAGAAATAACCAGTAATCTGTGTTTGTGTTCAGGAAAGTCATTTGCAGAAGAGTTCTCAGGGAGGCAAAGTAATAGTAAAGCTAGAATTCCTGCGTAGGTCATCTCGCCATTCTTCAAACCCAGCATGCTTCATCTGTGCCTCCCTGCTTTTGCCACTCCTTAACTCTCTCTAGCCCCATTTTGCTCATCCATTAGACCTGTTTTTTCCATGACACCTTTCTGACTCCACCATGTCCTCTCTCATCTTCTCTACGCTCTCTATGCTGTTCGACCTGGTGCTCTTCCTTTTTAGTGTGTGTCTTTTGTATTTTGCCATGCCTGTGATTGGCATCTCAGCAGCTACACTACAGAACAGCCACTAGACCAGAAACCTTTCCTTGATTCCCTTGCACTTTCTGGCACATTGCTTCCTGGCCATGTGCTGTGGCAGGTACGTAGTAAAAATCTTCTGGCCAATGATGCTTATTAAATTATGAATTATTGGATAGTGACTCACATAAATAATATAAGGACTCAATATTTTTACCCCATAACAACTTTTGTTTTTTTGAGATTTAGTATTTGTTCATTGGTAGGAAGAGTGTAATGATATAAATTCCTGGAAGAGGATTTTTCTTCAGTTATCATATCTTTCTCTTAAAATAAGGAAACCAAAGACCCTGCAGGAGGCCATTTGGTACAGTCGAGAAAGTCAGTGAAAGATGAACTTCCTTAGGGAAATACATTGAGCAGCCCCACTTTAATAGTCCTGGTGACTCATTTGAGAGAGGAACTCCCTCCCGTAGCCTAGGATTCTCCCTCCAGGGCCTGCCCATCAGCATCCTTGCATATTTAGAACGACACCTTGGGAGAAATGCATCTCGCAGTGACACTTCAGTGACTCAGACGCTTTGTATACAGAGAAATTCCAGTGACTGTAGGTTTATCTTTAACACAGTTTGGTTTCGTGCTTTGGAATTGTAGTTACTTTCCAAAAACCATAATTGGCATTTGTATTACTTTCTATCAAAGTGGAATTATCAGAAAAAAATGTATGAAATGTGTGGATTGCCACAAGCTGTGAGATATAGACATCAGTTGTTTGTAGATTTGATCCCTGTCTACTGGGTGTATTTAAATGACTTGGAAAATTAAAATAATATAAATTTACAGATCCTGTCACTAGAGAATCTACTACAGTATACTTCCATGCTTTGTTAGACTGCTTTTCCTCTATTTCCATTGAGAGCTACAGTCAATGTAGATAGAGGTTATGAGTGAAGGCTTTGGAATCAGACAGCTCAGGTTTGAGTCCTGACTCTCATTTCTTATCTGTCTGACCTGCAGCAAACCTCAACATCTCTTCTGTAATATGGGGAAAGGAATTTCTGCCTCCCAAGGTTCTGTGAGGGTTCACTAACAACATGAACGTGAGACATAACATTGTGGCACGTTAAGGAGCACCTCAATAAATGCCAGCTAGTCCCATTCTTATCGCTACACTATTTCTATTTTGGCATGTTGTTTTGGTGCATCATTTTTCTGATATGTTCAAGAGGTTACAAAGTTTTGGAGGAGCATATAAAATCAAACAGAAATTGATGTAATTTGTTGGCGCTGAGTGGAAAAAAGAGGTCATTCAGAGTCATGAGTAGGATTCCCTGAGAGGTGGTATGGTGGATTTCCACAGCTGATTCCTCCATGACTTGTTTCACTGTTTAAATTACTGTTTTCTCCAATTGCTTTGCAGCGGAGATAAAAATCTGTTTTAAATATTACCACGGCATTAGTGGAGCCCTGCGAGCCACGACCCCCTGCATCACCGTGAAGAACCCAGCTGTGATGGTGAGTGCCCCTCGCTGCCAGCTTCCTTGTGAGATCCATGCTGGGTCTTGATTTCTATTTTTACCTGTGCGGCCCTGACAGGGTTATGAGGAACAATGAAAAAGGAAACACATAACAGTGTGGGCACTGTTATAGGAAAGGAAATAGCTTACAAGGTTGGCACACCTGAATCCCTAATTCGAATCAGTGGAAACATAGGATTTGATTTGTAACAGCCATTTGTAGAGTCGACTCTCCGGGGAACCCATTCATGAAGCAAAGTAGCAAGTGCCCCATTTTGGAAGGTTTAAACTTAGTGTGGGTGACCAGTTGGTAGGAAAGAGTGGCATTGCATCTTATGTGAATTTTAACTATTTAAATTATGGGTGATTTACCTGCCAGTCAACTTAAGGAGCCGTTGCTCGGAAGGGAGTCTAAGTTGGCAGTCACAAATGCACTGTTTTCCTTAAGGTCTTAGTGCTGGTTCCTTCTCAATGCTGAGTTTGGATCTAGTGTCTAGAGATATGGCTCATATTTTGGGTAAAATGTGGCCACTCAATGGAAGTCAACTTCTTTAACTTCAGAAGTTGACTTCAGAAGTCAGGCCTTCAGTTGAAGAAACAGATACCTAATTTACTTTTGTAGGAAACTTGTTGTGTTGGACTTTTGAAAGAAAGCCTGCCCATTTCCAACATGGCAATTTTGTGATTTTTTAAATTTTATTTTAGAATCTAACAGTCTCACAATACACAGCTACACTGTATATGGGTGGTTGGACTCAGATGGTTTGGGGAGATTCTTAGAGTCTAAGATATGTAAATTACTTCAGTTTTAATTAGTCATTACTAAAAATGAGGTCATGAAAGCATAGAAAAAATACTGACTCCTATGACATAGAATCTTTACAACATTGTATGTGTGGGTGTATGTGTATATACACATTTATAGATGCTTGCATTTTTGGAAACAGGCAAGTAGTCAGGTTGAAATTCAGAAAGCAGTCTTTGCAAATGGCACTTTGAAATTGTTCAGACTCACCCTATGCTGTCTCTGATAGTGCTTGTACCTATCAAGCACTGTATCAAGCAGTCTTTCCCTCTCATCTATTCATTTAAACAAATATTCATTAAATGTCTGCTAAGTACTAAGCATTGTGCCACCACTACAGATGAAATGATGAAGAAAAACGCCGTCATTGATCTCGTAGGTCTGGTGCAGAAGAGAGACATCAATCAAATATTATATTTATTTGAGTGATAATTGTATGAGAGGGAGCAAAATGGGGCAAGAGAGCATGTTCTGTGTAGTAGGATTTGTCCTGATCAGGAAATTCCTGGAAGGCTTACCTGAAGGTGTGTCCGAGAGACAAGCTGAAGAATGAATAGAAGTTTTATAGGTGAAGAGGGAGGGAAGAGCGTTGCAGGCAGAGGGAATAGTGTGTGCAAAATCCTCAACATCTAAGTACTCTGCTCACATTAGAATTATATTTGAGTTTCCATTGTAGTAAACATAGTGTAGAACATAGAAGAGAAGCCTACATTTACTATATAAGACTTTGAAGGTCACAAAGAGAATAGCAATTGTTGATTACAAAGTCTGCCATGTCACATAGTAAGCACTGGAACAGACTTTAGTTAATATTCTAAAAACGGAAAGTTACAAAACTAGAAGAGTGGGGCTGTTTTTAATAAAATCTTTAAAAAAATCATTGTGTCTGAAATTAGACAACAGCTTCCAAACATTTTTAAGCATTTTCTGGATTTAGATTTTTTTAGACTTGAGCAATTTCAGTATTTAGATATCATTGAAGGCAGTGGGAGTTTACGGTTTGTTGAACACTGATCTTATTCCATTGATTTTTGCATTGAGATTGCTCTGTCAAAGCCTGTGGATAGTTTGGAGATAATTTGCTTCAAACAGGTTTCAGAGCATCTTGAAAGTGTCACAGATACAACACTGGCAATCAGTATAGTGTATTTTGGTTCAGAGACTGAATAATGCCATGGGTCTTTAATCGATTTCTGACCAAGCTTGAGACAGTTTGGTCTATGTCCAAAATTGAAAGGCTGTACCTCATGGGCACCTCATTTTGGGGATCAGGACTATGTTTCTATAATAGCATGATGGTCATCTAGGTATATGACATGTGTTTAGTTATGTGACTGATTAACATCCTTGATACTTACAAATCCCACTTAGTACAATTATACCATGGCCAGATACAAAGAATAGACCTGGAAGATGTAATTGAGAAACTCCACAGGGAAGGAAATGAGCTGTCATGCTAATCATGTGGTCTCTTTTCTCACGTATCCTATTGCGATGAATTGAAGATTAAAAAAAAAAGGGGGACCTCTCTGTCATTTGTATTTTGTTTTCATTGTCATTCATCAGCATACACAGTGATATGTGTCTTAGATACTTGGAACAGGAAATCTTTCGGCTTCAGGGACAAATTAAGGCTGCCATTACTCACTACCATGTATTGTTTCAACACTTGGTTGACGTTCTTATTTCTGGGTTTTCCTGGAATGAATCTATGGAGTGAGTTTATTTTAAAGCTAGTCTCTAAACATTGAGTGCAGATGTGTTTATTATCCCTAATATCCCTGTATCTAGTGGTAATGCCTGGTTTTTCCTGGCTTTATTGTAATGAATGATAAAAATTGAATTATTTGGATATGATTTCAGATGAGCATTTTGCCAGAGTTGTTGTTCAGGACACTTTTTCTGTGAAGTCTTTGAGAATTGTTTCAGGAAGCCTTTTGCCAGAGGGTGAATTACATTTGAAAAATGAGAATTAGAGGACATTTTCTTTCGTTTCTCATAATTTCTTATAATTTTCAAATAGGTTTTAAATGAAGACAGGTTATGAATTGTTTCAGCCTCATTAAACTCATTTAGCACAAATATCCATAGCTGACAGAGATGTGTTTTGAGGGGTGGCACATCTTACTGGGGCGTGTGGCCCATTTGCAGAGAGGCCGCAGTTTCTAGGATATCTTCCTGTGCCCAGGCACAGAAGGAATGGCAGGTTACCGAGGGTGTGTCTCAGTCATAGTCCAGCGTAGTGTGTGGTGAAAGCAGGATGAGATAGCCACAGCAGTTAGTTCTCTGGCCAGTGTACTGCTGCCTCTGCCCTAGTTAATCTGGAAACGCTGAGTCAGAGGAGTACAATACAATATAATAAACCACACATGTTTGTTGAGAGCCAACTCTATGACCCAGGAATTGGATCTATAGATGGAAGGAAAAACAGATACCTGGATGGACCCTGGTGTGTTGCAGAGGACATGTGAAGCAATCAGGATGCAGTTAAGTGGCACACAAAATAGTTTGACTAAGGTACAGGAGTTACAGCGGAGGCAGTAGAAATTTATACTTCAAAATTTGAATGGAATTTCTCAACTTTGCTTGGATTAGTGATGGCTTTTATCTCCTGGGGATGTGTGATTTTTATAAGAGTGTGGGGAATGCAGCAAAGATAAAGGGGAGAAAGAGTTTAAAAAAAAAATCAGACCTGGGCAGTAGTTAAGTAGTAAAAGCAAATTCAAATCACGAACTATTGCATTAGGGGAAAAGAGAACTCAATATAGAATTGGCTCAATTCCAGATACAACAAGGGAAAGTGGGGGTTAGTAGCCAAGAAGCAGGGTTGGAGTGGAGGGATTGGCAGATGGAAATTTACCAAGAGCTTAGGGGGATTCTTGTTAAACTGACCTAACAGAATTCTTGCTGATGGCGGGGCCAGAGTGATCAGATATCGCATGGAGGTTGGTGGGAGATGAGGAGTTCGATCTGATATCAAGGGTGATCACATATTGAGGGTGGGGATTGACTCTAAACTGACTTACCAGGGATTTTGCTAAAACTAAACTCTATAAGGATGGAGATAAAAGCCCAAGGCCTGCCTAGTTGAGCAGAGAGCTCCAAAGAGCCTGAGTAAAGTTTGCTCAAGGAAATAATCTTTGTCAGAAGAATTTAATCTAAACTTCAGAATTAAAATGTGGTTCTATTTCCCACATTTGGGTATATTCTGCCTTCAATTCTGTTGACTTCTTTTGACTTATTTTGCAGAGTAATATGAAGGTTTTTCTTCCTAATGTACCACAAATTGTGCATTAATTGTACATAATTTGAGAGAAAGGTCTAAATTTGCTAGGTGGTTTATAAATTACTGGCTTCTTGTGAGGTATAATTTACTCAAAAGCTTTCAGGAAAAGGTTATCAGTATAATAGCACTGCAAATTCTTATTATTGCTAATTATAGTAGCATGTGCCATGTACCTGCAGCACAATAGAACACAAGCCTACAAGGGAGATAGGACTCCATGTGGATTTTCAGAAATACTTGACGAGAGAGCATAATTCTGTATATATGGGTAGGTCTGATATGAATCAATTGTTTCGTTTATTCTAGGTTTTCCTAACAAATCTGAAGGAACTTGATGTTTGGTTTTTAACTAAAGAGAATGTTTAATATAGTAATAGTAATATATTTACTACAAATCAACTATATTCTTATCAAAGGGAAAAAAAGACATAGTTTGATTCATAGTTATTGGAAATTTTGAAGCTTATATATTTTTTATTTGTGGTAAAGATTAAATTTTAGTCTTTCCTCCAAGAATCAGCATTTGTGTCTCTGTTCCAAGATTGGGAAATGAAAGGACACATGATACAATACCCGTTTGATGCAAAAATCATTGCATTTAGGAACATACATGGTTTCCTAGTCAGATCCAGTGGCATCATATGCTTCTGAAACTTCAGATGCATGTTTTTTCTTTTCAGATGGGGGCAGAAGGCATGGAGGGAGGTGCTTCAGGAAACCTGCATTCTCGAAAACTTGTTAGCTTTACATTGTCAGGTAAGAATGTCTTTAAACGTGACATCCAGTTTGAAAGTGTACAGTTTCGAAGGTATGAATAGTCACTTCTTTCTGCAGACTTTCGTATATGATATGATGATATGTGAACTAGTTTTGGGGGGTCATACTTCTGAAAATTCAAGTATATCTCTTACCATGATAAATTAATTATTAATATAAATTCAGAAATTATTTCTTCTACCAAGTTTTCTGGCGATAGACAGTCTATATAACTATGTATAGTTACTTCAAGAAAAACTGTAACGTAATGTGCTAACCTCACTGAGGAGCTTTGATTATTGAAAATAATTTATTCTTACTTCAGCTAGAGAAAGAAAAAATTTGAAGACTGGAAAACAAAAGCCAATATACTTCTTTATCTGTGGAGGAATACACATGCAAATTGGAAAGTGGATAAGCCAATTATTTTTGGCTTGTTTTCTGATTAGTAAAATGTTCAAATTGCTTGTATGTTTACCATACAAGTAAAGCACGGCTTTTCAAGTTATGAGACAAGACTCATTTCCAGTTTGTAAGTTTGATTTAGTTAAAATCAGTAACTGAAAAAAAAAGAATAATGTCAGAGTTTACCACTAAAGGGATTTTTTTTGGGTAAAGCATCAATTTATATAAACTGAAAATTTTCATATACAATAATATACATCCCTATATTTATGTGTAGTAGGTTGCAATGTAAAATGTATTTCATACATAGGACACTGTTGAAAAAGTTTGAAGGGCACTGATTTTAGAAAATAAATTGGTAGTCATAAAGTCAAGAATAAGAAAATCCATATTTGAAATAGACTTTTAAAACAGATAACTATGCTACAATACATAGAAAATAAAGTCTAATGGATCTCCTTCACTGGAATATGTTTTGTTTTCATTTTTCTGTAGTTGTAGTACTTCCAAAATTTAAATTAGATCCACTTTTCTTGATTGCAAAAAACAAACAAACAAACAAAAAACGTGTTGTGAGAGTGAGCGTTAAAAGACCTGATCCTGAAACAGACTATTCCACAAAGCATAATTACCACATATGACTAAAGTGTACACATCAGTTCATTGCTGGCCCATGGCCTTCTGAGTATCTGTGCTTGGTTTTGCATGTTTCTCCTTTTCCCATATGAGCTTGCTTTTTTGCTTGGCTTCCCTGGTGAATTTCAGCAGCTGTAAACTAGTGACTTATGGTTCAAATTTGGCCAATAAATTTGTTTTGTTAGGAACCATCAGGGTTTAAAAAATATCTAGGTTTGCAGAAGGGCACTAAAAATAACCACTGCCTGTGGTACTATCTCCCTACCCCTCTTATCTGCCTGTTTCCTAAAAACATTTTGGCTGGACACCTGTGCTTTAAACCTTCACAGTATTGAGGGTCTGAAGCTACTAAAATCCCTGGTGACAGGCAGGAAACAATTTGTCGACCCTGATAGCTCAGAAAATTTAGAGTATGACCACACCATGGGTTTCTTGTTTTTGTTTTTTTAATTTACAGGTAAAAAAAATTTTTTTATGGTGTACAGCATGATGTTTTGATATAAACCATGGGTTTCTTAGTTTAAAATTATTACCCTATGCTTTTAGGTGATCCGTATCATTCTAAGCATGACACACACTTATTGGTTTTGACTCCAGATGGGATGTTATTAACTGACTATGTGAGAATGACCATCTGCAAGTTAAAAATCCTAGGGCATTTTCCTAAAAAGTAGGAAGTAAGCTTTGAGGCACAGCCAAATGCTTCTTCCTTACACATTTCTTCCAACATCGCACCTCTATTCACATGGAGGCTAGCTACCTAACATCTGTTTTATTTCTTACCATATAGCCAGACATTTGCAGACAGTGTACAGAAATGACTAGGAGCTGAAACCAATTCTATAATGTTAATTCTAAAAATTAATCTGGTTGTAGCATACTAACAGCAGATGATAATATTTATCTGAGAACATTTAAGCACTTTAGAATGGCTGCCTACAAATGTTCCACTCTTGATTATCTATGGATAGGTAGGGGCACAAATACTTGAATTTTATGGCTAAAATTAAAAATGTATTTTCATTAATATTTTAAACATGCTGCAAATAAGGCTTTATTTAGGATATTTAACACGTCAAACCTTTGTGACTTTGAGTCCTTCTTTGGCCTATTATATGGTGTGGATATTTGTGAGCAATAGCATATGTAAAAGACAAAAAAGAAAAGATCAGAAATGAGATGGATAAAGGGAACTGAATAATCAGATTAAAAATCACTGGTAGTTTATTGTATTTATTAAGGAAGATTTATTTGTACAATGTCCCATTGTGGAAAAATTTTGTATCAGGCTTATCTAACAGTGATATTATTTATCGCAGTGACTTAATTGTCTGGTGGAATGCTTTTTGTTCAAAGGAATATTTTTTGTGAATGATTTAGCTCTGTCAGACCTTGTGGCATTCATTTCTGTCTATGTTACTCTTTATTTACTACAAAGAGAACCCTTTTTTGGGCATAGATTTAATATATAAAGAATATCATTCTTCTGTCTGGGTTCAAGGGCAACATAATCAAGAAAGGCAAGAAAATGAATGTGGCAATTGCATTTTCTTCTCAAAGCTGTTCCCTGCTGAAGAAAGCCAAGTGAAAGTAGCATCATTAAACTGACAGTAAGATGCAAATTCTGCATTTAATAATGAGTACATAGTTTACGAAGTGTCAGGAATGGGGACTGCACGGCTAATGAGATTATGGCAGCCTCTCTGAAGTGCCTATCTAGTTCTTTACCCGTCTTTTCCTTCTCCTACTGGTTTTCAGATCAAAGATCTTGCTATATATTTCATGCAGTGTTCTCAATGTGCAGTGGCTCACGCCTGTAATCCCAGCACTTTGGGAGGCAGAGGTGGGCAGGTCATGAGGTCAGGAGATCAAGACCATCCTGGCCAACATGGTGAAACCCCATCTCTACTAAAAATACAAAAATTCGCTGGGTGTGGTGGTACGTGCCTGTAATCCCAGCTACTCAGGAGGCTGAGGTATGAGAATCACCTGAACCCAGGAGGCAGAGGTTGCAGTGAGCCAAGATCACACCACAGCACTCCAGCCTGGCGACACAACGAGACTCTGTCTCAAAAAAAAAAAAAATTGCTCTTAGTTTAATTTTTAAATATTTGCAGATATATCAAACTTTCCGCCTCTACTGCCAGGTGTGTGTCATTAGACCTTTCTGGAGTGTTTTCAGCACATGTACCTGGGCCATGAGTTCTTGTGGGCCACTGGTGAGCCACCTCCTGGGAGCTCTCCTTCAAGAATACGGTTCTATGGGCAATTTCAGGCCAATTCTATTTTTCTAAGAAAGACCTTGTATTTCAGGAATGGGCTTATGTGGGATGACCCTGGTGACCTCCTATAATTTAAGAGTCACTATCCAGGATCTGGTTGCCAGCTAATCTGGGTAATTCAAAGGTCTTTGGAGGTTCAGGGGCCATATGCAGAATTTCTCTCTGAACCACAGTGTTCAGAACCTCCCTAGATTAATCTTCCAGCATTTTCTAAGATTATTTAGCTCCCAGGCCTATCTTATTCAAACTGATATTCTCAGAAATGTTGAAGACTCAGTGGAGCCAGCTTTATTTCCTGACATGTTTGTGTCTCTTAGCCTGACCATGGAAAAACATACAGTCTCCTCACTAAATGGACTTTGGCTAGGACTTTTAGCAGCATATAGTGTGAAACAGCAATTTGTGAATCTAAGGTGAGTTATAGGACATTCTTCAAATATTTAAGTTACTTTACTGGCTATTTAAAATAGCAGGTAGCACTTACATTTCAGAAAACATTTCCCCTAACATTCATCACATTTATGGAATATATATGACATTTTGTGGTACAAATGGATATATGCTCTGATGTTTCATCTCCAATTAAACTTAGTTCTATGTATATGTAGAAGATTCATTTTTCTCTCATGAAGGAACATGTTTTTCAGTGAACTGCTTACTCAGTATTTCCCTCAAGACATTGTCTGAAATTCTGGTTGCCGAATTACATTGCCCTAGGAAAAAGGTGGTGAAGATGCACATGTTGGAATCAAAAGAGTTCCCAGGAAAAGTCAGTTTAGGGATGTGAGGTGGTGCTAAAGGTTTGGCTTCACTTTTGCGGCCTGTTAGGTGACCCCTCTGCTGAAATTACTACCATAACCCATTTGTCTTCACTTATCTAAGCAATCATAGTGTGAATAACTGCTATTGTGTTACAGAGCCGTTTCTGTTTAGAGCCTCCTGTGTGTTTATTTAAGAACAAATTATCTTTGAGCTGCTTGTTCTAATCAGGACATATGAATCCTTCCTTCTTCTGTCCCTTGTTCTCTCCCTTCCTCCTTTCTTTCCTCCCTCCCTCCTGCTTTCTCTTTGTCCCTCCCTCCTTCTCCCTCTTTCTTTAAAGATCTTAGGGCAGTTGGGCTAAAGAAAGGGATGTTCTTCAATCCTGACCCTTATCTTAAGATGTCAATTCAGCCAGGAAAGAAGAGCAGTTTCCCCACCTGTGCCCACCACGGGCAGGAGAGACGGTCTACTATCATCAGTAACACCACCAATCCAATTTGGCACCGAGAGGTAAGATGATCCTCGGGGGTCTCCTACTTGATGGTGAGGAAGTCAGCCCAGTCTCTCTCTTTCCTTGAGACTTTTGCATCCCTCAGGTTGTTTATGAAGTGTCTAGGGGTTCTGCTGGGAAGGGGTACAATGAGAATGAGCTATTCCCATCTCTCCAGAGCCAGGTCTAGGGTAAGACAAATGAAGCTGTCACATCAGGGGAACAATTTAAGGAGCCTCCAAAAAACTCAATTGTTAAAATAAAGGTCTTAATGCAGTTTTTTTTAACTCACAATTAATGCAAAAAATTCATAATGAATAAAATATGAACATTTAAAATAAGGACAGGATCAGTAACATTGCCTTGTAGAGTCATAGTAGGGCCTGAGGCAAGAGGAAAAATCAGCAATACTGATCTTGTTTTATTTAAAATTTTGATATTTTGTTGTAGCATACATTTAGTACAAATTAAAGGAATTTCTCTCTCTGCGGGCTTTGGCAAATGTTTTATGAATTTCTAGAGTTTTGTTAATTAGATGAGCCATTCAAGGAGTCATCATCCTGAGTGAAGCCAGATTGTGTTGATGGTATTTTAGACTTCCTCACAGCTACAGTATGCTACCAGTCATCTTAGTGCACCATATCAGTGAAATCAAGCAAAGGGTTTTCTCATTTGAACTACGGAAAGTCAAAGAATGAACAAATAGACACTTCTTATCTAGTGAGCAAAGCTTGAGCTCTCCCTCCATTTCTTGGAGATCTGAGGCATGTTTTACATAACTAGTGTGAAAATCTTTCTGGGCTGGCATAGGAGTTACACAGTTAATTAGATCATACCCTAAATATTTAATGACAACAATATGTTCTAACAATATTGTAGAAATATTTAATTGGAGAGAGGTATATCAGGGGATCTAAAACCGATTGCAGAAAAGATATAGTTATCTGAGACTTGCCAACACAGCAAGGCATTTCTCCTGGGCAGTTCCTATGGTTTTAGATATTGAATATTGCTTGTATTCTTACACTTGGTTTAAGAAACTACTAATGATCTCATCATGGTAAAAAAAAAAAAAAAAAACAAACAAAAAACAAAAAAAACTCTTAAGGGCATGCCACTTAGTCTAATGCATTTCAAAGCCTAGAAGAAATAAAAATATATCTCAATATGATTCTAGAAAGCACATAATAGATATGATAATGAAACAAGCAGTAACTATTTTCCTAACATTTTAAATTTGCAAAGTTTTTGACCATGTCACCAGTGCAAGCCTGAAAGGGAGGCACGAAGGATGAGATTATTATGTCTTCATTTTGGTGATTAAGAAATTGAAGCTTAAAGTGTTTATGGGACTAGCTATTCAGAGACAGAAGTGGGGATTAAACTCGGCTTTTTTATTCTAAGCAAGTACTTTTTTCCATTAAGCAGACTGCCAAATTGCTTGGCCCTTTGGAAAACCTTAATTGTTATGACTAGATAAACCTAGAGGCACCTAAGTGAAAAGTTGGCTAACACTATTCACATCACTATAGTTGCATGGATACTGTCAGGGAAGCAGTGAAATAATTTAGGTTAGATTCCTGGCACCATCATTTACTTATCCTGAGATTCTCATCTTCAAAAAGAAAGTTACATCGTTGTAAAGATAAAGTGAAGATAATATATGTAAAAGTCTCTGTGAGTAAAGCTCTTCATATTTATTTTATATCCTTATTAATGTCCGATCCAAATTTCCCCAGTGGCATTCTTAAAATGAAAACAACAAAAGCTATCTTAACCTCATACTTTTATTTTTCTGTCCCAGAAGAAATGACCCTGTATGCCTTTTAAACTTAAGGAAAAATTCCATTTAAACATTCTTTTAACATTTATCAGGGAAACCACAGTATTCTGCAGATGTTCCTATTTTAACCACTAAGTGGAGGAGTATTTTCAACTATGTTTTGCAACTTCAGAATTTCATGAGATTAGGAATTCAAATTGTCAATCAAATATACTAGTTAATTCTAATCCATTCTATAACAAGATATTAAATATCAAAGAATTGAGATACAATAAATGTAGGGAGTACTAAAATTGCATTGTGCATAACTTAATATTTGATAACATCTCCTAAAACTGTGAAACTAGGAAGGGCTGCATGATTGACTGAGAGGGCTTCTTTTGTCATACAGATCCTTGACTGCTGCTTTTTAATCATGGTGAATGCTAATCATTCTGAGTGAATAAAGGATTGACAATAGCTGCAGCTATTTCTAGCTATGTGGAACTCTGTATGTTGTTAGAATTTAAGAGATACCATTTCCTATACAAATAAAATGATATAGTATCATATTTGTCTTTCTTTTAAACCAGCATGTTATCTGTTTGTGTTTTCAGAAATATTCCTTTTTTGCACTTCTTACTGATGTCTTAGAAATTGAAATTAAAGACAAATTTGCCAAGAGCCGTCCCATCATCAAGCGTTTTCTGGGGAAACTAACCATTCCAGTCCAGAGGCTGCTGGAGCGACAAGCCATCGGGTAATCAGCCCTTACCTTTGGGGATCTTGTTGAGATTAGTTCATATAGGAAAAAATGACATGAAACTTGGTAGTCCTAGGACTTTTCATACTGATAAGAAGTAGTAACACAATTCTTTTAAAAATAAAAGTGTCCTTACACTTATTAAAATGTACTTGACAAAAAAGTAGTTTATTTTAATTATATATGTTTTTTGCGTCTTTATCTTTTCCAAGATGTACCCACTGTTAATATTTCAGTGTCAAATCTCATAGTGTTTGATTGTCTCTCAGTATATTGGAGCTTTTTATAAAAACTTCTCCCTGGGGCAGAATTCTTGGATCAGGTTGATGCCTACCTTATCC
Organism: Homo sapiens; assembly: GCF_000001405.40. Taxonomy (NCBI): domain Eukaryota; kingdom Metazoa; phylum Chordata; class Mammalia; order Primates; family Hominidae; genus Homo; species Homo sapiens. The sequence continues at coordinate 196,322,133 of NC_000002.12, read as the reverse complement.
TAAATAATTCCATCCAGAGAACTTGTTACTCTTGAAAAACGGAAACAATCTTGTCTTGGAGCCATTTAAAACGAGACCTAGACTTGAAGAAGTGTTATAATAAAGCTCCTAGACATATACATTCATTCAAGCAACTAAAATTTATTCATTGACATTCTCTTAAAATTTAATGTGTAATTAATGTCTATTTTCTTTTTGTGAGCTTTTTGTAAGTTGTGAGTAAAGTAGTAAGTCATACTGAGGAGATAGAGAAGACCAAAAACAAGTTATGCAAATTAATAATGCATAGCTGACTAGAGGCTCTAAACTGTACAGTGGAGCAAAGAGTAGATAGAAGAAACATTGTATCTTCCTTCTGAAATAGCCATTAGAGGGCAGAGGTGGAGTGATTTGGCACTATCCTTTTGATGATTTTCCTTAATTAAGAATAAGTTGGCCGGGCACGGCAGCTCATTCCTGTAATCCCAGCACTTTGAGCGGACGAGGTGGGCAGATCACCCGAGGTCAGGAGTTCGAGACCAGCCTGGCCAACATAGTGAAACCCTGTCTCTACTAAAAATACAAAAAAATTAGCTGAGTGTGGTGGCGGGCACCTATAATCCCAGCTACTTGGGAGGCTGAAGCTGGGAGAATTGCTTGAACCCGGGAGGTGGAGGTTGCAGTGAGCCAACATTGCACCACTACACTCCAACCTAGGCAACCCGGGCAACAGAGCGAGACTCTGTCTCAAAAAAAAAAAAAAGAGAGAAAAAGAATAAGTCATTTAATTCAGAATAAGATTGTTACTTGTGTGCAGGAAAATGAAATGACTGCATTTGACTTTGATAAAGAAACAGACTTGAAACAGATGGAAAACTCCATCCTTCAGGAGGCAGACAGTCCAAGCCCGGGGCCCAGGCAAGGCAAAAACTAAACCTGCTTCCAGATCTGGGATATGACCCCACCACAGGGGCACATCTGGCTTTGCCAACCATCCCATCAGCACTGCTTACAAGGCACCCTGAGAATCAGTGATAGGCCAGGCTTCCCAGCAGGGAAGGCCAGCAGCTCCAGCCTCCTTACTCTACAGGTGAGGAAGGAGAGCTTAGCGGTCCTCTCCCCATCACACAGCCAGGGCTGCTGTCTTGGCTATGAAGGGCGCTTTCATTCTTGTGTTCTTGTGCTTCTCTCCCCTAAGTCCCAGCTCCTGTTCTTCAGGGCATAGCACAGTGCCCTACGTGCCATGTTGGGTGATAATCCTTAGCTGTGAGTGTCCTTTTAGAACCAGCTTTCTGTTGTGCTAAATGCCGAGGAACCAGGCTCTCTCCCCTTTTACACCCGAGTCAAAAAACCCCTAAAACTTGAGGCCTTTCACAACTCCTTTATGACCTTCAAAATGTCCTTTTCCTGGTCACCCTTAAAAGTGAGAGAGTGAATCAGTGTCCTTAAAAATATCACATAGCATATGATGTCTTGTGCTCGTAATAATAATTTTTCTTATGGCAACATTTCCTTTTATCTCCGGGTTTATAAGTGTTCCATTTGTATGAATGAATAATATTACATTGGACTATAATGGGCTTTGAGCCTTTAATGTTCTTGTGAGTCTGAAAGTTTTAAGAGAGATAGGAGGGATTTGGTGGGTGGCCTGTGGAAAGACGGCGAAGGCTGACTCCAGCGTAGTCAGGATGAAAGAAGCATTTCTCTTCTTGCAGTGATCAAATGCTCAGCTACAACCTTGGCAGAAGGCTCCCAGCTGACCACGTGAGTGGGTACCTCCAGTTTAAAGTGGAGGTTACGTCTTCTGTTCATGAAGGTGAGATATAAATATATCTGTATGAATACATTGCTATAGGAAAAACTTGTTAAACCTAACTCGATTGTCAGTTTGCTTCTGAACAGAATTGAATTCATGTTCTGTTTTGAAAGTAAAATAGCTGTCAAATAATTACCTGCTGAAATTTTCTAAGCAAGTAGGAAAGGCTGTTTGCCCAAAAATGTCTCTTAGATTGATGCCTGCATTTTGAAACTGGGCTGTAGAGTTTTCAGCCATGCTAACATACATAGCTCCTGTGCCAAGCTGACTAGCAGTCTCCTCATTTAGTAGTGAGTGGTGAATCTTAGCAAGTCAGTAGAAAGCCCTCAGAATGACTGATTTCTTTGAACTTATTGGTGGCAAAGCAAATAAGTCATAAAACGTTCACTTATTATTTCTGGTTAATTTTTTAGAAATGCTGTTTTCTCATTCAGATGCCTCTCCAGAAGCTGTTGGCACAATACTTGGAGTCAATTCTGTGAATGGAGACTTAGGTAGCCCTTCCGATGACGAGGACATGCCAGGGAGCCATCACGACAGCCAGGTGTGCTCTAATGGGCCAGTTTCTGAGGACAGTGCTGCCGATGGAACCCCCAAGCATTCATTCAGGACTAGCTCCACTCTGGAAATAGACACAGAGGAATTAACCTCTACGTCTTCAAGGACCTCACCTCCCAGAGGACGTCAGGATTCACTCAATGATTACTTAGATGCTATCGAACACAATGGCCACTCCAGGCCGGGGACAGCGACCTGCTCTGAGAGGTCCATGGGTGCCTCTCCGAAACTGAGGAGTAGTTTTCCCACTGACACAAGACTCAATGCCATGCTTCATATTGATTCAGATGAAGAAGATCACGAGTTCCAGCAAGACCTGGGTTACCCATCTTCCTTGGAGGAGGAGGGAGGCCTGATCATGTTTAGCAGGGCATCCAGAGCTGATGATGGAAGCCTGACATCTCAGACAAAGCTGGAGGACAACCCTGTTGAGAATGAGGAAGCCTCCACACACGAAGCTGCTTCCTTTGAGGATAAGCCAGAAAATCTTCCAGAGCTTGCAGAGAGCTCCTTACCTGCAGGCCCAGCCCCAGAGGAAGGTGAAGGCGGCCCAGAGCCTCAACCCAGTGCTGACCAGGGCAGTGCTGAACTGTGTGGCTCTCAAGAGGTAGATCAGCCCACAAGTGGCGCAGACACAGGGACTTCCGATGCATCAGGAGGAAGCCGAAGAGCCGTCAGTGAGACCGAGTCTCTCGATCAGGGCTCTGAGCCTTCCCAGGTGTCCTCTGAAACAGAACCCAGTGATCCTGCCAGGACAGAGAGTGTGAGCGAAGCCAGCACCAGGCCTGAGGGAGAGAGTGACCTGGAATGCGCTGACAGCTCCTGCAATGAGAGTGTGACCACGCAGCTGTCCTCTGTGGACACACGGTGCTCCTCTCTTGAGAGCGCACGGTTTCCTGAAACCCCAGCCTTTTCTTCTCAGGAGGAGGAAGACGGAGCCTGTGCAGCAGAGCCCACCAGCAGTGGCCCTGCCGAAGGGTCGCAGGAATCCGTGTGCACTGCTGGTTCTTTACCTGTGGTACAGGTGCCCAGTGGGGAGGATGAAGGGCCAGGGGCAGAATCGGCCACTGTACCTGACCAGGAGGAGCTGGGGGAGGTCTGGCAGCGGAGGGGGAGCCTGGAGGGAGCTGCAGCTGCTGCCGAGAGCCCACCGCAAGAAGAAGGCAGTGCTGGGGAGGCCCAAGGCACCTGTGAAGGGGCAACTGCCCAGGAGGAGGGCGCTACTGGAGGTAGGATATGGACACCACTGTGGCTCTTGGCTCGAGCGTAGCTGTGCAGAGAGAAGTTCTGTAGTTTTCCCCTCAATGTAAATAAGGCTGCAGGTTACATATGACCTGAATTCCTCACCTTGAGGTTCAGCAGGCAAGAAGAGAGGCAAGATTGAAAACAGGGCCAGGAAGAGAAGGAAACAGGTAACAAATGAGTGGGCAGCTGAAACCCTTCCTCTAGATTAGGCCTCCTGTTTCTGAGCGGGGAGACCTTGGGACTTAATCACATAGCTAGGAAGAAGGCAGCATGGTTTGCATCCAGATGGGCTTGAGTTCAAATTCAGTGCTCTTTTAAAAAATGGCTCTTCTGCTGCTGAAGTAACAGGCCTGTTAAACAGCAATCTTCAAACTTAAATAATGGGTCTCTATTGGAACCGGGGTTTGTAGATACACAACCAAACAGGCTGGCAGCTTCAACCTTAGTGTAATCTGCAAAGGTTATGAGAAACACCTAGCCACTCTTCCTTTCTAAAATTTCACAGTGGAAGATTAATGTATGCTATGCATCAAAGGTAGTGTTTTTGTCTTCTACAATTTAGGAATGTCAACTAAGTTAGGTGATGTCTTCTGACTTGGAGAATAAGCTGTTTTTGTATCCAAGGACACAAATTTACACCTGAAATTTGTATTACGCTCAGTGAATGCAGCTCTCTAGAATGATTCCTTTAATATGCCCTGTAAGGATGCATTAAAAATCAAAGAGCAATTTCATATGTCTGGCTGGCATAACTCAGAAATAGGAATGATTTTCTTTTTCTGTAATGTATTTTTCTACCTACATGATCCCCTTCTTTTCTTCCTCCTCCTTTTTTTTTTTAAATTTTGTTTCCTTCATTATATTGTAGCCACCATGTGACCCTAAAGCATTAGCGCATGACCAGGACAGAGGCCGTTATGGGTGAGGGATGAGGCAGGGGAAGCTGCAGGAGCGGGGGATACATGCAGAGGACATTTCTTCAGGAAGCCCTCTTCTAAGCATTCACCTCCTATTCTCTTCTTTTGTTTCTAGGTCCTCATATGGGAAATGAGACTAAACAGAGAAAAGAAACTAGCCTTGGGAATTATGTTAGGTTTTTTGTATAGAGTCTGTTTTGATACTGAAAGAGAAAACAATACCTGGTAACTTTCTACCTTTAATCCTAGGTTCTCAAGCCAACGGCCACCAGCCACTGCGATCACTACCTTCAGTGCGCCAGGATGTTAGCCGGTACCAGAGGGTGGACGAGGCTCTCCCACCAAGTGAGGACCTGTTAGTTAAAAGGGCCCACCTTAATCAAACGGTGAAAGGTGACAGGCAGACCCATTCCCATGAGTCTCAAAAGATGGATACATGGTCTTCAAGCGGAAGGAATCTGGGGGTTGCCACTTGACATAGCAGGTGTAGTCCGGGACGTGCTAGGCCAATGACTCTTCTCTGGCACCATTATGCTGAAAGAAAGGGCAGCTGTAAATCCTGTGTTGCCCATGGGGTAAATAATAATGGAGGTAGATCCAGATATTTTGGGAAATTGGGTGCATAATAGAATTGTTTTAAATTATGCCTAACCACAGCATGAATGTTCTTTCAGCTAATAGACAAATTGGTACACTCTCTTAGAAAAACCTCACTCTATGTAATATACTGCCTTTTTGTTCACTTACAGCATTTAAAATCATTAAGCACAAGGTTCTGATTTTTTTTCTTAGGGATATGCGAGAAGTATTGTTAATTTCAGAAATTAGTCTACTAGTTATTTGGGATAGGACAATTAGCTGGGGACTTGAAAGACATTTCATTTATTTCACTTTCAGAAAACACTTAGCACTTAAGGAGAAATGGTGGAGGATTAGGGATGCTGGGATATAGTTACATAATCTGTATTCAAAGGTATGAGTGATACCCTTAGCCAATCATAATCCAAATGAAGTGTAAACTCTATTTAAATTTCGACAGTCCTTTAAAGAGATGTAGCTCTATGAGAGCAATGCATTTTGATGAATATTGATAAAGCCTGGTAAACATTGCTTTAAAAAAAACACTGGAAGGTATACCCTTTTGCCTTACCGCTTTCCCTTCTTGCTCACCCCCTCCACTTACCCATCTTATATGTGACCATGACAACAGGCTGATGCTTTGGTTCCTCTGTTTTAAAAATGGTGGAACATAAAGAAGGGAGGGGACGCGTTTAAAGGGTTACAATTCTGAGTGATTAGTCTGGCAAGTAGTGACAAAAGAGCTGAATGGTACTATGAAGAGTTTATCAAAATATCAGCTTAATCCTTTTGAAATTCTTTTGGGCACAGATCTTTCCCTTGTTTGTTTATTTGGATAACTAAGGGCCGTGACTCATAACAAACATATTTTAAGCAGTTTAAAATAAAATGGACTGAGAGATTAATTAACCTTGTATCATCTTAAGCAGGTAGAGGGGCCCAGGGACCCGAGAGGGCCACAGAAAACTTCCTTATTGATAAAACAATTGGTAAACCTTTAGAGAAAAGATGAGTCAAAAAAGGAAAATGTTTCTGGAAGATATTTAGGTATAATTGGAGCAAAACAAATTCAGAACACTAGGAGAGAGTTCTGGGAGAGCTTTATTTTTATGTATATACAGATTAATAGTCATTTAGAGTTTCAGAGGGTTGGACAGGAGCATTGCAGAAGTGTGTTGATAAATCACGTCTTCCTAGCCACATCCAATTGCTGTAATTTTTGCTGTATACAAGTTTGGTCTCCTGATTGTATTTAATAAAGACAGATACTTTCCTGCTGAAATTATGACCATAATTCATAAATGACATAAGATGTTTGTGACATCTCAATGTATTGTTTAAATATTGGTGTTTGCATTACACCCGTAGATACATCTTGGGAAATTTTTTTTACAATTGGCAGTTCCTTTTAATGAGTTGATGTATTTGCAAAAGTAAAGGCAACTTAGTGACTCATGGTATTTAATCAGTGACTGACAAACAGGAGAAAAATTCTTAAGAAGTGTTCCCTCTTATTCAGAGGTTTTCAGTGATGGCAGGGGGTGCCTCCCACTACACGATGTTTAGAGTTGAGGTGGGGTGGCCTTTCAGTATAACAGTGGTTGAAGGGTGCTACTGGCATTTAGTGGGTGGGGGGCCAGTGTATCAAACATCCTGCAATGGGGAGACAGTCTGATACAACTAAGAATTGTCCCACCCAAAATTCAACAGTGTGCACTCTAAGAAACACTTATCTGTGCTAATTTATTTAATACTTGGTAAATAACTTTTTTTTGTAAAATATAAACAGAATTTTTATATTTTAAAAACTCAGAAGTGAAGATGCCTCCCTCTAAAAATATAAGTTATGCACACACACACACACACACACACACACACACACACACACACTCATACACTCGTGCTGTAGGACCAAGCAACTTGCAAATCTGGGGATGTGTATTCTCATGGATAGGTTTTGGATTGTGATCTGAGCATACCTGATTGCTGTTCAGCTCTGTCTCCCATTCCCATGTGTGTCTCATCCTTGTGACAGTGTTAATCGCTTGGCTGCCCTTGCTACTTGTCTGTCCTCACCTCAGCTGGATCCCTGCCCTCCTTTTCTAACTGGACAACTTTGCTACCACCTCTGGTCATGCGTCTGACTTACAGCTGTGGCATCTACACTCTGTGGTGTCTTGTGGCTTCTGGGCTCAGCTTGGGGTGTCTGGCTGGATCGTGCAGATTGGCCCATCTCTTAAATGACCTGATTGAATTTTAAGGCTAACAGTTGTGATTTTTAACACTGTTAGTTATTATAACTTCATTTTTGCGGTGATTTACACTTTACAAAGCACACTTTTGCATGCTTTCCTTTATTTTTTGTTCTTTCAATAATTTTGTGAGGTAGGTGAAGCAGGTCTTGTCTGTAATTAATAGGTTGTTGCACAGAAGTCAGCTAATCTGATTCTTTTATTTTATAGTTGCAGAAACTGAAGCCCAGATAAATTAAGTAATTTGTTTAAGATTTCATGCAAGTAAAAGTTGACACAGAGTCTCAAATATTCCCTCTCCTCTATCAGGTATTCTGATCTGAGATTGGAAGGGAAGGGCCTATTGTGTGGGTAGATGAATGTAAATTCTGAAAGTCTGGTTTGAGGCAGAGGGTGGCTTACACGGTGATATGTTATTTATTGGGCACCACCAATGCCTCACATCAGAGGGTTTGGGGGTTTCACTGAAACTTCAATATATTGCAGTGCTTTGAGGTCAGACCCACCAGGAAGACTCAAAAGGTGCTCAGCTTTCTCTTCTTCTGGGATAGAGTTATGCAAAGAGGCCCTCCCCAAGGAGGCCCCTCACCTATTAGGGAAGTGGCTGCAGGGGTTTGAGCCAACATCATGTGGTCCAGATAGATGTGCTCTATTCAGCATCTGTATTAGACCCAGCAGCACCTTTCCTCTCTGTGCAGGTCACTCTCTTTCTACCCTAGGGACAAGCTACTGAAGCAGTGTAGTTTGAGCTTTGATGGCCACCATGTGGCATGATCATGGTGCACTGCGGCCTCAAACTCCTGGGCTCAAGTGAAGCTCCTGCCTCGGCCTCCTGAGTAGCTGGGACTATAGGCAAGCATGATCATGCCTGGCTGGTTTTTTTGTGTTTTTATTTTTTGTAGAGACAGGGGTCTAACTATGTTGCCAGGGCTGGCCTTGAACTCCTGGCCTCAAGCAATCCTCCCACCTTGGCCTCCCAAAGTGCTGGGATTATAGGTGCGAGCCACTGTGTCTGGCTTTGATTCTTTTTTCTTTCTCTTTATCATTATTATTGTTGTTCTTGTTATTTTAGCACCTTTTCATCATATTTTCAGGGATTTACTTGTTTGCTTTCTTCTTTTTTCATTCTTATTTCTCCCATCTCAAGAAGGGAACAGATCTTGGACTTAGTACTAAGTTTGATCAGTGGTGATGGTGATCTACCAATTGGTTCTCAAAATCTTACTCTTGCCTTAGACCACACAGAGTGCACTGTGGCCTTGGTGGCTTGTGTAACTCCAGCTCTGGTTGAGAGATATTCTAATGATTCGTAAAAAATAAGAAAGTTCCAGGCCTTGGAGTCAGCATGACACTGTTGAGAGCCTCCCAGGGAAGTAGCTTGGACTCAATTATGCCCAGAATGCCTTAAGAATTTTCTGTATCTTCTCATTCTGATGTTACTGATGGTCCTGTCAGCTAGAGGTAGTTGAGGGCTAAAGCCCTCTAAAATATTATCGGTGTGACAAATGTTGGTCTTTTTAGCATTAAGATGAGTGAAAAAACAATCGCCAGCCCAGCCCCTCTGAAAAACTATTTTCTTTTTCTCTTATTGATTCCAGTGTAATTGTGACTTAACCCATTGCTGCATTGGAGACAATATGGAATTGTTGTATAAACGTTTTTCCCCCAAAATGGTAGTTTTTCTAGGAATAGGCCTAGATTCAAGATGAACAGTCTGGGTTAGTGGACTCTGATAGGATCCCAGGATGTTGCATATTGTTAGGACTCGTCTATTACTTATGTGAGGGGTTCAAACTATGGGGGAACATTTATCATTTTTGTGGTTGTATACTTTCATTATTAAAGTATTTTTTAAAATGAAGGCCTAAAACCATGCAGTGAATCTGAAAAGTATAATTAATCTAAACTTAGAATTTCTACTATGTTTAGGGTTAGGGACTCTTATTCTCTAAGGTTACAACTTTGTTTTGAGGAAAAAATGGATACTTTTAAACTAAAAAGCTACCTTATTAAAAATTGAAGATTAAAGTGCCAAATATGCAACTACTTGACTTTTTAAAAAACTTTTTGTTCAAATAAAATAGCAGAAAAGAGCACATATGGCCTCCCGAATTCTTTCTACTAAACATACATGGCAGGCCACGCCATCAGCATTCTAGAAGTCCCCTTTGTACCCCCTTTCAATCACTGACCGCAACTCCGTATGGGGAAATGGACCTACCGTCCTGATTCCTAAAGTCATAGATAAGTTTAGCCTACTTTTGTACTTTATACAAATGGAATTTTACTTCCTTGAGTGTTCAAATAAGAAAAAAATATTTTTAAACACTGTCATCTGTCATTTATCACAAAGCTTATAATTTTCCTTGAAAGTACCTTTAGTTCATTAGAACTTAATCATCTCGCCATTTTGGTGATGATACCTGTGGTTATTATAGTTTTTTATAGTGGATTTATACATTTATTTCACAACAATCAGGTGCTTGATTTTACTAAATCCAATGATAACCAATTCAAAACCCTACCCATAGCACCCCCCCACCCATCCCTGATACGTTGTAATTCATGCTGTTTAGTTGTTAACTTCTCAATATCAGCATCCACTGAGATGTATTCACACCTCATCCGATCATAAGCCAAGTGGTCCAGTGGAGACCGAGGTCTGATTTGAAGGGAGTGGGAAAGGATGATGAGATGAGCAGAGGGATCACAGAAACAACCCTGCGCCCTTCCCACATATGTTGATTTTAAAAACTGTAAACTCTGAAGACCTTACGTTCTACCTGCCTCTGTTCCCTGCTGAGGAGACCAGTGCTGTGACAGTAACCTTGGAGTAGTTTTACCCACTTTCTAATTCTCCGACTTTCCCTTCATGTCCAGCCACTGAAAAGCGCCTATTTATATTTAAGTCTTAGGGTGTCTAAGAGTCTACTTGCACCTGGATTTTAGGCAAGGTTTAGGGTTTTGTTTGTTTGTTGTTGTTGTTGTTTTGAGATGGAATCCAACTCTGTTACCCAGGCTGGAGTGCAGTGGCGTGATCTCAGCTCACTACAGCCTCTGCCTCCTGGGTTCAAGTGATTCTCCTGTCTCAGCCTCCTGAGTAGCTGGGATTACAGGCATGCACCACCACCCCTGGCTGAATTTTGTATTTTTAGTAGAGACAGAGTTTCACCTAGTTGGCCAGGCTGGTCTCAAACTCCTGGCCTCAGGTGATCTGCCCGCCTTGCCCTCCCAAAGTGCTGGGATTACAGGTGTGAGCCACCGCACCCGGCCGCTGAGGTTTAGTTTCTTGTGAGCCCCCATTTCATGGTCTCTGAGAAATCTAGCATTTGCCTCATGGGTTTGTTCAGCAAACTAGCTACTGTTTTAAGTTCTTATTAATTTGTGTCAGTGTTGCTCAAATTTTAGTGTGTCTAGGAATAAGCCGAGAAGGTTGTTAAAAGTGTAGATAACTGAGCCCTAGCTTCAGATAGTCTGATTCTGAAGACCTGGGGTGCATCATAGGAATCTGCATTTTTATTGATCCTCAAAGTGATTCTGGCACATGTTGTCAGAGTCCACCTACCTTGAGAAACATTTCTGTAGGTAATAGTTTTCAAACCTTATTATTGTCATGAAGCTATTTATGCAAATGAAATATTATGTGGAACACCAATATACACAGCAATAACATTGGAGCTGTCATGGCTAAAATAGGATTGTCAGGTGTTTGTGGAGCCCTGTCCCTCAGGGACTCAAATCTCCTGGCCCTGTAAGGCTAGCCTAGACATAAAATGTTACTAGGTTCTTGCTGAACTTAATATAATAAAATGGGCATAATTTTATAGATTCCTAGAATACTAGAACTGGAAGAGACCTTTGCAATTGTTTGATTGTGTCCTCTAATTTTTCAAAACTGTGATTCATAGGGGTGTAGTGACTTTTTTTAAGGTCTTGTAGTGAAAGTGTGTCAAGCCACAGCCAGAAATCAGGCCTTCTACCTCCCAATTCAGTGCAAAACACACACACACACACACACAAAATCGTTGCTCTCGTTTTCACTGCACCCTGATTATATAACATATTTGACAATGTGGCAAGACAAGGAAGTAAATGTTAAGTCCTCAGCCTTCTAACTCTGCCTATCTCATTTTAGCATTGTCTATCTGAAAGAAACTTTGATGCTATGAAATGAGTTTTCATATGCTTTCTTATACCAAAAACAAACCAGGCCCAATATAAAGACATATAAGATGTTGGAGCAGTTGTACCCAGCAAAGTAACTTTGATAGATACAACAGAGAGCTAACCTTCCTGCAGGCACCTCTGCTGCCTTTGCCTGGGTAGAATGATATTGACAGCGTGGGTAGAAGTGGATATGTAGTTCATGGATAAACCAATAGCATAACAGCCCTTCCTGATTCAGAGCCAAGCATTCACTTGAAATTGGCACTATAGAATTTGTCTTTATGGGGTCTTGAGTAATTACATCAGTGTGAAGATACAGTATTTGATAGGGATAATTTTAATATGTGTTCAGTGTTCCATGACCTTAGAAAGCAAATTTTTGGTCCTTGTTTTCTTATTCTCCCCATTGCACATTGAAAGGTCTTTATTGAACTATAAATTAAGGCTATTACTGGCCTTTGTAGAAGATGAATACAAGAATCATTCTTTTTTGTGGCTTTGTGTCATTTTAAATTATTTTTTCATTTATTACATGCTATGTGCAAGACACATTAATTTGGCTGTTCTCTCTTCCACCTAGCCATTTTGCTATACATATAGACCTCAAGCAAGCCATAGTCATATTTCACTTGGTAAATTCCTACTTTGTTAGTTCCAGGAAAAAATTCCATCTTTGAGAATTTCTTTCACTGTTTTTGTCAGAAAATGGAAAGTATGCAACAATATGTTTTCTTTTCTGCCATAACTGCCAGAAAATTAAGAGCCAAATTTTAGTAATAATCTAATCTTGGGAGTTTGGCAGCATCTTCTCTCTCTGTTTCCTTTAGCTGGTCTAGTTGGTCTCTATTTTTTTATCCTGAATTGACCTATTCTACATTTTTAAAATTGGGACTACTGTAAACATTCTTTGGAGAAGAATTGGTCATTTCTTTTCATGTGTATTTGATTTGATGTCTATGTGCCTGAATTACCCTGACTCCGATGAGAAAGGAATGAGATGGGGTAATTGGTTCCCAAAATCTTTTGAGATGGAAAAGCATGCAAGGAGCAGAGCAAAACAGTGAAATAAATCAAAGTGTTTTGAAAAATGGTTCCTGAAGATGCTTTAATGTACTTGCTATTTGTGAGCATATCAACAGGCTGGGCGTGAGGTCTTTTGAAAATGTCTTATTGATGGGACTGCAGTGCCCAAAGAATTCAGATTTGGCAGGGTGTTTCATGGTAGAGTCTGTGTTACCTTGGAACATGAATGGCATTGAGTTGTTTGCTGTCTGTGTGGTGCTTTTGTTCAGCCCAATTCCTCTTTCTTTTGCCATTTGTCATAAATTACAATGTGCTGAGATCAACAAAAGATGTCTTTCTGCTCCTAGCTGAGGTGATGGCCTTCAGCAATGGTCTGGTGCAGGCTGAGCTCTACCATGCAGGTCTTTCCAACCCTAAGGACTCTGTTGGGATACTTACCCTGTTCCCTTACAGAGCAAATGCCATAGGTGGTCAGGAGAAAATATGCCCTCCTTCTGGTCTCCAGGATTAGCCCCACTGTGTCTGTTGATAAGCATGTGATCACATGGACAGTTTTGGGATAGTTGAATGTGTCAGGAGAAAAATGCTTATTAATTTCAAAAAATAACTTACACAAAAATATAAATGCACAAAGAATTTTCCTGGTTAAAGAATAGATTTCTGCTGTTTTCATGTTTCCTGTGCAAATTACCCTTCACACTTGTAATAAGTTTCAAAATTTTGCCTTTTGAAAAGATCAGCTCATGCTCTGTGGATTTCAGTAGGTGAATGGCCTTTTAGAGAGTCACAAAGGTGGGGTGTCTGACTCTGAAGACCAATCTGCCTTCTGAACATTCACTTGTATATCTCTCTAGAAAGATTTAACACACTTAAAAATAAAATTAATCTTTTAAAACGTTATGTTTATTTGAGGTTGGGAAGCAAGAAATTGCACTTGCTCTGAAAATGTAGTCATCTTTGGAAAAGTGCAAATAGAAGTTTGTAGATAATGATACTGTTTCATCACTAGGCGAGCATAGTTATTTTAGTTATTTTTTTCTGAGGACTAAATTTACTACAATTGTGCATGAATATGCGTGTGGAAGTCTCCAGCTATGAGGCTTTCATTGAAGCTAGAAAAGACATGGAGAAATCAGGTTTTTTTGGTGAAAATAAACATCAATACCCATTTTGACGTGAATATCTGAAGTGTTATGAAACCAACTACATATATTTTTAAAATGCTGGGGCTCATACGTGAAGGGTGAGCACTGTGGGCAAATTTGGAAAGATTCTCTACATTTAAAGATTATTTAAGGGACTGGTATTATATGCACAGGATAGGCTAAATAATCAGTCACAACAGATTCTGGAGTGAACTGGGGAGAAGTATGGGATAGTGCAGTGAGATGTATGTTATTAGTCTCAGATTATAGCATGTCAGAGAAAGAAAACACATGCCAAACTTAATGAACCCTATTAATCATCTCAGCTCCTCCTCCTAATTCCTTTCGGTGCCTCACTGCCATTTAGACTGGGAGGCACGCATTGACAGCCACGGCAGGATCTTCTACGTGGATCACGTAAACAGAACCACGACGTGGCAGCGACCGACAGCTCCCCCAGCCCCGCAGGTGCTGCAGAGATCTAACTCCATACAGCAAATGGAGCAGCTGAACCGGCGGTGAGGATGAACATTTTGCTGTGACTGTTGTATTTTGTGGTTGGGCTAATTTTTACTTGGCACAAAGTAGAAGACATGGTTGTCTCTTTGATCTTTGTGTGTCCTGTCGTTAAAGTGTAGCTGTTACCGCTTTTGATTCCCAGACTTCAATTGGACTTCTCTTGATTAAAAAAAAATAATAATACTCACCCACATATATACCTTGTTTGGAAACTAGAGAACAAATAAATAAATGTGACCCCTTTAGTCAGCCCAAGCATTGATGTTTACTAAAGCAGAACATATACATTTGTTATTTAAAGCCAAACATCTTTTCTAGTCTCTAGAATCTTTATTTGTGGCTTCTCATTATTATCAACCTAAGCTTTTTAGATGAGTCATTCTTTTTCAAGAATTAATTGCTGTGGAACATAAAGTTTTTTTTCCTTTAACAATATAGGAATTTACTTTTCTTTAGTTAAGGGCCACAGAATTTTTTTAGTGTTATTAATTTGCCAGGAAGATGTTCCCCAAACAATGGACAGAAGAAATTTAATGCAGTGTAATTTAAACAGCAGGTGGCCAAGAAGTCCAGGGAATGGGGGTTGGAGGAGGAAATAGTTGAAGCTGAGAAGATAGTGAAAAGTTCTAGACTCTTGGGGAGCAGTTGAGTCCCATCTCTTAAATGCTGCTGGAATGTAACTCTAGGCTCATGATTTTAGATATCAGAGTATCCGCAGAACCATGACCAATGAGAGGCCTGAGGAAAATACCAATGCTATTGATGGGGCAGGGGAGGAAGCTGACTTTCACCAAGCCAGTGCAGGTAAGAGCTTTGGGCTTTGTTTTTGTAATTTCATAAAAGTGGAAAAAGAAGCAAATAAGGATTCCCAACAAGTAAGGCTTTTCTTTTGGAGAACTTTTGCTCTTCAATAAGATCTGGTAATCCAACTCAAAAAACAGAATTCACCAGAAACCTCTTCTAATCCTCAATGTTTAATTAATATAAAGAAAGGAATCACAAAACCCAAGTAGAATATAAATTTCTTTAATTTCTTGATCTGTGGGATACTGGAAAAAGAATCAGATCATTTAAAATACGTAAGAATGCATTAAAATGTTCATAGTAACTAGAAATATTACTTAACTGAATTTTAGTGTAATTAAGAACAGCCATGTTTTATGTATGAATTTACAGCAAAGAAAAAAGCATTGGGGGATTAAAATGATGACACATGATGTAGGTATCCTATGATTCTTTTGAAATGCAGACTGAAGTGAGTAGATAGTTTTCACATCATAGAAAGATTTCCCTGACCGCCTCTGTGGTCTGCCCCATCTAGATTTCCGACGGGAGAACATCCTGCCTCACTCTACCTCCAGATCCAGGATCACGTTGCTGTTACAGTCTCCCCCCGTGAAGTTCCTCATCAGCCCAGAGTTCTTCACCGTGCTGCATTCTAACCCTGTGAGTAGCGAATCTGAAAGAGTGTGAAGGAAAACAGCAGGCCAAAGCAAATGATCGTTGTTTCTGTAGTAATAGCAGGAATGATAATGGCGAATGTTTCCAGAGCACTTAGTGTGTTCCAAGCTTTGTGTTGAGCACTGTACACTTTAACCGGTTTAGTCCAAAGAAACCGTTTGAGTTCATTGGGCTGCTATAACAAAGCACTGTAAGCTGGGTGGCCTATAAGCAACAGAAATTTATTTCTCATGATTCTGGAGCTGTGAAGGCCAAGATTGAGGCACTGGCAGATATGGTGTCTGATGACAGTCCATTTCCTTGTGTGTAGATAGCATCTTCTCCCTCCATCTTCATATGGTCTAAGGGCGGAGGGTGCTTGCTCTCTCAGGCTTCTTTTATAAGGGTATTAATTCCTAATTACCTCTTAGGTCACCTCCTGCCCCCATCTCCTAATACTATTATATTGGTGATTAGGTTTCAACATATGAACTCTGGGGGACACAAACATCGGACCCATAACAGGAGGATTTAAAGGATTATTCCACGAGTCTCCGAGGGCTGAGGGAGTGGCTTACTGAAGATAGTAATTAAAGGAAGGTCATTTTAACTGCACATGAAGTGATTTAGAATGAGGGAAACATTGGCCATAGAAGTCTAGCAGGATATAATCCATTCATCATGGCATGTGTTGATAGGAACCTGTACTAGGATATAAGAAAATAGACAAAAAGGATTCAGCATGAGAGGAATCGCAGACAGGGAGTTGACAAGATTTGGTGGGTAAGTAGGCAGAATAGAAACTGAAGAAGTTGACCTTGAGTATTAATAATAATAATACATAAATAATGAACAATACATAATTAATAATACTAGGAAAATTCGAATGAGGGACTTGTTAAAGGAATTGAAGGAGAACATATTGAATTTAACAAGACATATCCTACACTTTCAGAAAAACAGAGTAGATCATAGAGAAAAATAAAAGTCAACATAGTCCTATCACCAGGAGTATGTGGTGAGGTAATTAGTATATATTAATACATATTTACTTATGTTAATATTTTTCTGCCTTCTTTAGCTTTGCTTTACAAGTATAAACATCTGTCTGCCTTTCCTCATCATTGTCTCCTGGTTTACAGGTTTAGCTTGGAGCAGAGAAGACTTGGGAGGAGAGTAAGCAACGAATAACATGCTAGCTATCCTCATATATTATGAGAGAGGGGTTAGATTTACTGAGCACTCAGCTTCGCAAGTTTGTTGATGATTATGTGCTAGGCACTGAGCTAAGACCTAGGGATACAGAGATGACAGCAACTGTGGGCCCTGGCATCCCAGACTTGAGAGCAATTATAATGTCATAACCAGAATTACAAGTGCAATAATGGATGGCTATAGAAGATACACTGCTGGAGTGGACGATTAACTCCAAAGGGAAGGCACATGGAAGGGGCCATAGACAGGTTTGGATTTGAGATTAGTTTTAAAGGCTGATTAAGAGCTTGTCCCAGAAACAAGATGGGCAGGAGTACTCTAGGTAGAAGAAGCATCATTTGCAAAACAATCGATTCGTGAAGCTGCAAGTCTGTCTTGATAATTACTGCAGAAGTTCTAAAACTGGATTATTAGTATTGTAAGCAATTCGGTGTTGCTGGTGTATTGAGAACATAGGACACTAGTGAAAGTCAGATTTGAGCCTGGGAAGGGATACAGAAGCTAGGCTACACAAACCTAAACTCATATATGGGACAATTCTAGGAGGTGACAGGCTTTCATGCAAGGCAGAATGGGCTAACATTTAGAGTTGTCACTGTAACACAGAAAAAAATCATGCTTTAATAGGAAGAGACTCAGACTTGGAGTCAGAAGGCACAAGCTCCCCTTTGTTTTTTGTTCATTTGTTCATGCCTTCATTTAATCAGTATTTATTAAATGCCTGTGATTTGCCTGGTACATTCTAGACTCTGGGAATAGAGTGGTAAATAAGACAGAGTAGAATATAGTTAACAGACTAGTGAATAAAAAAGATAATGCAGGTACTGTAGTGTGGTGTGAGGCAACTGAAACCACACACTGGGATAGAGTTACTTGGGGATGAGGTGGAGGAGGCACTATTTTATTTTATTTTATTTTTTAATCTCAAAATCTCACAAGGAGGCACTATTTTAGATCAGGTGGACAGGAAGGCCTTTCCAAGGGAGCCACATTCAAGCCGTCATAAAATGCCCAGAAGCCGATAAGGTAAATGTCTGAGAACAGAACCTGCCTTGCCAAGGAAGTGCAGAGACTCAGGGGTAGGAATGAGTTTTCTGTGGCACATAATATGGTCAGGGAAGCGTGCAGGGCTACAGAAGGTTGGGCTTGCATGATCTGGCAAGGTATTTGGGCTTTATTCTGAAAGGGTTTTCTATATGGGAGTAATTTAGAGTTTTTTAAGTTCCTTCTAGCTGTTATGCAAAGAATGGGTTTTAGAGGGCAAGCTTGGCATCAGGGAGACTAAGTGAAAAGCTACTGTGGTAAGGCATGGAAGTGGCTTGGGCTAACGCAGTTAGCAGTAGAGACGGTGACAAATGGATGAATATTGGATATATTTTGAAGACAGAGATGACATTCTTGCTAATAGATTGGAATATGGGATAGGAGAAAAAAGGGCTTCAAGAAGGAGCAACTGTAGCTAGACTAATAAAGTAGAAAAGAGATAAGACTCAAATAAACACAATCAGAAATGATAAGGGACAGATTACCACTGACCCCACAGAAATACAAACAACCGTGTCAGAGAATACTATAAACACCTCTATGTACATAAACTAGAAAATCTAGAAGAAATAGATAAGTTCCTGGACACATACACCCTCCCAAGACTGAACCAGGATGAAATTGAATCTATGAATAGACCAATAATGAGTTCTGAAATTGAGGCAGCAATAAATGGTCTACCAACCAAAAAAAGCCCGGGATCAGATGGATTGACAGCTGAATACTACTAGAGATACAAAAAAGAGCTGGTACCATTTCTACTGAAATGACTCCAAAAAATTGAAAAGGAAGGACTCCTCCCTAACTCATTCTATGAGCCCAGCATCATCTTGATACCAAAACTTGGCAGAGATATAACAGAAAAAGAAAACTTCAGGCCAATATCCTTGATGAGCATTGATGCAAAAATTCTCAATAAAATACTGGAATCCAGCAGCACATCAAAAAAGTTATCCACCACAATCAAATTGACTTTATCCCCAGGATGCAGGGTTGGTTCAACATATGCAAATCAATACATGTGATTCATCACATAAACAGAACTAAAGACAGAAACCACATGATTATTTCAATAGACGCAGAAAAGGCCTTCGATAAAATTCAACATCGCTTCATGTTAAAAACTCTCAATCAACTAGGTATTGAAGGAACATACCTCAAAGTAATAAGAGCCATATATGGCAAACCAACATCCAGTGTCATGCTGAATGGGCAAAAGCTGGAAACATTCCCCTTGAAATCCAGCACAAGGCAAGGATGCTCTCTGCCACCACTCCTATTCAACATAGTATTGGAAGTTCTGGCCAGGGCAATCAGTCAAAAGAAAGAAATAAAAGGTATTCAGCTAGGAAGAAAGGAAGTCAAATTATCTTTGTTTGCAGATGACATGATTCTACATCTAGAAAACCCAGTCCTCTCAGCCCAAAAGATTCTTAAGCTGATAAGCAACTTCAGTCTCAGAATACAAAATCAGTGTGCAAAAATTGCTAGCATTCCTATACACCAACAACAGGCAAGCAGAGAGCCAAATCATGAATTAACTCCCATTCACAATTGCTACAAAAAGGATAAAATACCTAGGAATACAGCTAACAAGGGAAATGAAGGACTTCTTCAAGGAAAACTACAAACCACTGCTCAAAAAGAAATCAGAGAAGACACAAACAAAAGGAAAAACATTCCATCCTCATGGATAGGAAGAATCAATATCATGAAAATGGCCATATTGACCAAAGTAATTTATAGATTCAGTGCTGTTCCCATTAAACTACCATTGACATTCTTCACAGAATTAGAAAAAACTATTTTAAAATTCATATAGAACCAAAAAAGAGCCTGAATAGTCAAGACAATCCTAAACAACAAGAACAAAGCTGGAGGCATCACACTTCCTGACTTACAGCTATACTAGTAATTTCTAACTATACTAGTAACTTACAACTATACTAGTAACCAAAACAACATGGTACTGATACAAAAACAGACACATAGACCAATGGAACAGAATAGAAAACTCAGAAATAAGACTGCACACCTACAACCATTTGACCTTCAGCAAACCTGACAAAAACAGGCATTGGGGAAAGGATTGATTCCCTATTTAATAAGTGGTGGTGGGAGAACTGGCTAGCCATATGCAGAAAATTGAAACTGGACCCTTTCCTTACATTATATACAAAAATTAACTCAAGATGGACTAAAGACTTCAATGTAAAGCTGAAAGCTATAAAAACCCTACAAAAAAATCTAGGCAATACTATTCAGGACATAGGCACAAGCAAAGATTTCATGACAAAAGTACCAAAAGCAATTGCAACAAAAGCAAAAACTGACACATGGGATCTAATTAAACTAAAGAGCTTCTACACAGCAAAAGAAACTATCATCAGAGTGAACAGACAACCTACAGAATGGGAGAAAATTTTTGTAGTCTGTCCATGTGACAAAGGTCTAATGTCCAGAGTCTACAAAGAACTTAAACACATCTACAAGAAAAAAAAAAAAAAAACAATCCCATTAAAAAGTGGGCAGAGGATATGAATAGACATTTCTCAAAAGAAGACATACACGTGGCCTACAAACACATGAAAAAAAGCTCAACATTACTGGTCATTATAGAAATGCAAATCAAAACCACAATGAGATGTCATCTCATGCCAGTCAGAATGG
This sequence comes from Homo sapiens, assembly GCF_000001405.40. Taxonomy (NCBI): domain Eukaryota; kingdom Metazoa; phylum Chordata; class Mammalia; order Primates; family Hominidae; genus Homo; species Homo sapiens. The sequence continues at coordinate 196,301,564 of NC_000002.12, read as the reverse complement.
CCATTATGAAAAAGTAAGAACACAACAGATGCTGGCGAAGTTACAGAGATAAAGAAATGCTTCTGCACTTTCGGTGGGAGTGTAAATTAGTTCAACCATTGTGAAAGACAGTGTGGCGATTCCCTAAAGATCTAGAACCAGAAATACCACTTGACCCAGCAATCCCATCACTGGTTATATAACTAAAGGAATATAAATCATTCTATTATAAAGATACGTGAACATGTATGTTCATTGCGGCACTATTCACAATATCAAAGACATGGAATCAACCCAAATGCCCATCAATGATAGACTGGATAAAGAAAATGTGGTACATATATACCATGGAATACTGTGCAGTCATAAAAAGGAATGCAATCATGTCCTTTCCAGAGGCATGGATGGAGTTGGAAGCTATTATTCTCAGCAAACTAAAACACAAACAGAAAACCAAACACCACATGTTCTCACTTGTAAGTGGGAGCTGAATGATGAGAACCCATGGACACTGGCGGGGAACAACACACACTGGTGCCTGTCGGGGGTGGGGTAGGGAGAGGGCGAGCATCAGGGATAATAGTTAATGGATGCTGGGCCTAATACCTAGGTGATAGGATGATCTGTGCAGCAAACCACCATGGCACACATTTGTCTATGTAACAAACCTGCACAACCTGCACACATACCCCTGAACTTAAAAGATGAAGAAAAAAAAAGAGCAACTGATTGCATGGTAGTGTTCATGAGTTTTCTAGTATATGTTTAACCACTGGCTTTCTGGAGAAAAAAGTGTGTGTATATTTGTGTGTATGTAGGCTGTGTTTATACACACACATATATGTCTGTGTATAAATATATGCATGTGAGATATATGTATATATGTGTATAGATATAGATATAGATATATATGTATAGATGGAGGCATCACACTTCCTGACTTATAATTTACAAATAATAGTAAAAGAGACACTGAATGCTTTTGTTGATTTTTGCTACCTACAGTGGTAATTGAAGAACAAGTATAATTCCAACAAGAATATTTTCATTTGCATTAACAAGTAAAGACAACAGTGTAAAAGGGAGACATGTTGGAGTTTCATATTCCTTTGTCAATAGTTTTTGAATATTAGACTTACATTTCTTCATGTTATGTGTGTTTGTGCTATTTGCAATGTAACAGCACAATTTGAAGTTTCATCTGCATTCTAATTTTCTCCATTAATTTCTTAAGTCTGGACCTTAAGTAAAGAAAAAGGCAGTAAACTTTTCCTATAAAGGGCCAGAGAGTAAATATTTTAGGGTTTTGGCCCAAAGACAACATGTAAGCAAATGGCCCTGGCTGAGTTCCAATGAAGCTTTGTTTACAAACACAGACAGCTAGCCATTGGGCCTGTAGATTGCCCACCCCAGTCTAGACAGCCTACAGAACAATAAATCAAGCCCTGATATTGCATTTCCTGATTTCTGTAGTGTTAATACGCCCACTATGGCCAATGTCAAACCACCAATGACATCATGAAGCACAGAGTTCTAACTTCTCTCTTTGGGCTGCCGTCTTCATACAAGTTCCTCATCGCTGCATTGTTTCAAGTAGAGACTGGATAAATAGTCACTGAGTTGTGGTATAAGGCTGCGGGAATTTTTTTTTTTTTTTGAGACAGAGTTTCGCTCTGTCGCCCAGGCTGGAGTGCAGTGGCGCCATCTCGGCTCACTGCAAGCTCCACCTCCTGGGTTCACGCCATTCTCCTGCCTCAGCCTCCCGGGTAGCTGGGACCAAAGATGCCCGCCACCACGCCCGGCTAATTTTTTGTATTTTTAGTAGAGACGGGGTTTCACCATGTTAGCCAGGATGGTCTCGATCTCCTGACCTCATGATCCGCCGACCTCGGCCTCCCAAAGTGCTGGGATTACAGGCGTGAGCCACTGCGCCAGGCCCAAGGCTGTGGTTTTTAAACTTGGTGACTTTAAAAAATAAAATGCATATTCTTGGTACCCAGATCTTAGAGATTCTGGTTCAGTAGGTCTGGAGTGGGTCCCAGCAGTCTGTTTTTATTTTGCTTTGTTTTGTTTTAGGCCCCTTAAGTGATTCTGATACAACTGTGGCCTGTAGTCTGGGAACTCCTAGGATAAAGAGATTTTGCATTAAATGTCCTTACCGTGTTTGTTACAACTATAACTCTCCTGGACTTTTGACAACTAACATGTTTTAACAGTATGAAAATACTAAGCAGCTTACAGGCTTTTTTTTTTTTTAACTTATTTTGTTTTCGTGTTTTTATCGTGTTTCCTTTTTCTTTAGTTGGGCATGATTTTAGAATTTATTTTGCTGGATAGTCTATCTTGATTTCAAAGTATTCTTTCTAAAGCATTTTAATTTTTTTCTTCCTCTTATGAACTGCATTTATATTAGCTAAAAAGATGATCCATGCTGTACATTTATACATTTCTGTAAGACTTAAATTCTGTGGGTTTAGGAAGTATTATTTTCCTGACTTATATATGGCAAATATTGAAGTAGCTGAATTTGTCTTGCTAGAAGTCTCAAGGTATGAATTAATGGAGATAACTCAGACAATTTTTTCTAAAGGGCATTACTTGCTGGAATGTTTTCTTTTTTCCTAGATTAACAGAAAATGTTATAAAATAAACTTTTATTTGATTTCTGTATTTTAAGATTTATTGTCTAGGGTTTTTTGCTAGAATTGTTTATGATCTATACCTCTTTCAGTTACTTCCCTGTTCGTATTATTGAAAATGTTCAATATGCAAAAGGAATGTATTTAATAATTTTCCTAACTATTTTTTTATGACTTGAAGGTATCAGTTTATGTTGAAAGAAAGTCATGAAAAATAGGTGGGAATTGAACAATGAGAAGAACACTTGGACACAGGAAGGGGAACATCACACACCGGGGCCTGTCATGGGGTAGGCGGAGTGGGGAGGGATAGCATTAGGAGATATACCTAATGTAAATGACGAGTTAATGGGTGCAGCACACCAACATGGCACATGTATACATATGTAACAAACCTGCACGTTGTGCACATGTACCCGAGAACTTAAAGTATAAGAAAAAAATAATAAATGTAAAAAAAAAGAAAAATAGATTACGTGTAGTTGTAATACCTAGTAATCCTTACTGGAAAGAAAAGTGTTAAATAGATATATGGTTGTCATAACACTAAAGTAAAACTTGAGAAAGAAAATTTTGTGGGTTTTTTCTTTCTTTTTTTGCATTGTGGTTGCTTTAGGAATTATTCTACTGCCCTCTAATGGTTGTGATCAGATTTCTTTCAAAATTGTCCTGACAAACGATTTCTCTTGTTAATTCAAGATTTAGTTATTAGTGCCATGTCTTTTATAGCTGATGTGCCTATATTTGTCTAATTAATGTCATACATAAATATATTTCATTATATTCAACTGAATAATTTTCCAACATACGTGCCAAATAATTACTACTGTGGCTTTTAATGAGCTCTAAAAATACATTAATTCTAGCGTTTAAGTTTCTTAGTACTTAATGAAGAAAAATACTGTTCCAAAATCCATACGTATATTCTTAAAACTTGGGAATTCCTGCTATTGCAAAATAGATGAATTGATCATTTGTAGATAGTTTTGTTAATGTGAAAATTCCCTTCCATTTTACTCTAGCTAGATGAGAACAATGTAAATCCTGTAAAATTAAAAATATTATGAAGACAGACTGTATAAAACAGGACTGTTTTGATATCTCTGCATACATATTATGCAAACATTTCTTGATTTTGTATATATTAAATTTTGTTTAGTGAATAATGTATACAAGTGCTCAAATCTGCTCCCTTGTGAATATGAGAGATGTTTGCTATAGATTTGGTGACGTGCTTTTCCAAACCTGAATTCAGAATGCCTATTCTTGATGAAGGCTTTCTGAAATATGAAAGAAAGACTTTATTTATCAGTAATGTACTTAACTATGTTTTGAAAACAACAGAATTAGGTGAAATTAGGACTGGGCCAGGTAATCTAGGACATTTGGTCATCATAACACTAAGGAAAACCTGCAAAAAAAGGAGAGGGGATTGATTATTATTTCCATTGTGGTTGACAAGAACTAAGTATTTGCATGTAATTTTCTTATTCTGCTGCCAAATGGCAATGACATTTACTTCTACAACCTCAAACAAACATGTAACCAAACAAAAACACATTTAAGTTCTAAGGAGTGTTATTTAACAAAACTCCACTCAAGAAATTCAGTTGATCATTCACTCAACCATCAAGTGCTTATTTCTTGCTAGGACGATGAGAAACAACCAGGAGGGAAGTTGGAACAGGGATTTTTGGAATTGAGAAGGAATAACTAAAAAGAATAGTTAAATTATGTCAAAGGAAAACAAAGTGTTGTTTCCTTTAGAGATCATTTAAAGGGGCTTTGTCTACTATTAACAATTACCAATTCCTCTTAACTACTCGAGTCCACGTGCAGTGGCTTCCCAGGTGAATTCTGTTCATTATCATGAGACTATGTTATGAAATAGGTATCATGGGCTCTCCTCTAACCTACTTTTGTTTCAAGTAAAATATCAGATTCATTTACTGCATCTTTTTCTGTAAGATAAGCAAGCAAACAAACAAACATAGAAAAGGATCCTTACCTAGTTAGAACCACTAAACCCCAGGAGAACAAAGGAAAATATTTTCTCTTAACCCACAGCTTTGTTAATATCAGCTTCATGAAGACTAAACTCTGTCAACCTAATCCTATCTGTTTAGTGTTTTTGGCTCTTTGGACTGCTCCCATTCTTACCTCTGTTCATTCTGTCCGTGTGTTTCAGTATTTTCACGACTGTCGTGGCCTTTGTTTTTCCAACTCTTTCTGCCTCTGGTGAATCTCTTCCTTCCACCTCCCCCTATAATTCTCCTTCTTCATCCTTTTGAATGATCAGGCCTTGCTCATCTCTGTATCCTCAGGGTTTAGCACAGGGCTTAGCACATGGCTTAGCACATAATTAATGAAGCTTAGGAGACCCTTGTTCAGTTTATAGAATGTGGGATGCTGGGCCAGGATCTTCAAAGACTAAAAGTGGTGAACAATTTTGCCACTTTCTTTATCTGTTATAACACAGGTATGATAGATGTAATCCCCTATATATTTTTACTTACTTATAGCCTGTATTCTTAAAGTGATTTTGACCTTTTCAAATTACTTTACCATCCTTTGTCCCACTGGATTTGAATCTCACGTGCCTATGGAGAAAGCAAGGGAGTTATTATTATCCCATATTACAGTTAAGCAAATTGAGACAGAGATTAAGTAGTTTTCTTTGTCTCTATGAGTGACAGAGCTGAGACTAGAATCTGCACTGTAGTTCTATATGAAGTGGAGTATAAATATCCTTCCCAAACTATAGATATATAAATTACATATATATATACACACACATAAACTATATATACATATCTATACACACACAGTTTTTGCATAAACATATGAAGTTATTCAAACATAGTTTTTTTTATAGAAACATAGCAGTCTAGAAGTATGTTCCTGTTTGGCTTAAGAGTTTTGTATAGACCCTAACAGTCATGTACTTACTATTCAGACTTGAAAAGGCTGTGGATCTAAAGATTGTTTACTAGTTACTGAGAGAAATCTCCTGCATTGAATTACTTTGGTAGATGCTCTTTGCAAGATCAGATGTGTTTGGCACCATACTACATGTTTCATTGAGTGGAGAGGAGGAAGATGAAATGACATAATTAATTATAAGACCAGCCTTAAGATTTCTGTGCTTAAAGAGCTATTCAGCCCCAGGGAATTACTTCAGGTCTGAGGCTGGGATGAGTTTCTTAACTTAATTGCCACTGCTTCTTGCCCTAATGAAGTTCTTTTTTAACAAAGTGAGGAGCATTTCTGGTGCTCTAGATAAGAAATCAGAATGTGGCCTATTTAGTTATTTTAGTGAGAAGAGGGAGCAGTGAAGGCGATAAAGAGGTATACCTATTTAGAACAATGGGTAATGTAATGATTTATCCGACAGAATTATCCCCCAAATAATTTGTCCCTGAAGAGACTTAATATTTGTTTTACTCTTAGGTAGTAAGACCTGAAAGCTCATTATGATCCCTACACAAACTAGTGTGGTCTCAGGACTCTAACTTGCAATGACTTATGTGAAAATATATCAGCAACACTGAGCCAAATGCAGAAAACAGTTGCCTTGCTGATTGTATTTAAAACTCAAAGCAGAGTCAGCCAATAGAGCCAAAACTGTTACTTAGCTGAAGTTAGGTTTTTTCTGACACTGCCCAACTTCTGTTATTTCCTTCTCTGCTTTCATGGTATCACTTTCCTATCCTCTCATGCTCTCTAATTGCCCAGAGCCCATGCATAGGCCTGCCTGCATTGACAGTACTCTCTGCTCTGAACCACACAACTGCTCACAGCCATCAAAACCTCCTCTTATTTAGCCTGTCGGTTGAAATATGACTCAAAAGTATTTTATACTCAAGTGTACTGAGGAATTAAGGTTCAAGGATGGTTCATTGTGGTCTTCTTTCTTCTTCCCTTCCTCCTCCCTTCCTTTCTTCTTTCCTTTAATTTGTTTTGATAGGGAACAAGTATTTAATGACGGTAAATCAATCAGAATAATTTAGGTTATACTTCAATAATAATGACCAACAAATCTCAGTGGCTTAAGCTAACAAAGGATTACTTCTCATTCCAAGTCAGGTTATCAGGGTCCCTGTGGTCACTCAGGGACCCAGAGAGCCAGGCTGGGGAGCATCCCTGTTCAAACATTGCCACTTGCTGTGTCAAAGGGAAGAAAGCTCTAGAGGGACTCACATCAGCAATAAATGCTTTGACCTGGACATGACACATCTTGAGGGATCCTAGAAAGACTGGAGCAATGTTGACTGTCTTCACACTCATTCTTCTTTGATCCCTAATAACGAACACAGTACTGGGTACAGCAAAGACAATAAATGTTTATTAAAATGAAATCATTTCCAGAGACTCTAGAGTCCTTGGGGTTTGCCTTGGGCTGTCTTAGACTAAAATAGATAACAACCCATAAAGTTTAGACTAAAATAGATAACAGAACCCATACGATTTAGACTAAAATAGATAACAGAACCCATAAAGCTGGAAGAGGTCCAGACTCAGTCTAGTGTCCCTGAGACACTAAAGATAAAACGAATCCAAAGCCCTTTGAATCAGTCTGAGAAGAATAGAGTTCCAGGATGATCATTCACGGCCTGGTCAGTTTCATGAATATCATATTCCCTCTGATGATTCAAGGAAACAGCTGCCATACAGTTATTCCTCTTCTGCTGTTTTGTGCATGGTATTATGCAATAAATATTTATTGACTGACTCATATGTGGACAATCATGACATAGTCAGTTTGTGGAATCTTCTTTAAATATCATAGAAATGAAGACTGTAAGGTTTTGGACAAAACAATCACTTTTCTGTGTGGTGGTATAGTGGAGTTTTTTTAAACTTGCATTTCATTCATATACATCCAACCAAATATACACAGGGAAAAAGAGAAAAAAAGAAAAAAGAATGAGATGTACAGCCCAGGCACCTCAGCCTGCTATTCCATTCACCAAGCTTATATGCCTCTATGAAGGGTGAGATTCTAAAACCTCAGTCTATTGTGATCTCAGTTGAGTGTGATGGTCAGTGAGAGCAACTCATTCCATTGCATGTCCTTCTAGTATAGAAATGTATGGCAAGCATTTTTCCATGCAACTTGGCCCTTAAGTGTATACTAGTTGTGTCATCTGGCACTCACTCAGAGAGCCAATAACCTAGTCCAATACTGGGGGAGAAACTGGCTATGTCAGGGCTCTCTGTAAGGTGGCATATTCATCGCCAGTGTGGTATAATTTTGACTGTGTGTTTCTTTCCTAAAACCAGCTTCAGGATTTAATGGCCCATGTGCAGTGAGACTCCACAACATGTTTGTTCTTTAGTAAATTAGTTCAACCATTGTGGAAAACAGTGTGGAGATTCCTCAAAGATCTAGAACCAGAAATACCATTTGACCCAGCAATCCCATTACTAGGTATTTACCCAAAGGAATATAAATCATTCTATTACAAAGATACCTGCACATATATGTTCATTGCAGCATCATTCACAATAGCAAAGACATGGAATCAACCCAAATATCCATCAATGATAGACTGGATAAAGAAAATGTAGCATATATATACCATGGAATGCTATGCAGCCACGAAAAGGAATGAGATAATGTCCTTTGCAGGAACGTGGATGGAACTGGAAGCCATTATCCTCAGCAAACTAACACAGGAACAGAAAACCAAACACCACATGTTCTCACTTATAAGTGGGAGCTGAAAAATGACAACACATGGACACAGAGAGGGGAACAACACACACTGGGGCCTGTTTCAGAGTAGGACTGGGGGAGGGAGAGAATTAGGGAAAAATAGCTAATGCGTGCTGGGCTTAATACCTGGGTGATGGGTTGATAGGTACAGCAAACCACCATGGCACACGTTTACCTATTTAACAAACGTGCTCTTCTTGCACATGTACCCCAGAACTTCAAATACAAATAAAAGTTAAAAAAAGAGAACTAGACACCAGCTGTGGATACTGCCTTACCTTCTGTAGTCTTTATGTTTCATTTTGTTCAAGATATTTTGCTCTGTCTGCTGTTTCCATACATGGGTCTAGAGTTCTGTCAAAGCTTATATATGCATTTCATTACTTATTGGAAGATTAGCCATACCCATGTGTAGTATTTCTGGTGCTTCTGCATGTCACAAGTGGGTTAACATTGGTTCTCCATTCTTTTCTTTAGAGTGCCTACCGCATGTTTACAAACAACACGTGTTTGAAGCACATGATCACCAAAGTCCGGAGGGACACCCACCACTTTGAACGCTACCAGCATAACCGCGACCTTGTGGGATTCCTCAACATGTTCGCGAACAAACAGCTAGAGCTGCCGCGGGGATGGGAAATGAAACATGATCACCAGGGCAAGGTAACACGAGGGAGATGCCTCAGGGAGTGCCAAATGCCTGTGGGCTGCTTGTGGCTTCGACACTTGGCCCTACCCTTCAAGTGAGGGCCAAGGCTCTTTGTGAGGTGAAACATTCCACCTTCTGTTCAAGTGAAACCTGGACAGCAGGTTGTTTGTGACCACAAACAGTGACTGTGCCATTCTGAAGTCGTGGAGGGAGCGGAGGGAGGGCTGTGACGCTGGCAAAGCATTCACTTCTCCCTGGAAACTCTCCTACCTGTCATCTCTCTCTATGCTCTGCTGATTAGAGAAAAGGGTTCTCAGGCAGTGCTTCCTTATCCCTAGTGATACAGCTTGTGTTGTAGGTATTTGAATAAAAAGTTGTGGTATTATTTGGAGAAGGTGGCTAGGAGGTCACTAAGCAAGCAACTACATGAGGTGTGTCTTTGTGACACTGTCTGGGCTTGGGCTTCAGTCTTACTGGTTCAGAACTGTGATTTTGTTAGCACATTAACCAAAACTCACTGATTGATTAATTTATGACAAGAAATATGTAACTGTGCAACACAGGCCAGAATAGCTACATCCGTACTTCCTCTGTAGGTGGATGAACCAGAAAGCCTGGTTACAATCAGGAAGTCATTCTATGAGTAAGAAATCAGAATGAGAAAATTAGTGCTTGTTATAAGGTGACCCTCAGCTAAGATTTAATTTTTATTTAACTCTTATGTAGTACCTACTATGAGCCATGAACTGTTTAAGCTCTTAAGGTCCTCACCACAACTTTGATAAAGCAGTACTATTATTATTGCCATGTACAGATAAGCAGCTCCATGTGCAGAATGGTTCAGTGACTTGCCTGACATCACAGAGACAGGCAGTGGCTGAGCCACGCTGTAGGCCAGCCAGGCTGGTTCCAGGAACCATGCTCTTAACCATGACATTATGCTCTGCAAGTATTGAGTAACCAACCTCAGTTTCTCTGTCTATAAAAAGTCTGGGAATATGTGACTTGAAGGGTAGGGAAAATTAAAATGACATATTTAAAGTATTTAACAACCCTTGGAGTGTTTGTTCAACAAATATTTGTTGAGCGCCTAAGCAAAACAGGTAAGCCAACTACTTTGTAGAACTGTCATTCTCATGAATGCAGCATTCATGTCTCAGAGACAGGCAATAGACAAATAAATAAACATACTATTCTTTGTAGGCCAAGAGCTGATTAATGCTATGATGAAAAATAACGCAACAAATGAGGTCTAGTGAAAGACAGGAATGGAGAATGTTATTTCATAGAGGGTGGTTGGGGAGGATGTCACAGATAAGGCCATAGGTGAGCAGATACCTGAAAGAAGTAAGGAGTAAAGTATATCAACATTCAAGGCAAATGGAACACGTAAAGTACTCAGTAAATGCCATTTACCCCCCAAAGTTCCCTCTAGCAGAGGGAACTTTACCACAATAGCCTCTTACTTATCCTGAACTCAGCTTCCAGCAATATTACCTGAGAATCTATGAGTAGTCAAAATGGTTGTTACAAAATGCATGTATTTTAATGCATGGGAGAAGCCCTTAAACTCTCATTGAAACTACTGACTTGATTTCTGCAAGTGTTTTTAATAAACCTCTAATTCCCAGCCAAGAGAAGATTAGAAGTGGCAAGCATGAAGTTTAGGAGAGATGAAAGAGAATTGGGCTTGTGATTATGTCCCTGGACCACAGGTAAAATGACACTGAATTAGAGTCAGATGGGCGTGACAGAGAAGCCTTTCCAGAACACTGAGCTGGAAGCAGGGACACCAGGGGAAGATATGGCTTTGCTGGTACTATATTTGGTTCAACAGCCTGAGAGCCCAGTGCCTGTAAATATTCCATTGGATGGAAGGGCACAGATGGTCCAAGTAAGGACTTTGAAAAATACTGGTAGTATTATACCTGGGTATAAAAGAGTAGTAGCCCACCAAGAGTTCATCTGTTTTCAGCTCTGACAAGATTTTACCTGGAATCATGAATGAGGAGCTGTGTTCATTAGAGAATCAGAGGTCCAGGGAAAACCCAAGTTAAGATAATGGATAATGCTGCATCTGTTTCTGCTCTGTGTTGAGATTTAACTTGTTAAGGCAGGGGTTGGTCCCTTCTTGCCAGTCATAACTTGCCAGACACACTTTAGGAGAGAGGTTCTTTTACTAACCCCTGAACCTTGAAAAAAGTTTCAATTACATATAGGATACTATTGAAGAAGAGTTGTAATGTATTCTTAAGAACAAGTTCTGTCTCATAGCTTTTATAAAAGTTTTGGTGGTTAAACAGGAGTAAACATTATCTCAACCATGTTCATAACATGACTATACAAAACATCCTATTTTCTGGGGATGTTTTTACTAATCTGGGTCTTACAACTTGAAGTTGGCATTGTAGAGAACCCTGAGTGTAGGCTGGTAGAGAGCTGACCTCACAATCTGCTGCTGGCTTTTACATTAGAATCCTGTTTGGGGTGAAAGATTTGAAGGACCCCTGCCTTGTGGACAAGACAGATTAACAGGCAGACCCAAAAGCTTATCACTTTAGCCTGATCTCTCTCTGTCATGCATTAAGACTTTAATAAGATTTTTAGCTAAGCTGGACACCTTAACTAAAGCAGATTTATCTCCATGCGATTCTCCCATGTAAGTTTCTTTCCAAGTGACCAGCTTCCAGTAGATTAAAATAACTTAAAGGAGCATTCAGGGAGGCTGGTGCTCGGTCTCTGTTTGGCTACTCTGCTTTGGGCTGCATGTTAGGAGTCCTGTCTCCTGTCTTATGAATAGGCAGCTAATAGGTTTTCTGTCAACCCTGGAATTTTAGCCCCTTTTAATTGAATTTAATAATATTTATTTTAAGAGACAGGATCTTGCTATGTTGCCCAGGCTGGAGTACAGTGGCTGTTCACAGATATGATCCCACTACTGATCAGCATGGGAGTTTCAACCTGTGCCATTTCTAACCTGGGCTGGTTCCTCCTACCTTAGGCAACCTGGTGATCTCCAACTCCTCGGAGTTCACCATATTGTTGGGGAACTTAGTGTGGACACCTGATTGGCATAGCACACTGTAGTCCAGAACTCCTGGGCTCAAGCAGTCCTCCCACTTCAGCCTCCCAAGTAGCTGGAACTATAGGCACGTGCCACCCTGCCTGCCTTGACCCTTTTAAAAATGAGTTGCTGTGCTTCTAGAACATTTGAAGGGAGAAAACATTTTTCGTGTAATGCAACATCAAAGCTATTAACTATTATGAAGTTATTTTCCCACAGTGATGACTGATTTCTAGAGTTGATATGAAACAGGATGTCCATATCCTCATCTGCATGAAAGGAAATGGTTCTTAACAGAAATGTTCTCAGGCTAAAATTTGCCTCCATCTCCTCTTCTCTAGTGTAACATCTTCCTTTCGTGTTTTCACTTATTTAGTCATTCAGCAACACTTCTGAGGTGTGTACCATTGTGCTAACAATGATAAAAATTTACCACTTAGTGTAGTATTCTGGAGTATGTAGCATTGCCCCTGGGCCAGACACTAGTTCATTTAGTGCTCACAGCAGCCTGGAGATGGGTGCTATTTTTATCCACATTATATAGAAGAGGAAACTGAGGCACAGCATGATTACGTGAATTGACCAAGGTCCCACAATTCGTAAGTGGTGGAATTGGATTTGCACCCAGGCAGTCCAGCTCCAGAGTCTGTGCTCTTCTCCTGCCTCTCACCAGTAAGGAGGGTGAAGGGATATCTTCAGCAATTATCATGAAGATAGCAAGGGCTTGGCAGGATGCTGTGGGAGCCTCCTGATAATTTATAAGGTAGGTATTATTATCATTCATAATTTACTGAAATTTAGAGGTAGAAGTAGGGATCTATATAGAATAGTAACCAAAAAATCTCATCAGTTTGGCATTTCATGAAAATAATACAGATTTGTTAATTGATGAATCTTTACTCTTATAGGAAATGCATGATGACTTATAAGGGATATACTGTAGGATTCATGTCAGCATCCTATTCCTCCTCTTAAGGAACGGCTGGTCTCCCTTAACCATGGTGGTCTGAGAGAATGGCATTTTCACAGCAGGGTTTCTTTTTGGTGTTACAGTTCTTTGCTGTCCATGTTGTTCTTGATCACTGCAGGGTAGTCTGACCTGGGCTGTTTGCTCCTGCCTTACACCTGTATAATGACATGGAATGTTCTCTGTTTCTGTATGATGCATGCTCTGATACTGTGGTGTCTGAGTGGATTTGTTCTCTTGCTGTATCAGTGGAATTCTGCTCTGGTGGTTGTATTCTCCGTCAGCCATGATCATGAAACTAGGGTTTTAGAAACATCCTTGAAAGCCAAGTAATTTAGAACTGGAACTGAAATCAGATCGACACATTGGCACAAAATCATGTACTTCCTGGGTAAAGCCACTAACCATCCCTTTCCTAGACATTGCTCTTTTACCCTAAATGCCTCTTCTTTGAATTATAAAAGAATGCGTGCCTGTACACATATGTAACAAACCTGCACGTTGTGCACATGTACCCTAAAACTTAAAGTATAATAAAAAAAAAAGATAAAAAAAAAAAAGGATGTGTGCCTTAGCACTGGTATGTGCTATGCAAGGGTCCACTGTAGAATGACTTATTTATGGCATGAGATACCTGGAAAGTTTTCATAGTAACAGCAGTGTTTGAGGTGAGCCTTAAATGATGGGTTGAAGTTTGGTTAAAAGAGATTTTGGAGGAGAGAGAAAATAGGAATGGGGTGGGGAAAACACCCAAAGGAAAGGCACAGAGACAGGAAAGCACCAGGTGGGTATTTCTGGTTCCTGTGAAGAAATAATGAGTGAATTTCAAGAGACACATATGAATTACATGAAATCAGTGGATGCTGTACTGCAGAGAGTCAAACTGAGAGAATGCTACAAGATGACTTGGATAATGAGAAAACAAAACCGTGAAAGTTGTTATTTCTCAAGTTTACATAATGGGATTATTTGATTTAATTTTTAGAAAAAAAAGTCTCTTTTTTTAAAATTTCCTTTAAGATGTTAAATACGGACTATTTCCCCCTGCCTCTTTGCTTTAGACTCTCAAACAATATTAACCCAGGGTTTTTTCCCCCAGATTATTCTCTTTGGGCCTAAATCAAGATGCGAAGAAACTTTGAACTTTATAAGTGACATATCATAAATGTCATGAGATTTTAAAAAATAAAAATATACAATGGGAACCATCTTCTTATTTAAAGTGAAATATCTTTCCCATAGTTTGTTGTGTTTTTCCTTACAGAAATCATGTGTTACAATATCTCCCAGCTAAATTGGCTTCCATTGCTATGTCCAAGCTTTGTAACTCTAGAGGTTTTGACTTTGGGTGTCAGATTGGGAGTTTAAGTATCAGAATGGTCCAAATACTCATCTTTGAGAACCACAGCAAATAGCAGTTATGGTTATGAGGACAGATTTTAGAACAGAACAAATATTTGTAGGGTAGAAAGTACCACAGGCTGAGCCTATTTGAGAATTCTCATTTTACCAGACCCTAATAGCCTGTGTGGCTACAGTTGTTTCAGTAATGACCCAGACCCTGGTTTCAATCTTGCATGAAACTGATGGCAACTATTTACTGGGTCAAGTCCTATTTATCTCAGTGAGTAAAGTGCAACTTAATATTTGGAGGCCACAACTTATTATAATTTCAAAAGTCTCTTAGCAAGATAAGTGCTACATTTTGAAAAATATGTTGTCTACTTGACCACCACATTTGTTACTTTTGTGACACATTTTTAATTGCTTAGAAACAACTGATACCTCTTGTGGTGGGTATCTGGTTTAATTACCTTAAGTTATGCAGCAATCTAGCTGTTGATGGAATTAAACTATAAAATGATAGATAGCACATGGTTTTTAAGGACTTCTTGTCTATTTTAAAAGGTAAAAATATGTTAGAAAGAATTAATGCGTAAGTGTACATAGAAGGCAGATGGCAAAAATAAACTGTCTAGGGGTTGTGTACCTTTTTGAATGAGAAAATAGAGCAGAGATCGGTTTTATGAATAAATTTCTGAGTAAAACAGTAGACTCATGGAATCTTGAAGGAATTGCCTAAGTACAGAGATGGTCTTTGCCTTTTCTTTTTTAACAGTTGTCTTTATGACCTGCATGGATTTAAATATATATATATATGACCTCCATCTTAAAATATATATATATGAATATATGATTTCAACATTTCATGGTAATGCACTTCTACTCCACCTAAAATGTGGTAATTTGGATAACTTTATTCCCACTCTTCCACAGCTGTAAGTTGGGAAATGTTGAACAATCAGCTCTCTGTGGCAGGTGGAGAGGAGGGCTGATTTGTAGCACTTGCCAGTTTTGATGGTGTAAATTCTCCCAACATGGTCAATTACATGCTGTCAGCATCACATCAACCTGCTCACAGAATTCCTTAAAATTACAGTCCGCTCTCACAAGCTGGTACAAGCCATCTCCAACATAACACTGGCTCCCCTCTTACAGGTTGAACGCCTAAATACTGTCACTCCCAACATATAAAATACCACTCCCTTAGCTAACATTTTACATCAAAGTGTTGTACTTATATTGTGCTTGTCCACATCTACTAACCGACTGTTTTTGGGACTCTGGCCCAAGTACCACAAATCCCTGTTTCCTCTCCTAGCACCTTTAGAGCTGCAGTCATAGCAGTTAAACGTAATACTTTTCTATAAGCTTTTTTGTGACTGATACAGATGTCATGAAATAATTGGGACTACTGATTCCTTCAAAAGAACCAAGTTAGCATGACGATTTTTTTACTGAGGATAAACTGTATCATTCAGCCCTTTTCATCTCCACTATTTGTGACAAAGAGTCTGTCTAAGACATAAAGAAAATAATAGCATGTTTATTCCTTATAACTGGGGGAATCTTGGGGGAAGGAGCCAGGAGCTGAGAAGAGAGTTATAATTTGGAAGGAAGAGAATGGGTAAGTAAATACAATCTTTAAAAAATGAAAGTAGATTACAATGAGCCTTTTTTTGAGCACTTCCAAGACTTTGTAGGCTAAGACACCAGAATTTACAGCAGATACAATACATAGTGCTTCTGGCTTATCAATTATTGTCCTTTCACTGTTTACATAACTCTTTACAGAAAGAAAAATGGAAGATCGGATGTTCTGTCTTTCTGTAGCGTTCTGTAGCATAGTTACAAGCACTTTTTGTTTTATTTTGTTTATATAGCCTTTTAATATGTATTCCTTAGTGGCAAAATAGTAACTGGAAACGATTTCAAACTTCTTTAACTTAGATTTGTTGAGCCTGAGGTTGGTATTTCTTCATAAATAGTGATGGCTTTTTCTTTTCTTAAAATAATAGAAGTTTTTTTAAAAAAAGAAAAAAGAAAGAATTGTGTAAAGAAAGAAATGTATTTTGTTTGGCTTCACTAAAATACCACTTGGCTCCAACTAGCCCATATTTCCTGACTCTGACTATGCCCTGAAGCAGTGAAAGGGTAGATGTTTTTAAAAATGAGATTCGAGTTTGTGTATTTGCATTCCTTTCAGTTTTTGAGTTGTTAGTTGGCCCAGCACTGTAAAGCTTGAGTGAATTTCCTTAATGAAACTTAGCATTAGGGAATCAATATTGTTCAAAATTTGCTTTGCTAGTAGCCAATGTGAAAAGGATCTATTTTTCCATATTTTTCTTTTTTCATGCCTGCATTCTCGACATACTCTACTCTAGACAGCATTTATTAATATGTGATAGATACTTACATAAATAATTGCAGGCTATTCAAAAACTGTGACATAAAGTGATCCAAATGTACTAGGTCAGCTTCATTGCTGGCTTGAACTAGGTAGCATTTCCTGTGGGAAAGTGATCCATTTTCCTGACATAATTGATATGTGTGTCACAAATAGAAATGGCATGCTTGGACTTTGCATGCTCTTCTCTTCATTTTAAAGTAGAATCTATTTTTCACAATTCAGCTGTGACCTGAGTAATTTCCTTTATGTGAATAAAGCAAAGCACTAAGGAAACCTGTCCAAGGTCACACAGTGGGCCCAGAGCAGAGCCAAAACTCACACCAAGGGATTGCTCCTTAGAAGTGCTATATTCAGTCAGTGCCCTAGCTGTGTGGCTTTGATGGAGGTCTTAATTGAGACTTTTCCCCTAAGTACTTGGCAGATGTAAAAAACATGTGTAAACAATATACACATTCCATTTGACTCTGAAATAGAGCCCCTTGTGGGATACAAATAGGACCTATTCTCCACCCATGGCCATCCTTCCAACAGATTAGCGATGAGAATTGGACGCAGTATGTAGAGCATGCTGTCTGGGATCAGTAGCAGTCTTTCCACTTGAAACTTTGCAGTGTTGAAACTGGTGAGGCCAAGCACTGTGAGTGGCTGTTACCGTCAGCCTCATTCAATACATAATGAAATGTTTTCCTAAAATAAAGTATGATATAAGGTGTGAGGGGAGTGGGAAGAACATAAAAAGGAAAAGATGGTAGGCAGAAAGCAGAATGGAAAAAAGGAGATGATGTATGAAAAGCAGAGAGGTGGGGAAAAAGATATTGCTCATTGGGCTTTGGGGTCAGACAGAAACATGGGTTCAAATCCCAGCTTGGTAAGTTCCAACTGTACATTTCACTTAAATTGGGAATTGTATTCTGGCTGTATTAAAGGTGAATGATAGATATATCATTATTCACCAAATAGGGAAAATCCCTACATATAATGGTGGTTTCTGATTTTACTTTTAGAGAGACTGTCTTTCCTCTGCAGTGTGGAAACTTCACTGTTTCCAGTGGGATTTGATTTGACTGTATTGTAGTGGAAAACCCATATACGTTTTAACATACAAGACTGTATTCTCACCAGGCATGGTGGCTTACGCCTGTAATTCCGACACTTTGAGAGGCCAAAGCAGGTGGATCACCTGAGGTCAGGAGTTCAACACCAGCCTGGCCAACGTGATGAAACCCCGTCTCTATTAAAAATACAAAAAATTAGGTGTGGTAGCGTGGTGGTGCGTGCCTGTAATTCCAGCTACTTGGGAGGTGGAGGCAGGAGAGTCACTTGAACCTGGGAGGCAGAGGTTGCAGGGAGCCAAGATTGTGCCACTGCACTCCAGCCTGGGCAACAGAGCAAGACTCCATCTCAAAAAAAAAAAAAAAAGTGTATTCTCTCACATAAAGAAGTTGAGAGGTAGGCAGTCTAGGGTTGACCAGGGAGTTCATCATGTTGCAAGAGCCCCCATCTCCTTCCAACTTTTTTTTTTTTTTTTTTTTTTTGAGATGGAGTCTTGCTCTGTCACCCAGGCTGGAGTGCAGTGGTGTGATCTCTGCTGACTGCAACCTCTGCCTCCCGGGTTCACGCCATTCTCCTACCTCAGCCTCCCGAGTAGCTGGGACTACAGGTGCCTGCCACCACGCCCAGCTAACTTTTTGTATATTTTTAGTAGAGACGAGGTTTCATCATGTTAGCCAGGACGGTCTCCCTCTCCTGACCTCATGATCCGCCTGCCTTGGCCTCCCAAAGTGCTGGGATTACAGGTGTGAGCCACCACACCTAGCCGCTCCTTCCAACTTTTTGCTCAGCCATCCTTCATTTTGTAAACCAAAAATAAAATTCTAAACCCCTCAACCGTCTGAATGGACCCCTCCTCTCAGCCAAGGACATTCCAAAGTTAACCTAAAAAAGCTAGTTCAGGCCATGATGGAAAGTGGGGGGTTGGATATGCCTTGCAGCTGACCAGCATTAACACCAACACAGAGACCTTAAGACTGATAGAACAGAGCCTTTGAGTCTGATAAGAAATATTTACAGTCTATTCTCTCTGAAGCCTGCTACCTGGAGGCTTCATCTGCATGATAAAACCTTGGTCTCCACAATCGTTATCATAACCCAGACATTCCTTTCTATTGATTCCAGATCTTTAGATAATAACCAATTGCCAAACAGAAAATCTTTGAATCTCCCTATGACCTAGAACCGCCCCCACCCCTGCTTCCAGTTGTCTCGCCTTTCCAGACTGAACTAACATATATCTTGCATGTGTTTTTGGTGTCTTAGCCCTCTCTAAAATGTATAAAACCAAGTCCACCTTGGGTAGACATTCTCAGGATCTCTTGAGGGCTGTGTCACAAGCCATTGGCCACTCATGCTTGGCTCAGAATAAATCTCTTCAAATATTTTACAGAGTTTGACTCTTTTCCTCAACAATCACCATGGTTCAGTATGGCTACTGGAGCTCCACTATTAAATTTGTGTTTCAGAGGGTAGGATGGGTGAAGGACAGAACGAAGGATCATCTGTCCCTTATCAGATTTCCCAGAAGTACTATGTTTTACATCTTACTGGTCAGAACTTAGTCTCGGCCACACATACTTACAAGGAGCCTGTTAACAAACACAGTTTTCACTGGTCCTCCTTTTTTTGAGCCTTGTGTATGGGCTTTAGCAAGAAACACTGTGATCCTTAGGAAACTGTTTCAGAAAAGAAAACTATTATTTGTGAAAATAATAGGACCTCATATTTGACGTGTCACAGGCAGCATGCTCAAAAATTCATATGAACTATCTCAGTTAACCTTCCTTTAATGTAGTTATGATCCCCATTTAACAGGAAAAGAAACTGAGGTTTAAAAATTTTAACTAATTTGCCCAAGGTGACATTGCTAGTGAGTAGCAAACTAGAGCTCAGAACCAGGCTTGTCTTTTTCCAAATTCAAAGCATTTAATCATTATGTTGCCTCCCACTTCTCAATTTTTAAACTGGTACATTTACAATGGGATTTTTAAAATCTTCTGTTTGTGGTTTTAGGGTCTTTAGCTTCCCTCATTTTTTTCCCCCAAATCTTAAGTATTTCGGTAAAAGAACACGCTTTTTTTTTTTTTTTTTTTTTTTTTTGAGACGGGGTCTCACTCTGTCACCTACCCAGGCTGGAGTGCAGTGGTGCAATCTTGGCTCACTGCAATCACCACCTCCCAGGCTCAAATGATCCTCTCACTTCAGCCTCCCAAGTAGCTGGGACTACAGGTGTCTGCCACCACATGCCCGGATAATTTTTGAATATTTTGTAGAGACAGGGTTTTGCCATGTTGCCCAGGCTGGCCTTGAACTTCTGAGCTCAAGCGATCCACCTACCTCAGCCTTCCAAAGTGCTGGGATTACAGGTGTGAGCCATCGCGCCTGGCCCAAGAACATGCTTTTTAGCACTTGGTTAGTTAATTGTTAGTTGTCTCCTTGTATTTTGGTTGGAAATTCAAGTTTTTGCCAATTTGTTTTTATCTGAGCACCCTTTCTCCCAGGCACAGCCCTAAAAGCTATTGGGGATAACAGAGTGACTAAGATACAGTCACTACTGCAAGGCTTTTGCAGTATAGTTCTTTTGAGAATGGATTTTAGACAAGCCTCTTAACATCACATTAGGCTATGACACTACATACAAATCATAGTTGACCTACATGTAGACACCCATTTGTCTTTATAATTACAAGTGCATCATTGTACCGTTAATGACCACCCATCCCTTCAAAACATTCCTAAGAAATTAGGTAAATAGGCCATTCTAATTTATGCTCTTTGTATTTTTCCCTTAAACAAGATGGTTAATAGGATTGTGTTAGTAATAAAAGCTTGTTACTCTCCATTTACATACAGAGGATATGGGTTTGGTTCTAATATGTATTATTTAAAAATAGGTATTAGCCACATCCATTGGTGCAAAATAGTTTAATTGCTATTTTATGACATTTTGAGTAGTGGCAGAAATAGTGGACAATTGTATTAGAAGCACAAACCAAATGGGACCAATGTGACATTTGGGGTCAGAACCTGTCAATGCAAGTCCACACAGGTTTTATCACTGGAGTACTTTTTACAAGACCTGAGAAGAAGGATGTTTCACTCAAGGTTAGTGAAGAGGAAACATTACCCAGGATGTGAGGCTGATGACAAAATCTCACACAAAACCTTTATTTTTTTGTACCCAGAATTGGATAGTAAGAGAAAGGACTGGGAAAGATTCCTGTTCTGTCCATTTTTCTGCTTTGTTTTCTGGTACATCCATTGCTTAAAGTTATTTCTTTATAAAGATGTAAAAATGTTTTCTATATGGGACCTGCCCCATTTCTTGATGATGTACATAGAGTTCCATATGAAACATTCTGTTCCATAATGGGAAAATAGGTTTCTAAATAGGCATAAATATACTATCTGCCTCTGGCATTTGCCTAGATACCTTCATCTCTAGGTGTTAAGGTACTTTGTTAACTGAGCTCCATTGGTTTGAAAGGTCAGTTCTTTTTTGCCTGTTATTTGGCATACATCATGTGCCTTGATACTTGGTTTATAGGTACTGAGTCTCCTGGCTCTCCTAATAGCCTCTTTCATCTTTGATGACCTAATTAACTATCTGATCATGGAAAACTTACAATTTCTAATTGTACTTAAGATAATGGGTTTCATTATTACCTTGAGTCAATTTTACTTTGAAAACTTACAACATTGGGCCCCTAAGGATAATGATAGATAGCACTTGTATAGTTTTAGAATTAAACAAACAGACCAAAAAATGCTTTGCTACATTGTAGTCCATCTTACTGCAATGCTGAGGTAAATGGTTTATGCTCATTCATGATTTCATGTTATCAGAGATTCTGCAGTGATCATGACAGACATGGCTTCCATTCTTCTAACACATTATGGGGGAGAAATGTCAGGAATGAAGGAGACATGTTTTTGTAAGAAACATATAGCTCAGAGAACTTAAGTGACTTACCCAAAGTTCTAGACGGTATGTGATGAGTTTGTATGGGTGTGTAATGGGCGACTAAACTGGAAAGGCATGTAGGCAGACTGTTAAAGAGTAATGAAAAACTGACCAAAGAGTGGGAATGTCTTTTCTGTGGACAATGGATAGCCATGAGAAGCTTTGTATTGGGGTGGTGATGTAATTGAAGTGTTTAGAAAGAATATTCTTATAGTAACGGGCCAGTTAAATGACTATGGTGATAGAGATGTGGAGCAGCTGAGAAGCCACCAGCACTTACACACATAAAATAAAGTCCCAAAATAATGGGGTGGTGTTCAGGCTGGGAGGGGACAAATAGAGGACACTACAGTGAGAAAATGAGAAGGATTTTGTGGCTTACTGTATAGGAGAAGGAAGAAAGAAGAGAAGTCAATGATGTTTAAAAGTTTCGGCCAGGCGCGGTGGCTCACGCCTGTAATCCCAGCACTTTGGGAGGCCAAGGCAGGCAGATCACGAGGTCAGGAGATTGAGACTATCCTGGCTAACACAGTGAAACCCCGTCTCTACTAAATACACAAAAAATTAGCCGGGCGTGGTGGTGGGCGCCTGTAGTCCCAGCTACTCGGGAGGCTGAGGCAGGAGAATGGCATGAACCTGGGAGGTGGAGCTTGCAGTGAGCTGAGATCGCGCCACTGCACTCCAGCCTGGGTGACAGAGCGAGACTCCGTCTCAAAAAAAAAAATTTTTTTTTTTAAGTTTCAAGGTGGTAAGAACTTTATAATAACCACATATGACAGTAAGAGCTCAAAGACCATCAGTTAAGAGAAGCCTAAATGTCCATTCTTCTGGCTTCCTTCTTGGATCATGTCTTTGGTGACTATCTCGTGGAGCATTTCCTAAAACCAGGCATAATGTTCCTTCCTGCTCTCTTCGTTCTGGATCTCATCTAAGCTTGGCTTTCTCTAATCTGATCTGTCCTGTGTGGGTAAGGAGAAATTTCCCCAAAGATTGAAAATTATGAGAAAATAGAGCTAAGATTGTGACTCAGAAGTGAGTCTTTTCCTGACCGTCTGATGTTATAAGTCAGCTAAGACATGTGAGCGGCATGTATTTGACTCAGTGTATTGTATCCTAGGCATTCTTTGTGGACCACAACTCCCGCACCACCACTTTCATTGATCCCCGGCTCCCACTTCAGAGCAGTAGACCCACAAGTGCGCTGGTTCATCGGCAACACCTGACAAGGCAACGCAGCCACAGTGCGGGTGAGGTGAGTCATGCGTTTTGGGGACTGACCTGTTGGTTGATAGAAGCTTCTAGTATGTGATGGTTTGAGGAATTTGACTGATTTTTTTAAAGCATTTTTTCTTTTTTTTTTTTTTGAGTTTGATTTAGAGGCTGAAAAGCTTTCGAATGTTGACAGGGCTTCTCTGGAAATACATACAGCCTAAATCACAAATTTAAAAAGGTAGGATATATGAGGCAAAACTGACGAAATTTAAGATTTTTTGACTCAGAGGAAGGTGAGAGGGTGTTGATAATGTACTAAAATGTTCGAGACAGGAAGATGATAAGCCCATTTGCACACCCATTTTCAGCCTCACAGGAAGAAATGAATATAACTTGGTTAAATGTGGAATTTCTTTATATATATATATATATATTTTTTAATTATACTTTAAGTTCTAGGGTACACGTGCACAATGTGCAGGTTTGTTACATTTGTATACATGTGCCATGTTGGTGTGCTGCACCCATTAACTCATCATTTACATTAGGTATATCTCCTAATGCTATCCCTCCCCCCTCCCCCCACCCCATAACAGGCCCCGGTGTGTGATGTTCCCCTTCCTGTGTCCAAGTGTTCTCACTGTTCAATTCCCACCTATGAGTGAGAATATGCGGTGTTTGGTTTTTTGTTCTTGTGATAGTTTGCTGAGAATGATGGTTTCCAGCTTCACCCATGTCCCTACAAAGGACATGAACTCATCATTTTTTATGGCTGCGTAGTATTCCATGGTGTATATATGTGCCACGTTTTCTTAATCCAGTCTATCATTGTTGGACATTTGGATTGGTTCCAAGTCTTTGCTATTGTGAGTAGTGCCACAGTAAACATACGTGTGCATGTGTCTTTATAGCAGCATGATTTATAGTCCTTTGGGTATATACCCAGTAATGGGATGGCTGGGTCAAATGGTATTTCTAGTTCTAGATCCCTGAGGAATCGCCACACTGTCTTCCACAATAGTTGAGCTAATTTACAGTCCCACCAACAGTGTAAAAGTGTTCCTATTTCTC